>NC_000003.12:155220725-155523755 GCF_000001405.40 Homo sapiens | reverse complement strand
TGGCACATAGACATTCAAATGTTTGTTGAATGAATGAGTCAAGGATTCTTGTGTCTGAGTGTTGGAAGGAATTTTAGTGATTAATTCATTCAACCCTCTCTCCAGGGATAAATTTCCTATTACAAATTCAAAAATCAAATTGTAGTTGGAAATGTTACTGTCTTTGATAATAAAAGCTGGCTTTACTTTTAGCATTGCCTTCCCTACCTCGTGCTAGCAGCCCCCCATGCTCCCTGTCAAGGCTGGCTGGAGGAACCCCACCTGCACGTGGACCTGCTTCTCTGGGATGCCCATGCCCTCTTTAAGAAAATGTACCTTGGACCAGAGGGATTTCCAAGCCCTTCCAGACATGGACCTCTTGGCTAAATCTTTAATTTGTCAAGTCTTCAATAAAGTGGCATGGAATAGTTTGTTACTCACTTGGTGTGTCAGCCCCCTTTTCTAGATGAAGGAGCCTCCTTTGTAGAAAAGCATCAT
Organism: Homo sapiens; assembly: GCF_000001405.40. Taxonomy (NCBI): domain Eukaryota; kingdom Metazoa; phylum Chordata; class Mammalia; order Primates; family Hominidae; genus Homo; species Homo sapiens. Next base: position 155,523,278 of record NC_000003.12, on the reverse strand, counting down.
TTAGGCCTGGCGCGGTGGCTCACGCCTGTAATCCCAGCACTTTGGGAGGCCGAGGCGGGCAGATCACGAGGTCAGGAGATCGAGACCATCCTGGCTAACATGGTGAAACCCCGTCTCTACTAAAAATACAAAAAAAATTAGCCGGGCGTGGTGGTGGGCGCCTGTAGTCCTAGCTACTCCGGAGGCTGAGGCGGGAAAATGGCGTGAACCTGGGAGGCGGAGCTTGCAGTGAGCCGAGATCGCGCCACTGAACTCCAGCCTGGGCGACAGAGCGAGACTCCGTCCCCACCTCCAACCCCACACCCCACCCCCCCCGCAAAAAAAGAAAAGCATCATTTAGCCAGGTGATCCAAGGGAAATACAAACCTGAGGGAAATATAAGACTTAAAAAGATGCCTCATCGCTTCTTTCTGTAACTCTATAACTCATGTGATTGCTAGAGTAACACAGCAACCTGAGAGGAGCACACAGGGATGATAGTTTGGTATAGAATTTTATTTCTACAGAAAAGGTTAGTCCTCTAGACATCAGGACTATGATTCTACCCTCTAAAAAAAAAAAAAAAAAAGAGAGAGAAATTTTGTATAAATTCTTGTAATTTACACCATTGCCCTGAATTCAGTTATTACATTGTTAACAACAGTCCACTCTCAGATAATTCTGTGTTGGCTTTCCTGTAGTTGTGAAAATGAGCTGGCATTATTTTCAAAGGGGACAAGAGCTTAATGAGAGCTGATGTCTCAGTAGACACTTCTTTCTTGGCTTTAATGCCCTTTAAATGGGCCAAATGGAGAAGATTCAGCTTGAAGTGAAAAGGAAAAGTTACTATCTGTATTCTTCTCTTGCCTTTTAATAGTTTATGTTAGCAAAATTAAATACCATTAATTAATAGGGCTATGGTTACAGAAAATCTAAATAGAGTTACATGATTGAAAACTATGCTTGAGGTGTCATTATACAGTTAATATTTTAAATAGTTGCTTTTTTCTCCTCTAGGTATTTATTTTTTATAATTAATTATGATTATGGATAATTTAGCTTTTTTTTTAGCATTACTTTATAAACCAGATTTTTGTCTCTGATTTTTTATCATTTTGCATCTTGTTTTCTAGATCTCTTGGTTGCCAGCCATAGTGTAGATCTATCATTATTCACTCAGCTATTTCATTTTTCTTCTGATGCCAGTGAGCTCTCCAACTTCCTAAGTTAAATATATGTAGTTATGCAAAAAATAGTAAGCTGTAGTCTTATGGGAACAAATTGGAGTATCCAACTGGATTCCTCTTTTCTTTACTAAGAGTAGTTGATTTCTGGAAACCCACATCAGGAGATGGTTTGGAACATGATTCCATGGAGTTAGATATGATCTTTCATTTGGATTCTTTGGTTTGGCCCTAAGTGAAAGTAGAGCACCTTAACTGTAAATGTTTATAGGCATCTCTTTGTTATATTTTGGAAGAGAAAAGAAGTAAATCAACATTGGAGAAATATTTCAAATTGTTTTTTGCTATTTTTGAGCTTTTCTGAGAAAAGGCAATGCCGTGTTTAGAAAGGCAAAGTATTATCTTGTAATCAGACCATTTATAGTCCTATTGTTGGCAGAGGGCTCAAATGCCCTGACTGGTGAATTTATAATAAATTCCCTGAGAAACTGAATATCTGATCATATTTCTGCAAAAGAGGGTGTACTTTGGATAGTTTATATGAACCAATAATTATCTTAGAGGAAGCTCTTAACCTCAGTTTTAAGTTGAGAGAATGTGGTTAGATTTATATCTGAATTATTGCAATAAATACACATTTTAACTTTGCATTCATTTACACTGGAACACCAACTCTCATGAGGTCATGTAAGATTCATTTGTACATTCAATAAACTTTTATTAAACATCTCCTGTTGGACATGTGCTCATCATTGTTGTAGGTATTGGAGGATATATCAGTAACAAAATAGACAAAAATCATTGCCTTTGTGAAGTTTACACATCAATGGGAGAAGAGGAGGATAGACAAGAAATAAGACAAATAAGTAAAATATATAGTGTACTAGACAGTGATCAGTGCTAAAGGAAAAAAGTGTGTGTGTGTCTGTGTGCATGTGTGCACACTTATGCATGTGTATATGTAAGGGATCTATTGAAATTTTAGATGGGATGTCAACGAAAGGCCTCACAGGGAAGATGCATTTGAACAAAGGCCTGAAAGAAGTGAAGAGTTAGCCATGCTGATACCTGAGGAGGAATGTTCCAGGCAGAAAGAACCCCAAGCGCAAAGGCCAGAAGCGGGATTTGAGGCTCTCCCGGCACCACCCTGGAGTTAGATGCAGAGCAGGAGGACAAGACTCCTGTTACTTTTAAGCTAGCGGTTTAAGCCATACTGTTAAGTTTTTTTCTTATGTAATAAATGCTTCTGTTGTTGAATTAACTGAATCTTTTAAGCTTCTACCACATATTATTTTGTGGCTCCAGCCATAGAGAAAATCTGGCTCACAATGGGTAAGCCACAAGGTAAAGCCAGTGTGTTCAGTGACCCAAGAATCATACAACTCAGAGACACAGAGGACAAGTTCCTTTCAACCACAGAGTAGTAATCTAACAGATTTGATTCTGTGAGGCGAAGTCACCATTATTCATCTTTATGGGTCTTCTAATGTCAGTGTGCTCTACACACTTTCCACCTCTGTATTTTAACTTCATTAATTTTTTTCTGCTTCTGCTGAGTTATGCAGTGTCTTTTATCTTGTGCTCTCTAAATCTGTTTTGCCAGCTTCTTGGGCATAAACATTAGCTCTGTATCTCCTACGTAAAGCTGATCCCATAAACACCAAGCCTTCCAGCAAGTTCTAAAGGAGTCCTGGTGCAGTGACATGTAGCAATTTTTGTCTTATATTCTAAAACCATTATCCAGTCTGCATGTGTATATCTCTCACTAAACACTTTAATAATTTTCCTCCCTCATCTTTTTTCCTATCATTCCTTTTATGCTTTGAGCTATCCTAAAAAGGATTATGAATCTTGTTCGTTTAAAACATACCAGCACTCAAAGACAGCATGAGTTACCTCTTGAGGTTACAAGGTCTTGCTGTTGAAAGCATTCATTGAGTCAAAAAGCCCAGGTGCTGGGCATGCTAGTACATCCTGGCGACAAGGGGTAGAGAATGATAAAGGTGACTTGGAATCTCCCTGGAAGATTCTAGTTGTTTCTAATACATGGATATGACTGGTCCTTGAACAGAAGAATATGTTGTTAAGTGAGCTAAAGGAGCAGGCAGGAGATGGTAGAGGACAGGAGTAAACACACAGGCTTGAATGGCTGAGAAGCAGCTGTTCTTCAGCCAAGACCTTCAGGTCTTACAGCTTGGAAAGCAGTAAGGCACTCAGAAAGGGCAGCAATATATTATTCTTCCCATCTTTGGACTTTAGCCAAAGGAAAAAAAAATTGGGGGGATGTTGAAATACTTCAGTTTTTAGTTTTTTGCCTTTTTTTTTTTTTTTTTTAAAGCAAAGGTCCTCAACTTTTTTGCCTTTTTTTTTTTAATGCAAAGTTCCTCAACTCTGGCCACATATTGGAATGATGGGTAGCTTTCAAAAACCGCAGTGTCTGGGTCTTGGCCCAGAGATTCTGATACATGGGTCTGGGGCATGGCCTGGGATTTCTGAGCACTCTGCTGGTGATTGCAATGTGTAGTGCAGGTAGAGCCCACTGTTTGGAAGGTTCCTTTCAAGGAGCAGCACCCAATTTCTCCCCTTTCCTGGATCTTCCCAGTCTGGAATGATGGTTGTGGTTTGGGGCATCCTTCTGCATATTCAGCGATGATTTAGCTTCATGCTGGAGACAAAATGAGAATATGTTTAATTTATTTACTTGTGGTAGAGGGATTCCTAGATCAGATTTATCTCTCAAAAAAGGGAATTGAGAACCCTGATTACTTCTCTGGTGGAAACTACCCACCATATGAAATGACTGCTCTCCCCCAGCCCCCAGCTGCAGCGTCCTTTCTCACCCATTGGCCCAGAGAACAAAAGAGCAAGATACATATGGCTTTCAGCTGTGGTCCCTGCTGCAGGTGCATGGTGCCTGATAGGTCTCGAGGTCAAGTGTCTGTCTTAGCTTCCTTTCAGTAGTGCTATTGGATTCCAGGGCTGAATGATAATATATTAATGAAACCTCAGCCACACATTTATTTGTTCTTCACAGCTGCCAATTTTCTTGTGCAGTAAATCACAGAGCAGAAAAAGATCAACAGGCAGAGATATCATTCCTTTAGCAGCTCCCAGTATTTGGAGGATGTGAAGTGAATAATTATAGCTTTTGTGTTAAGCATTCTTTATTTTACCAGCTCTGGATCGGCTCTGGCTTTGTATTTTGAGCCTTTCCTTGCTGACAGTGAAAGTGACTTGGTGTTATGGCCACAGATCTTCTCCTTACTTGAAGTCTCTGCCTCTTTGTGAGGCCCTGAGTGAGAGAAGGAAATGGATGCTCATTTGGAGCATTCTGTGTGATACTGGATACCCTAGGTGCTCTTAAATGCTTTCTTTTTTTTTGTCCTCGCAGCAAATGCACACTCCTTTGGGCCCTGGGTCTTGATCAAATGCGTTGGGGGTTAGAGACGTGGAGTTCTTTTCTTGGATTTGCTTCTGACCTTAAGTGAAATTGTTTTTCCCAGAGGGATTGTGATGATGTATTTCCCTGGTTCCATGATAGAAATAATGGCTTTTTAAAATATGAACCTGTGCATGGTTACTTTGACTCAAGAATTTCTCTTTTCTCTTTTTCTGTAACAATATAAGAGGGATGGCTGCTGCATTGTATGGAAAAATAGCCACAGTCTTGAATGGGAAGTCTTAGGAGGTTCAAGCTGCAATTCAGCCATTTTCATAGGCCTGTGTGTTTGGTTGAGTGGCTGAACCTTTCTGCCTGTGTCATTATGAGAAAAAATTGGCTAGCCCTAGTGTTTGCCTTAAACAGGGTTCAGCAGCTCAAATGAAGTATCTTTACATGACAGTGCTTTGGGAGCCTTAGTACAATACAGTCTCCCCCTTATTTGTGGGTTTGCTTCCTGCAGTCAATCATGGCCCAAAATATTGATTGAAAAATTCTATAATAAACAATTTGTAAGTTGTGAATTGTGCACCATTCTGAGAAGTGTGATGAAATCTTGCACTGTCTACTCCACCCCACGTGGGATGTGAATCATCCCTTTGTCCAGTGTATCCACCCATTACTATATGGGAAAAAACACAGCATACATAGGGGTCAGGACTATCCATGGTTTTCAGCATCCAATGAGGATTTTTTGATGTATCTCCCATGCATAAAGGGGGACTACTGTGTACAATCTTAGTTGCTTTTTCTGTATTTCCCTGTGGCTCATTTCTCCTTGCTCATATGATTACTGGTTCTTTTGATACTTTTTGTTTTCTCCATGCTTTTCCTCACATTGAAATGCTGTCCCCCTACTCTTTGCCAGATGATCAGCTGTTAGTCATTACAGTGGGTTCATTTGTGGCCACTGAAAGATAGGTTCAAGTCTTAATCCGTGGTACTTATGTATGTGAGCTTATTTGGAAAAAGGGTCTTTGCGGATGTAATTAAGTTAAGGACTTCAAGATAATATAATCCTGGGTTAACCACGTGGGCCCTAAATCCAATGACAATGTCCTCATAAGAAGAGAAGACACAAACAGATGGGTGAGACATGCATGAGAAGACCATATAAAGACAGAGACAGAAATTGGAGTGATGCTGCCACAAGCCAAGGAATACATAGGGCCACCATAAGCTGGAAGAGGCAAGGAAGGATCCTCCCCTAGAGCTTTCAGAGGGAGTGTAGCCCTGCCAACACCTAGACTTCATACTTTTGGCCTCCAGACGTGTGAGAAAATAAGTACATTTCTATTGTTTTAAGATATCAGGTTTGTAGCAATTTGTTAAATTGGTCACAGGAAACTTTATTTTATTATTATTTTTTAGAGACAGGGCTTCGCTCTGTGGCTCAGGCTGGAGTGATGTGGCATGATCATAGCTCACTGCAGCCTCAAACTCTTGGGCTCATGGGATCCTTCCACCTCAGCCTCCCAAGTAGCTAGGGCTACAGGTGCATGCCACCATGCCCAGCTAATTTTGTAAATTTTTGTAGAGACAGGGTCTCATTATGTTGCCCAGGCTGATATCAAACTCCTGGACTCAAGCGATCCTCCCAGTTTGGCCTCCCAAAGTGCTGGGATTACAGACATGAGCCATGGCACCTGGCCAAGTCACAGGAAACTAATATACTTATCTTTTAAGGCTTGACTCAGGTTTCTTATGCTCCTGGAATTGTCCCCCGATTCCCCAAGGCTGGACAAGTTGCGCCTCCTCTGTGTGCATATGCTACCCCTCTCTACTTGTTCCTGCTTGTGTAATTATCCAGGGATGTGTTGGCCTTCTCAATGACACTGAGGGCTCTGTGACAGTGGGGGGTATTCCTCTTTAATACTTCTCACCTGGCACAGCAGAAACACAATACATGGTTTTTTTTTTAATACAAAATGAGTTTTGTTCCCAAACTATCTCTCAACTTTATTAACTACCCCCAGCACATTGGCCTAGGCACTTAGTACCTGCACTGGGGCCCAGTGTGCCTGATGTTTCATCTGCAGACACACTTCCTCTTTTGGCATACGCTGCCAGATTAATACTGTTTCTAGAGTTGCTACCCAAGGACTTGTTCACTCAAAGACTCTCTTAGCAGCTCCATACCTCTTGCTTTCAAGTCCCTCCGCTCTCCAAAGTTCTTTATCTGCCACTACCCTACTCCATGAACTCTAGGAAAACTCATGTGTTCTTTGCATTTACAGAACATTCTTAATTCATGTAAATCCTTTGCTAGAACTGTGGTTGGCAGGAAAGCCCTTCTTTCCATCACTGTTGAAATCTCAGTTACAATGAGTTACAATCACTTCCCACCTCTTTTGTGGGGCCTTCTCAGTCACTCAGGTAGTAATGCCGTGTTCCTTATCAGAAACTCTGTTGTATTGGTTGTCTGTGCTTTTGTGGGCATCTCTGATGACCAGGGTAGAATATTTGGGGACATGCCTTTTCTAGCATGACAGGAGGGTGTTCCCTTCTGATGTTAAGAGCCAACTCTTTTTTCATCCTTGCATCTCCTTCTGGACCTGGAGGTCTCCAGGGAAGTGGAGTGCCTCATTAATTGGGCATGTTAAAGATATTAATGCATGTGATAGTGATACAGGGAAATTCAATAACCTATCCTGGTATAGATTTTTGAAATTTTTCCTTAGGGCATTTATAATTGCTTTGCTCTTACAGGATTTTGTGAAAATGAATGCATTATTGGAAAGCTACCCATTATGCAGAGTCCACATATAATGACCTCTTAGAAATAGATTTGCAAATGGAAGAACAGCCTTAAACTTTTCGTGAAGAATGTGGGAATTGCTCTTGTGAAGGAGTATCCCTTTCCTCCCTTTGGGGGGTTGGTCTTTAGCAAGTGGTTGAAGAATTTATGGAAAGGTATTGGAAACAGGGAGAGGTAGGTGCACTGGAAGAGCAGAAGAGCTATGAACGGAGGCTGGGGCCATTGGTTTCAAGCAGAACAAATGGCCGAAAAGCTGTGCTAAGCAGGACTTTGAGAGAATCTATATCCCATGATCACCTCAAAATTCTGTGAGTCATCATCTGGACAGGTCATAGCTCTGATATCCAAACCCCTTGAAATTTGTTGTGATCTTAAAGTAATTGTAATGACAAATCATGGCTGAGGTAATAATTGGGGTTCCCCCTAACTATACAATGGGATTGGAAATAGTAAGGAAATATATCTCACAATAATCCTCAACTCCTGAAATTTCCATAGCATTCTTTTCTCCTCAGTGAAAAAAGTAGTTTTATTTTAATAGCATATTTTTGTTCTAATTTATTTATGTAGGTTTAGAAAACTTAGTTTCCAAAAACTTTCCCTGGCCTTTTATCTGTTAAAAGCATCAAATAGCATAAGCATAGGGGGAAGGGCTTTGGAGTCCTGAGTTTGAATCCTGCTTCAGTTATTTGCTAGCTATGTAACCAGGAACAACTTACTTGATTTCTCTCTAAGCATCAGATTCTATATCACTGAAATGGAAATGATAATAATACTTATAAGGTTCCTGAGGACTGAATGCAGTCACATGAAGAGTAGCTGGCAGAGAATTAGTTCTTAATAAATAGTAATCCTTATTATTAAAGGATTTGTGGAGGAGGGAAGACTGAGATGGTACAATGAACTTGAGCTTAATTTCTTACAAGTAATTGAGAGAAGTGAAATTATAGAAGCAATTGTGGCTTGATCAAAGGGTATATTCTAATTCGGTGTGTTTCTTAAGGAAATCATTTGTGTTACTTAATTCTTTGCAGAGTAATGGGACCACTGAGCATCAGGTGGAATCTTTCATAAGGAAAAAACTGGAGTCACTGTTAAAAGAATCTCAAATTCGAGATAAAGAAGATCCTGATAGTTTCACAGTGCGGGCACTACTGAAGGCCACGCATGAAGGCTTAAATGCACACCTGAAGCAGGTATCTGATTCCCTCTTGTACTTATCCTTCAACAGGAAAAAAAAAGCATCTCATACTTTGTTTCTAATCATTTGTGAAATGCTCCTCCAACTTCTTCTATTTCTGTCCTCATTTTGCTTGAGAAATGAAAATCTCTTATTGCAAAATGATATGAGAAATAGTTAAAAGTGGATTGGGTGGAGGTAGAAATGACTCAAATACTGCTCCACTTGGACCCTCAGGACAAAGCCCAGTGTTTCCAGACTCATCTTCCTAATGCATGCTCAGGTGAGGGAAGAAGTTTCAGCCCACTGTGTCCCTTACACTCCCACCTCTCCACATTCATTAGATGTCTGCCTTCCCTGCTACTTACCACCTGTTTTTCAGGGCTGAGGGCTCTTCAGGCAGAAGGAAGATCATATGGGGGTGACCGCCCTTGGATCCTAAGTGATCACTCTGCATTGATGGTTGCCCTCTGGACCCTATACAAGTCTAGCCATCCAACTGCCAGGCTGTTCCTCAGGCCCATTTAGTTTCTAAACTTAGAAATCCTAATACAAAATGGCTTCAATGATGAAGAAGATGTTGGTAAGCGGCAAATTTATTTGTAGAATGGCCTATGGGGTGGATTTAATCCCAAGGCTCAGTGGTGTCATTGTAGCTCTATTTTTTTGCTCTACCTATCATGCCATCAGTGTCATCTCAAGTCTGGTTCTCCTGTCTATGATGGTTGCGAGATAACTGCCAATAGCCCCATGAGTTACATGTTTCTTGGTCCATATCCAGAGAGATTGAGACAGCATATTTGCCCCAACTAACAAACGAGAGTTTTGTTAACCTAGTTCATGTGCCTACCCCCAAGCTAATCATAGTGGCCATGGGTAAGTGTCCTTCCTGAAACAGTACTTGGCCAGAGTATAGGATAATATTGGCTTGCTAATGCCAGTGAGAACTTACCTCTGAAGCTCTTGTCAAGGTTAGCTCCTCTCAAACTGCATGTTAGAGGGGCAGATGGAATACTGGGGAGACAACCAAAAGGTCAATGACAGCATTACTGCCCTTATAGTTTACCATGTAATTCTGGATTTTCTTAATAATTTCTATGAATAGTAACAATCTTTCCACCCTCCTCGCCTCCAGCCATTTATTTTCAACACCACAAGTGCCTGTAAGATCAGACTTGTTTAGCCCATCTTGATTCTGCTTCTTGTCCTTGGTGAACTCTCATTGGCTTATCTGGGCCAGTTACTTCCCTTATGCGTTTGGAGAAGTCTTTGCCCCATCCTAGATTATTCTCATTGGAAATGCAACCATAAGGCTTGGATATTTTGGAAGAAACAAATTAAGCCCTTCTATCTTTTGCTTTCACTGAAGAGATCCTAATGACAATTTCTCCATCAGGTAAAGTGGTAAGAGAACCAAAAATTTTTGAGAGGTAGTGTAGCAAAACTCATCTCCTTTTTACTTATTTTTGAGGTTTTTAACACTGCTATGTTTTAAAAATATGGTTTTGGTTCACTGGGCAAGCAAAGGCAAGTTACTGTTGAGACGAGGCCCTCTGTGCCAGATACATATGTCGGTTTAAATCCAAAGCTGAGAATGTGCTGAGTATGGCTCTGGGCAGCACGTCACTCCAGCTTCTACTTTTCTGGACCGTCAATTAACAGTGCAGGACTGGTTTCTACTTGTCCTGTCTTTTTCCTGCGGAGCTCTGAAGAAAAGTAAAAATGAAATTTGCCTTCAGGCTGGAAGAACTTAGTAGTCACAGGAAATGGTTCTTAAGAGTTCTGGAATCTGCTGCTTTCTTTATATCTGAACTGCTGCTGCCTGAATAACCTTAACAAGTTCCTAAGCTCTCAGCTGCCCTGCTTAATGTCTCATTCACACCACTGCCATAGTGATAGTTCAGAAATGTGCATCTGGTCATGTCACTCTCCTGTCTTCAACCATCTCAGGGCTCCTCATAGTTTGGAGGATAAAGCTCAAATTCAGAGATAATAGCCCATAAGATCCTTCCTTTCTGTTCTGGCTCCTAGCGGTGACACCCACAGAGTGTGCATGTGTAGGAGTCCACACGTGCACACCTCCACTTTCTTCATTTCCTGGTACCGTGCTCTTACCACATGGCTTTCATATTGGCTGTTTTCTTGGCCATAGTACACTTCGTCTTCCCCATTTCACATAGATAACTTGTACTCACCTTTAGGCTTCAGCTTTTGTGTCATGTCCCCTTGGAAGTTCTTAATCCTCAAATCCAGGTAGATGGTCTCCCTGTGCCATCCCACAGTGCCCTAAGCTTTCCCCATTATAGTCTTATGACAGTGTGTTGTAATCTTTTGTGTCTACGATTAGACTGCAAGCCCAGTAGGGAGAGAGTCTGCATCTCTCTTGTTTGCTCTTGTCGTTATGTATATGCCAAGTTCCTAGGACAATGTCTTACTCAATAATTCAGTGAAAGATGTGCCGGTGCTCAGGGAGAGGTCAAAGTTGGTGATAGGTATTTGTAGATATCTGTTTCCTACATAAAGAGAGTGAGAATGGGAGGGCGAGGCATTGCCTCACCTGGGAAGCGCAAGGGGTCAGGGAGTTCCCTTTCCGAGTCAAAGAAAGGGGTGACGGACGCACCTGGAAAATCGGGTCACTCCCACCTGAATATTGCGCTTTTCAGACCGGCTTAAGAAACGGCGCACCACGAGACTATATCCCACACCTGGCTCAGAGGGTCCTACGCCCACGGAATCTCGCTGATTGCTAACACAGCAGTCTGAGATCAAACTGCAAGGCGGCAATGAGGCTGGGGGAGGGGCGCCCGCCATTGCCCAGGCTTGCTTAGGTAAACAAAGCAGCCTGGAAGCTCGAACTGGGTGGAGCCCACCACAACTCAAGGAGGCCTGCCTGCCTCTGTAGGCTCCACCTCTGGGGGCAGGGCACAGACAAACAAACAGACAGCAGTAACCTCTGCAGACTTAAGTGTCCCTGTCTGACAGCTTTGAAGAGAGCAGTGGTTCTCCCAGCACGCAGCTGGAGATCTGAGAACGGGCAGACTGCCTCCTCAAGTGGGTCCCTGACCCCTGACCCCCGAGCAGCCTAACTGGGAGGCACCCCCCAGCAGGGGCACACTGACACCTCACACAGGGTATTCCAACAGACCTGCAGCTGAGGGTCCTGTCTGTTAGAAGGAAAACTAACAACCAGAAAGGACATCTACACCGAAAACCCATCTGTACATCACCATCATCAAAGACCAAAAGTAGATAAAACCACAAAGATGGGGAAAAAACAGAACAGAAAAACTGGAAACTCTAAAACGCAGAGCGCCTCTCCTCCTCCAAAGGAACACAGTTCCTCACCAGCAACGGAACAAAGCTGGATGGAGAATGATTTTGACGAGCTGAGAGAAGAAGGCTTCAGACGATCAAATTACTCTGAGCTACGGGAAGACATTCAAACCAAAGGCAAAGAAGTTGAAAACTTTGAAAAAATTTAGAAGAATGTATAACTAGAATAACCAATACAGAGAAGTGCTTAAAGGAGCTGATGGAGCTGAAAAGCAAGGCTCGAGAACTACGTGAAGAATGCAGAAGCCTCAGGAGCCGATGCGATCAACTGGAAGAAAGGGTATCAGCAATGGAAGATGAAATGAATGAAATGAAGCGAGAAGGGAAGTTTAGAGAAAAAAGAATAAAAAGAAATGAGCAAAGCCTCCAAGAAATATGGGACTATGTGAAAAGACCAAATCTACGTATGATTGGTGTACCTGAAAGTGATGTGGAGAATGGAACCAAGTTGGAAAACACTCTGCAGGATATTATCCAGGAGAACTTCCCCAATCTAGCAAGGCAGGCCAATGTTCAGATTCAGGAAATACAGAGAACGCCACAAAGATACTCCTCGAGAAGAGCAACTCCAAGACACATAATTGTCAGATTCACCAAAGTTGAAATGAAGGAAAAAATGTTAAGGGCAGCCAGAGGGAAAGGTCGGGTTACCCTCAAACGAAAGCCCATCAGACTAACAGCGGATCTCTCGGCAGAAACCCTACAAGCCAGAAGAGAGTGGGGGCCAATATTCAACATTCTTAAAGAAAAGAATTTTCAACCCAGAATTTCATATCCAGCCAAACTAAGCTTCATAAGTGAAGGAGAAATAAAATACTTTATAGACAAGCAAATGCTGAGAGATTTTGTCACCACCAGGCCTGCCCTAAAAGAGCTCCTGAAGGAAGCGCTAAACATGGAAAGGAACAACCGGTACCAGCCGCTGCAAAATCATGCCAAAATGTAAAGACCATCGAGACTAGGAAGAAACTGCATCAACTAATGAGCAAAATCACCAGCTAACATCATAATGACAGGATCAAATTCACACATAACAATATTAACTTTAAATATAAATGGACTAAATTCTGCAATTAAAAGACACAGACTGGCAAGTTGGATAAACAGTCAAGACCCATCAGTGTGCTGTATTCAGGAAACCCATCTCACGTGCAGAGACACACATAGGCTCAAAATAAAAGGATGGAGGAAGATCCACCAAGCCAATGGAAAACAAAAAAAGGCAGGGGTTGCAATTCTAGTCTCTGATAAAACAGACTTTAAACCAACAAAGATCAAAAGAGACAAAGAAGGCCATTACATAATGCTAAAGGGATCAATTCAACAAGAGGAGCTAACTATCCTAAATATTTATGCACCCAATACAGGAGCACCCAGATTCATAAAGCAAGTCCTGAGTGACCTACAAAGAGACTTAGACTCCCACACATTAATAATGGGAGACTTTAACACCCCACTGTCAACATTAGACAGATCAACGAGACAGAAAGTCAACAAGGATACCCAGGAATTGAACTCAGCTCTGCACCAAGCAGACCTAATAGACATCTACAGAACTCTCCACCCCAAATCAACAGAATATACATTTTTTTCAGCACCACACCACACCTATTCCAAAATTGACCACATAGTTGGAAGTAAAGCTCTCCTCAGCAAATGTAAAAGAACAGAAATTATAACAAACTATCTCTCAGACCACAGTGCAATCAAACTAGAACTCAGGATTAAGAATCTCACTCAAAGCCGCTCAACTACATGGAAACTGAACAACCTGCTCCTGAATGACTACTGGGTACATAACGAAATGAAGGCAGAAATAAAGATGTTCTTTGAAACCAACGAGAACAAAGACACCACATACCAGAATCTCTGGGACGCATTCAAAGCAGTGTGTAGAGGGAAATTTATAGCACTAAATGCCCACAAGAGAAAGCAGGAAAGATCCAAAATTGACACCCTAACATCACAATTAAAAGAACTAGAAAAGCAAGAGCAAACACATTCAAAAGCTAGCAGAAGGCAAGAAATAACTAAAATCAGAGCAGAACTGAAGGAAATAGAGACACAAAAAACCCTTCAAAAAATCAAAGAATCCAGGAGCTGGTTTTTTGAAAGGATCAACAAAATTGATAGACCGCTAGCAAGACTAATAAAGAAAAAAAGAGAGAAGAATCAAATAGACACAATAAAAAATGATAAAGGGGATATCACCACTGATCGCACAGAAATGCAAACTACCATAAGAGAATACTACAAACACCTCTACGCAAATAAACTAGAAAATCTAGAAGAAATGGATACATTCCTCGACACATACACTCTCCCAAGACTAAAACAGGAAGAAGTTGAATCTCTGAATAGACCAATAAGAGGCTCTGAAATTGTGGCAATAATCAATAGTTTACCAACCAAAAAGAGTCCAGGACCAGATGGATTCACAGCCGAATTCTACCAGAGGTACAAGGAGGAACTGGTACCATTCCTTCTGAAACTATTCCAATCAATAGAAAAAGAGGGAATCCTCCCTAACTCATTTTATGAGGCCAGCATCATTCTGATACCAAAGCCGGGCAGAGACACAACCAAAAAAGAGAATTTTAGACCAATATCCTTGATGAACATTGATGCAAAAATCCTCAATAAAATACTGGCAAACCGAATCCAGCAGCACATCAAAAAGCTTATCCATCATGATCAAGTGGGCTTCATCCCTGGGATGCAAGGCTGGTTCAATATACGCAAATCAATAAATGTAATCCAGCATATAAACAGAGCCAAAGACAAAAACCACATGATTATCTCAATAGATGCAGAAAAAGCCTTTGACAAAATTCAACAAGCTTCATGCTAAAAACTCTCAATAAATTAGGTATTGATGGGACGTATTTCAAAATAATAAGAGCTATCTATGACAAACCCACAGCCAATATCATACTGAATGGGCAAAAACTGGAAGCATTCCCTTTGAAAACTGGCACAAGACAGGGATGCCCTCTCTCACCGCTCCTATTCAACATAGTGTTGGAAGTTCTGGCCAGGGCAATCAGGCAGGAGAAGGAAATAAAGGGTATTCAATTAGGAAAAGAGGAAGTCAAATTGTCCCTGTTTGCAGACGACATGATTGTTTATCTAGAAAACCCCATCATCTCAGCCCAAAATCTCCTTAAGCTGATAAGCAACTTCAGCAAAGTCTCAGGATACAAAATCAATGTACAAAAATCACAAGCATTCTTATACACCAACAACAGACAAACAGAGAGCCAAATCATGAGTGAACTCCCATTCACAATTGCTTCAAAGAGAATAAAATACCTAGGAATCCAACTTACAAGGGATGTGAAGGACCTCTTCAAGGAGAACTACAAACCACTGCTCAAGGAAATAAAAGAGGACACAAACAAATGGAAGAACATTCCATGCTCATGGGTAGGAAGAATCAATATCGTGAAAATGGCCATACTGCCCAAGGTAATTTACAGATTCAATGCCATCCCCATCAAGCTACCAATGACTTTCTTCACAGAATTGGAAAAAACTACTTTAAAGTTCATATGGAACCAAAAAAGAGCCCGCATCGCCAAGTCAATCCTAAGCCAAAAGAACAAAGCTGGAGGCATCACACTACCTGACTTCAAACTATACTACAAGGCTACAGTAACCAAAACAGCATGGTACTGGTACCAAAACAGAGATATAGATCAATGGAACAGAACAGAGCCCTCAGAAATAATGCCACATATCTACAACTATCTGATCTTTGACAAACCTGAGAAAAACAAGCAATGGGGAAAGGATTCCCTATTTAATAAATGGTGCTGGGAAAACTGGCTAGCCATATGTAGAAAGCTGAAACTGGATCCCTTCCTTACACCTTATACAAAAATCAATTCAAGATGGATTAAAGATTTAAACGTTAGACCTAAAACCATAAAAACCCTAGAAGAAAACCTAGGCATTACCATTCAGGACATAGGCGTGGGCAAGGACTTCATGTCCAAAACACCAAAAGCAATGGCAACAAAAGCCAAAATTGACAAATGGGATCTAATTAAACTAAAGAGCTTCTGCACAGCAAAAGAAACTACCATCAGAGTGAACAGGCAACCTACAACATGGGAGAAAATTTTCGCAACCTACTCATCTGACAAAGGGCTAATATCCAGAATCTACAATGAACTCAAACAAATTTACAAGAAAAAAACAAACAACCCCATCAAAAAGTGGGCAAAGGACATGAACAGACACTTCTCAAAAGAAGACATTTATGCAGCCAAAAAACACATGAAAAAATGCTCATCATCACTGGCCATCAGAGAAATGCAAATCAAAACCACTATGAGATATCATCTCACACCAGTTAGAATGGCAATCATTAAAAAGTCAGGAAACAACAGGTGCTGGAGAGGATGTGGAGAAATAGGAACACTTTTACACTGTTGGTGGGACTGTAAACTAGTTCAACCATTGTGGAAGTCAGTGTGGCGATTCCTCAGGGATCTAGAACTAGAAATACCATTTGACCCAGCCATCCCATTACTGGGTATATACCCAAAGGACTATAAATCATGCTGCTATAAAGACACATGCACACGTATGTTTATTGCGGCACTATTCACAATAGCAAAGACTTGGAACCAACCCAAATATCCAACAATGATAGACTGGATTAAGAAAATGTGGCACATATACACCATGGAATACTATGCAGCCATAAAAAATGACGAGTTCATGTCCTTTGTAGGGACATGGATGAAATTGGAAACCATCATTCTCAGTAAACTATCGCAAGAACAAAAAACCAAACACCGCATATTCTCACTCATAGGTGGGAATTGAACAATGAGATCACATGGACACAGGAAGGGGAATATCACACTCTGGGGACTGTGGTGGGGTGGGGGGAGGGGGGAGGGATAACATTGGGAGATATACTTAATGCTAGTTGACACGTTAGTGGGTGCAGCGCACCAGCATGGCACATGTATACATATGTAACTAACCTGCACAATGTGCACATGTACCCTAAAACTTAAAGTATAATAAAAAAAAAAAAAAAAAAAGAGAGTGAGAATGGGATAGAAAATGTTGGAGAAGTGGAAGGAAGCCAGAGAGAGGACTTGTAGCTAGACAGAATCCTGTTTTATCACCAACAAGCTTTGTAACTTTGGGCATATAATCTAACTTTCTGTATTTCTGCTTTCCTTTTCTGTAAAATTGGAATTTAATTATACTTATTCCCAGGGTTGGTTATGCATAGTAAATGAGAATATATGTAATGCAATTAGCATTATCCTTAGGGTATAATAGGTTCCTACTAAATAGGGTGACCATATACCTCAATTTGCCTGTGACAGCCGTGCTTTATACCTGTTGTCCCAGCATAATTATTAAAAGTATCCCATTTTATTCTTAAAAGGTCCTGTTTTGGATAATAAATGGCATAGTCCCTACTAGAAATAGAGAGGAACTCACAGATTAATTGGTCCATTTCACAGATTAAAAAAAAAAAAAAAGCGGACCAAGAGAAGAGGCTTGCTAAAGGAAATGTAGCTACTTGTTGGCAGAACTGGGTCTTCTGACTTGGAGAGCAGTGCTATGTCTATGATCACATCCAGCTGCCTTCTTAATTCCACAGTTTTTGAACAGTTAATGATCCGCATTAATAGATCTCCAAAAGCAATAAACATGTATGAATCAGTTAACAGTTACCTAACATCAATCACCTTGTAAACCCCTCACCATTACTCCTCCAGCATTTTTTGAACTGCTCTTTCCCCAACCAGTTCTTGGACTCCACCCAATCTCTTCCTACCCCTACTTGCATCTTTGATTAGCATCTATGGGCATATACAGATCCCCTTCCCAACCTTTTGGCTTTAACTGTTTTTTCTCACCCACATTTATTCCATTTATGTGGTTACCTGCTTCTTCTCTGTTTAGCTGGAGTCTTGGTCAGGTAGGGCCTACTGGTCTCTCCTTATACCATGTTATTAGTAATGAACCACCTAACATATTTTTAAGGATGACAAATGAATAAGAGTTTAAACTCTCTTAGCAGGTGGACTTTCTGTTACCTAATGAGACATAGGCTCCAGGAAAGAGAGTTGGCCCAGTATCTCTAACTGGAAAATTAACCTATGTGAGGAAAAATTCAGAGGCTACAATACCTCTTTCCAGTGCTCATCACAGAGGGAATTATTTCAACGAACACATAAACTTTGCTTGGTTTACTTTAAACAAAAACAATCTATTATCTCATAGATATCCTTGGATTTTATTTATTTATAATGTTTTAAAATCCCACATAGCACTGTTTAGTCAATGTGATCCACTTTCTTTATTCAATAGAATTGGCTGCTAATGACTTTTGGTCATTTTCCAAAACTGAATCCCTACTTAACTGAAAATGACTTAACCCCACTCAGAACATTTAAAAGAACACATCCTGTGCTGTGGAGAGCCTGGTGAACAGGCACCATGAGGGCCAGCACACCTGCACACTGCTGAGAGCCCTTGACCTCAGCTTTGGGAAGGTGCAGGCAGCTGCTGCGTCCTGGCTGGCATCCATCTCTCCATGCCAATATTTCCCTTTCCAAGGCAGGCAGAGCCACCTTTGTGGTAGTGGAGTGTGGAGCAGGAGGAAATGAGTGGAGTCTGCTTGTTTCTCACCTAGAGGCAAACAGAAGAGAAAAGAGGGCCCCCTTGCTATTCCACCAGAACTAAGGAAAAAGACAAAAGCAAAGAAGATAAATAGTTATATTATGCCTTTATTTATTCAGAGTCCAGATGTAAAGGAAAGTGGAAAGAAATCACATGGACGATCCCTCATGACCAACTTTGGAAAACATAAGGTATGAATTAAGAGTAATAACTATGCATACTTCAGTTAATTTAAAGATTCTGGAAGATAACAGGAGAATATCATCATGACCTTGGAATAACTGAAGATTTCTTAACCAGCACGTCAGCAAAGGAAAAGATTGATATTTAAACTACTTTAAAAGTTAAGAACTTCTACGCATCAACAGTATCAAAAAGCAAGTTGCATACTGGGAAAGAATATTTTGAATACATATATCCAATAATATATCCAAAAAACTGTATTTAACATCTTAAATATACATATCCAATACATAATGGGTATGTGTTATTAAAACTGGTATGTGTATTATATATTCTATCCTGAATATATAAATAGCTTCTATAAATCAATAAAAAGATAGGCAACTTAATTTCTAAAAGATGGGCAAAACACTTAAACAGGCAGTTCACAAAAGAAGATATCCAAATTGCTAATAAAGAAAAGGAATTCACCCGTCAGTCATCTGGGAAACACAATTTAAAATGACTATGTGATTCCATATATGCCCGCCACAACAGGTAACATTAAAAGATGGCAAGAACCAAATGTTAGTGAGGATGAAGCAGTTGAATTCTCAAACACTACTTATGGTTGTGCACATTTGTGCAAGTACTTTGGCCCACTATTTCACAGTATCTGCTAAAGCTGCACTATGTACTATGACTTAGCAGTTCTATTGTTAGGTATATGTCAAAAGACAGAAATAGGCCAGGCGTGGTGGCTCACACCTGTAATCCCAGCACTTTGGGAGGCCTTGGTGGGTGGATCACCTGAGGTCAGGTGTTCAAAACCAGCCTGGCCAACATGGCCAAACACTGTCTCTACTAAAAATACAAAAATTAGCCAGGTGTGGTGGTGTGTGCCTGTAATCCCAGCTACTCAGGAGGCTAAGGCATGAGAACTGCTTGAACCCAGGAGGCAGAGGTTGCAGTGAGGCGAGATTGCACCACTGCACTCCAGCCTGGGCAACAAGAGTGAAACTCCATCTACAGAAAAAAAAAAAAAAGACAGAAGTAACAATACTTATATTGAGATTGGTAATAGTACAAAGAGGAAAAAGTACAAATGTCCATTGATAATAGAATGAGTAAAAATTGTGGTGTATTCATATAAGAGAATAGTTAACAACTAAGAAAATGACAAAATTACAACTATATGCAATAATATGATCTTTATAAACATGATGTTGAGCAAAATAAACCAGACCCAAGAGAGTACATACAGTTTTATTCCATCAATATTAAATTCAAAACCAGGCAAAAGAAACCCTATAGAGTAGACATCAGAATAGTTATTACCTTCACAGAGAAAGGAATGACAGAATTGGAGGATCAGAAGGCTTTTGGGGGACAGATAATATTCTATTTCGTCGTATGTGTGGTTTTGATTTGTGAAAGACATCAACCTGCACACTTATGACCAGTGTACTGTCCCAACTGTATGTTACACTTCAATAAAATAGTGAAAAAAGATGTTACACTAATCTGGTGTCTTCTGGACAGATTAGCTGTTTGTCAGTAAAACTTACATAAGAATTCAATTATTAGATGGAGAACTTTACATTATACGTGAGGTTTCTGTAAGGCCATTTCTTCTACTTTAAGGAATGTCATATTTAGAATTTCCTGCCCGTCAGTGAGATAATTTGTTAGTAGGCTAGTCAGATTAGTCATTATCACAAAATATTGAAAACAACCAAAATGTTCACCTCCAAAGACTGTGTAAGTAATCCGTGAATCATTCACATAATGGACAATGATGCAGCCATTAAAAGATGATCCCTCGGAAGAGCTCGACCTGTGAAACATTAAATGAAAAAGTAAGATGAGAAGTAGATTCTATGGTATGATAACCATGAAAAGATGTGTCAAAACTGTATGTCCAGAAAATATATCATTCTCTGAATGTTATCTGTCATTGGTGATTCATTTCTTATTTCTAATTTTTGCATTTTATAGTAAAAATGATTCTTAAAAAGACATTTATTACTGTATAACTCAAATTACTAACTATGTGGAATTAGAGAATATTTCATTTCTGGATTGCAACTTGTCATTACAATTAAAATAGTCTTTCAAAGTAGATGTTTTAGGGAGTACTTCACCTAACTAAAATTTATCATACCTCAAGTTATAAGAATAAATTGTTGTCCATTAGACTATTTATAGATTATTTTAATAAATATTGACAGTATTTTAAATGGAAAGGTAATGTTATATAGATTACAGAATGACTTTCTGTGCCATTTATTTAACCATCACAACAATAATCCTTTGAAATAGATGTTCTTGCCACACTCTTTCTAAAGATCCAATAGGAAGCTAGTGAGGTTAGCCAGTTTACCAGCCTGGTGAAAGACGGAACATGAGATCATCAAATGGTAGGGCTTCCATACCTGCAAGCTGAGGTACTCAAGGCATAAATAATGCCGGAGAAGTTTCCAAACCAAACTGGCATCTTACTGTCACTGAAATAGAGAGAAGTTGAGTGTGTTTATGCCAACAGTGTAGCTTGTTTGATTTTTGGGGGGGTTTAGGAGAAGCATGAGAAAATCTAGAAGGTGGCATGGTCCTATGGTAATTTGGGGATGGAGACCCTTTCCCTTTCTAAGCCACATTCCTGATGTCCAGGGTTCTCTGTCTAAACATCTTACCTTTGTTTGTAGACACTGCATTTTCGATGGCAAGGTTTTCGGCAATTATTGGGGTGGTCCTTCCCCATCATTTGTATTGTTTATTTATTTATTTAGAGATGGAGTTTTGCTCTTGTTGTCCAGGCTGGAGTACAATGGTGGGATCTCGGCTCGCTGCAACCTCCACCTCCTGGGTTCAAGCGATTCTTCTGCCTCCACCTCCCAAGTAGCTGGGATTATAGGCACCTGCCACCACGCCCAGCTAATTTTTGTATTTTTAGTAGAGATGAGGTTTCACCATTTTTTGGCCAGGCTGGTCTTGAACTTGTGACCTCAGGTGATCCACCCACCTCAGCCCCCCAAAGTGCTGGGATTACAGGCGCGAGCCACCACGCCCGGCCCATCATTTGTATTGTTGAGGTCTGTGTTGCCTAAATACTGGGACTATCTCCAAATTGGTGGGGATGAAATCATACCATCCCAAAAAAGTTTTATTGTGAAACAGCTGATCTGTCCAAAAGACACCAGATTAGACCTGGAGCCTTTCAGCCTGTATTCTGTGGGTAGCAATTTTTTTTCCTGCTGCTAGAAATGAAAATGGGTCAAAATCTCAAAAGGGAAATTTGATTTAGATGATCATTTGAGTGCATACTGATCAAAAGCAGAAATGGTAGTTATTTATTTTTTTAAAAGTTACTACATGTCCTTTCTTAAAAAACCAAATGTGCCTTTTACAGTTTATTAATAGTGAGCTTCCTATACAAAAGGGCATTTTGTCCCTTATAATCATTTACATAGATACTGCAACTTTGACTCTACCCCTAGTAGAAACCTTCAAAATGCATGACTAATAAAGTCTTTCTGATACATCAACTTTATGTGTCTCCGAAGTCAGTTTCTGAGCATGAAACTCTCAGTTTTGTATTAATATTTTAATATAATTATGGCCTTAGATAGGCTTGTTATTAATGCTGAAGCAAGCTGCAATATTTGGTCATTTTCTCCCTCCAAGTTATGTTTGTGCACATGTGCATTTTAAAGCCCAGCTCATTCTCTGCATGTTGTAAATATACTTGATACAATGAGTTTGTTAAGTTTGTTTTGATTTTTCTGGCAGAAAACTACAAAATCACGGTCTAAATCTTACAGTACTGATGATGAGGAAGACACACAGCAGAGTACTGGCAAGGAGGGTGGCCAGCTGTACAGGTAAGAAAGCATCTCCATGTTTCCTACTCACACTCCTGAGGCCCCTCCATCCTTGTCAGCTTAGTCATTTTTCTTGTACATGTCTAGAGAATTGGATCACAAGGAAAGTATTCTGTGCTGTCGAACATGTGAAGAACAGCTGGATATGAAATGATAATTTATGTAGGGAACTCAGCTCTGTGCCTGGCACATAATGAGCTCTTTATAAATGTTAGCTGCAGCAGTTGTCAAGTAAAAGGTATCTTCAGAGAAGAGGGAGGGAGCACATGAACTAATACAAAGACCGTCACAAGAGACTAAAGAAGATGGATGCTAAGCCCATGTTAGGAGCCAGGAATCTGAAATCAGCCAGATTTCAAATTCTTGTTCCTCCAGTTACCAACTTTAACATGCGACAAGTTTGGCTCCTCATTGTATCTGTCTCTTAGAGTCATTGTAAGGATTAAAGGAATTAAACTAATTAGCCCTGTAAGCCCTGGCCTGATTAAATAAGTATTCAAAAAAAGTTCTTTTTTGTTTGTTTGTTTGCTTTATTGCCAGTAGTATTTATGATAAGTAACATGACCATATTTTCAGAATCCAAATCGTGACACATGATTCATTACAGGAGTTCCTGGCAGTTTATTTATACCATAACTTTCACAAAGAAATATAAATTATATATATTAGATAGATATGGATACATATACACACTTTTGCCTTTATTGAAAAATGAAATTATTTGAAATTAGAAGCATAGAAGCCCTGTAGGAATAAAACTTTAGTGTTCAATTAAACTTTATATTTGAGCTCCAACAGAATATGTATACATAAAATAGTAACTAATTAGAAGGGCAGAGGAGATGTGTGTGGTCCCTACTCTAGGGAACAGAAAATTGAATATATAGTTACAGTAAAGGATAAAGAGAAAATAATAGGATCACCTGCTGGGAGACTTCTGCTGTGACTGTTGTCATATGTAAGTTTGAGAAAGGCTTAACTCTGACACATATAGCCAGGGAAAAGGCAGTGTTTGAGGAAAGCTACAATAATCTTAATGTGTGCAAAGGAGACATCAATACAGTTATCACATGAAATCATTTTGCATGCTGCTTAGTGTCAACTATAGATTTTCCCATAATAGATATCAGGGCCTGAGCATCTATGATGATGTCCTTTTGGGACTTTAGTAACCTAATGCACCTCTAGGATGAGGAATAAAAAGAGTTAATTTTCTGTAGAATTTCTCCATATCACGGAATGTCTTAGAGTTTTACTTATAATTTCTAGGCATGACTTCACACCGATTTATAATCATTAGCCTTCACAAAATCAGATTTTCACCAGTGGCTATAGAATTTCCTAATTATATGGTAAAGAAGGAACATGCGTTCTTTTTTCTATTGATTTTTACCACAGTAAAGTTCTCAGCAGACCATCACATTCCCCTCACTTACCCACTTTTCTCCTATAGGGGAACATCTAACTATCGAAAAGAAACCTCACAAAAAGAAGATATACAAATGGCCAATAAACACATGAAAATGTGCTCAACATTGTTGGACATTAGGGAGATATAAATCAAAACTACAATGGAATACCTCTTCACACCCACTATGATACTTATAACCGAAAAGGCAGACAATAACACATGTTATTTCTGTTGCCTAGAGTACGGACCACATACATCTCCTCTGCCCTTCCTAATTAGTTACTATTTTATGTATAGATATTCTGTTGGAGCTTAAGTATAAAGTTTAATTGAACACTAAAGTTTAGGTTTGTTTTTGGTAGTTGTTTCCCATAAGAAAAAGTGTGTGTGTGAGGGGAATGTGATGGTCTGTGGAGGACTTGACTGCAGAAGAGAGTGGTGGTACAATTTGTAAGGTTGCAGAGGAGATCCTATGAGTGGTTTGTAGGAGAGAGAAAACTATTAAAATATCTAAGATAAAAACAGCACTAGATAAAGTAATGAATGTTTGTTTTAAGAAAGCTAGAGAATATAGAAAAAGTATAAAGAAGAAAGTAAACATCCTTTGTAATTACATCTCTCCAATAATCACTATGGAAATTTGGCATATTTCCCTTTAGGTGTAT
Source organism: Homo sapiens (assembly GCF_000001405.40). Taxonomy (NCBI): domain Eukaryota; kingdom Metazoa; phylum Chordata; class Mammalia; order Primates; family Hominidae; genus Homo; species Homo sapiens. Next base: position 155,498,626 of record NC_000003.12, on the reverse strand, counting down.
AATTCTTGTGGCCCGCTACCCACTATGCAGTGTTTCTGTTCCATTTTAGCCCTGGTCTCCTCCCTGCAAAGGCCATGTAGTTCCCTGATGAACTCTGGTGTTACTCCCTAACTGGGTCACAGTGGGAATCCAGCCTTCCACAGCAGAACTCACAAATGCATGAGAAGAGGCTGTGATTCCTGGCAGAGCAGTGAATAAAACCACATTACAATAGTCCCCACGTCATCATGAGAAATGACTGCAGTGGATGCCTGAAACCACAGATGGTAGTGAACCCTATATATATGTTGTTTTTCTCTTTCCTTATTAAGTCAAACATTTTCACCTTTTCACTTCAAGGAAGTGCTTTGCAGCATCTCTTTGGCATATCTGAATTGCCAGCATTACTACTCCCGCACTTTAGGGCCATTATTAAGTAAAATAAGAGTTACTTGAACATAAGCACTGCAAAACCTCCACTCCACAGTCAGTCACATAAGAAGATGTCTACCAGATGACACATACATCATGGATATGCTGGACAAAGGGATGACTCATGTCCAGAGTGGGACGGAGCAGGACCTCACAAGATTTCATCATGCTACTAAGAATGGCATACAATTTAAAACTCATGGCCAGGTGCTGTGGCTTGCGTCTGTAATCCTAGCATTTTGGGAGGCCAATGCAGGTGGATCACTTGAGGTCAGGAGTTTGAGACCAGCCTGGCCAACATGGTGAAACCCTTTCACTGCTAAAATTACAAAAAATTAGCTGGCGTGGTGGTGTGCACCTGTAGTCCCAGCTACTCGGGAGGCTGAGGCAGGAGAATCACTTGAACCTGGGAGGCAGAGGTTGCAGTGAACCAAGAATGCGCCACTGCACTGCAGCTTGGGCAACAGAGAGAGACTCTGTCTCAAAAAAAGAAAAAAAATCTCATGAATTGTTTATTTCTGAAATTTCCACTTAATATTTTTAGACCATGGTTAACTATGGGCAAATGAAACTCTGGAAAGGGAAAGTGAGGATAAGGGGGGACTACTGTAGTAGGATTTTGTGGTGGAAAGAGCACTGAACTAGGAAGCACACTTGGGTGCCAATCCTGGCTCCCTTAGGACCTGGGGCAGGTATTCCCTATTAAATCATTGTCTTAAATAAGGAAAGTGGGATAACCAAGAACCCAAACCTCTTTCAACTCCAAAATGTCATGCATCCTCTGTGGGTACTTCACAGATTGGGTCGCCGAAGGAAAACCATGAAGCTCTGCCGAGAACTCTCTGATTTGGTTGTGTACACAAACTCCGTGGCCGCTCAGGACATTGTGGATGACGGTAAGGATGGAGAGTTTTCTCATTCTGCTCTGAATAAACATTCTTGACCTTTCTTTTTCAATTGTTAATGAATTTTTGTTAATCCCATTATCAACACACATTTTTGGGACTATGTAGAAACCAATTTGAGTGTCAGGAAACTCACTGCTGCTATAGTGTTGAGTTCACATGGAGGGTTCTACTGATTACTGTGGTTGCCTGATTGACCAGAGGCCAGAGAAAGTTCCCACAGGGCCAAAGAGGACTTTATTACTATACAAAGACAAGTGCCTCAGGGCAAGATCTTCCTGCAACACTTGAACTGTGAAGTCCAGGCCCGGCTTGAGGACCAGGTCACAGATGGCCATTCCAAATGCGAATGACCAAAAGAAGAAATTAATTGGCTAAAATCACACCTTGAAAAGCCCTATATTTTCTCAATGAAAGTTTTGACTTGGGTGAAAATAGCTTAATCCAGATTGAAGTTTTAACAAAAAGAGCAGAAATCTCAGTAGCATTCTCTCCGTCACTGTTTTTTACCTATCAGTTGCCACACGGAGCTGAGAAATTCTAGTCACATCTATTCATATCCTTGGCTTTCCTGCTAGTTACTCTTGTCTCCTTTATCTTCTATTTCATTTAGTTACTGAATGCTTACAGAAAAAAAACCTACTGTCATGTGGCTTTTCATCTAATTTTAATTTTAGTGGAACCGAAATGTAAATCAGGACCTCCAAATTTCTCAACAAGTTTTAGTGAAGGGAAAACAACATTGTGTCCTCACAAACCTCCAGGATTCTTCCCTCCCATCTCCCCCTGCCCAGCCCCCACTCCACAAATGTATCTTTTTCTATTTGCAGAAAGATTTCTTCCCTTTGGCCTTGATTCCTTCTTCAAATGGTAACAATTATACAAGATTTAAATGAATTTCACATGTGAGAGCATGAGAACCTGTAGGATTCTCAGCAACTGAGCAACACACTCTTACAACAATTGCCCTTAGCTCAAAAATAAACTCAGGGAATGATTGCATTAAGTTAAAGGTATATTTGGTTTAGGGAATAAAAATTTCCAATAAATGGCTTGGAAAACATAATCCTATTAACTTAATGGAAATTAATCTTGAGTACTATTTAGCTCTGGAACTTCAGCTGTTTTTGTCTTTTTAATTTTTTTGCCAGCCACAAAATGAAAACTAGATAATGAATGCATGGCTTATCCTAATGTGATACAACTCAACTCTATTAATATACTAATTGATATGTGCCTAATTAGCAAGGTCGTATCAATGATATTGTGATGTGCATATTTATGTAGAGAGACAGACAAAACAGTAGTAGTGATTATAGTCCTATTCTATCTGAATTAGGCTTGTCAAAAAGATATTTTCTCCTATAATGTTTAAAACATCCCTCATCAAAATCTGCAATTAAGTTCAATATTAGTATGCTTGAGATATGTAAACTGTGTTAATAGGTTATGCCAATAAAAAATATATGAACATGTATCTTTAAGGAAAGGGTCTAAACTAGAAACATCATCACATTAAAAACTGTAATCCTCTCATTTCTTTGCCACAGTTTGTATTCCTGACTCTTCTAACTCGGGAGTATCATTGTCAGTTGGGCAGCATCTAACATCTAAGGGTGTACAACCCTGAGGACCACAGGGGCCCTGGGAAACTGTGTGTTAATAAACATGCAGAGTCTAGATATGACTCAGGCCCAGCTGGCAAAGCGAGACCATATACAGTTCAACTCTTTGGTTTCATGGACCACATCTCTCTGTCTGGGCTCAGACACACTCAGCTTATTAGGGCTGAATAAGAATGAGATTCTGGGTAACTTTGGGTCTTTTTATCTGGGCTGGTCTTTTCCAGCATGTTCAAATGACATATGGGCGGCCATTTTGGGGATAGGGTATGGGTTCTTGGTGAAGGAGTGGAAATAGCGGGGGCTTTGTAGATATGGTACAAAAGGTGGGATTGGAGACAAGAGTGGAATATTAAATGTTTGGAGCTTTACTCCATTATGACCCCCAAATTTGCAGCTTCTGTGAGTCTAGATTGACCCCTCCTGATGATTGTGCTGGCAGAAACTTTAGTACAGGCTTCATGTACTTTTACCTTCCTTTACTTTGTTCCATAGTTTATATGCGTGGCTAGGTGAATGTCTGTCTTTGTTCTTAAAACTTTTATTCCTTTATAATGCTTTTGACCTCTTTTTCTCCATTATTATTCCTTTCTCCCAAATAGGTTTTGACTTGTTCCATAGTTCTATTCAAAGCAACTTTAAAACTCAACTTTTTATTTTTATAATTGTTCATTTTCCTTTATTTTCTTGGATCCTGGATGTTACTAGTAATACATGTTTTACTTGTGTGCCTTTTAGATGAGTGCCTTCAATGAATGTCTTCCTGTTATCAGGAAGAAGCTATCTAGTTTTATTTATCCATGGTTGTCTATATATTTGGCAAATATATTCTGTTTAAGTTATTTTTTCTACCTGTTCTTTTCATGCTAGCCAGATAGGCATAAATTAGCGGTATGATTGAATTCTTAGGGAGAACAGGGGACCCAGAAATAGACAGCTACTTGAGCAAGACACACAGCTCTGATTTGGCCTCAAAATGGCAAAAGAACCCTATGAATGGAATGTTATGGGTCTTTTCTGTTGAGGAGCTGCCTCTACTCTGGTTGAATCCACTCTCTAGTGCTCTGCTTTTTGCTATTGGTATAATCTGACATTATTATAAAGTCTTCTGTGCGTGGTGTTTTCTTTGCTGTAGTTCTCACTTCCTTTTTTCTCGATTAAAAACTGCCAGGAACCACAGGAAATGTGTTATCATTCAGTGAAACAAGAGCACATCAGGTTGTTCAGCAAAAATCAGAGCAGTTCATGATTTATAATCAAAAGCAACTCACGAGGATTTACCCCTCTGCCTACCGCATTGATTCCAGTAACTTCAACCCTCTCCCCTACTGGAACGCAGGCTGCCAGCTAGGTGTGTATTCCTTGGGAAGGAGTGGTTCTCTGTATATTCTCACTATGCCACCATCTTGCCTAATTCTCTCCCACTTTCAACTTGCACAGTGGCACTGAATTATCAATCTGAAGGACGAATGATGCAGTTAAACCGAGCCAAATTCAAGGCAAATGGCAATTGTGGCTATGTCCTCAAACCCCAGCAAATGTGCAAAGGTGTGTATTAATTTCATAGTCATAAATGCAGGTGTGTGTTAATTTCATAGTCTAAATGCAGGCAACCTTTATTAAGGAAGCTGTTTAGAAAGTGTGATACCCCAGAGTTTTTCAACTTTTTTTTTTCAAAAAGATAGGTTAAGGTGTTTGAATGTGAATTAGAATTCTTGTCACCACTACTTAATATTTGGTTAGCCGTGATGTTTAGAATGTTATCTTGAGAGGTCGTGTGTGAAAGAGGGACATGGATAGCATTGGGTTATCACTTGAAATCCAGTGCCCCATATAAGCTGGACTGCTTTTTAAGGTCTGAGCCCAATCTTTCAGAAACTATCTTAAGTAATGTGAGTCTGTGACCTGCTGGGAAGCTTCAATTCCACCTGAAACAATTTTATCAAGCCCTTTTACTCAGTGTAGTCCAATTACAAAACAGTGCTAACAAAAGAGAAAGGATAGGCTGGGCATGGGGGCTGACGCCTGTAATTCCAGCACTTTGTGAGGTCAAGGTGGGCGGATCACCTGAGGTCAGGAGTTTGAGACCAGCCTGGCCAACATGGTAAAACGCCGTCTCTACTGAAAATCAGAATTAGCTGGGCATAGTGGTGCGTGCCTGTAGTCCCAGCTACTTGGGAAGTTGAGGTAGGAGAATCGCTGGAACCCAGGAGGCAGAGGTTGCAGTGAGCCAAGATCACACCACTGCACTCCAGCCTGGGTGACAGAGTGAGACTCCATCTCAAAAGAAACAAAACAAAGCAAAAAAAGGATAATGTGTTAGATCAAACAACACTTTCTTTTGGTTCTGCTCATTAAAATTATTTTTAAAATTTCCAAATTACATATATAACAATTCAGATAAAAAAGTTGTTGACAGGATTATCTTCAAGATTTTACACTTTGCACATTTTCTTGCTCTGCTGTTTACTTAATTTCAAGTCTTCTTTCTGTTTGTTATATTCACTCATGCCTGAGATAGTTTAGGTTAGAAAATTATTTGAATCTGACATAATTGTTCTTCTTTTTACACTGTTGGTGTTCAAATAAAATGCTTCTCTTCCTTCATTCCACAGTTGATCATTGCATTGCAAACACTTGCTTTAAGTTGGCCCACTCCACTGGCCTTTGGCAACATGGTTTCTAATGAAAACCACAGCTATGCCACACTGATAGTTATGTGATCATGTAATTCAGCATTTGTTTTTGTTTGTTTGTTTCTTTGTTTACAAGCTTAAGCTGTGCATGCGTGTGTGTTTCTTCTTATGTTACCAACTTATACTTTACTTGGCCTAGGTACTTTCAACCCTTTCTCTGGTGACCCTCTTCCTGCCAACCCCAAAAAGCAGCTCATCCTGAAAGTTATCAGTGGACAGCAACTCCCCAAACCTCCAGACTCCATGTTTGGAGATCGAGGCGAGGTAAGTTGCCTATGACTACGTGTCTAAGTGGTTAATTATGTGATTATCTTAGTGCATTTACATTTTATCCGAAATGTCTTCAGAGATGTATGTGTGTTCATAACTGAGCACTGACCTCAGCTTATCAGACATTAACTGATTTATTGGTAAGTCACACAGTTCTTGCTGTACTGCTGTCCATCATCTATTTTGAAGGCATAAGAGCACACAATTGAATTCACAATTTAAGGTTGACACTAGCATTGCTAAAATTGGAGTGCAAAGACAATTATATTATTAACAGAACAACACCTAAGAGTATATCTTAACCTAGAAAGGCAATGTTCCGTTAATAATATAACCTCACATTCCTGTCCTCCTGCAATGCTCCTCCCTGCTGCACATCAGCCACCTGCTCCTTGGCCATGTGCTGATTCTTATTATCATCTGCTGTACCTGTGTCGCGTGATTTTAAAATGTCTTCATCTGCGGCCACAGTCTTTTTTCTTTCCAGAGCTCTTAGCCCATTGTTTCCATTATACCTTCTTGGCTTCTGTTTTCTCGCTATATAGCAGCTTCTCCTATGCTCATGCCCTTCCTCTCAGAGCTGATCCATTACTTCAGGTTCTTTGTCACTCCCGCCTATTAAACCATCATTTTTGGATCTTAAGGAAGGAAATCACAGAGCTCTACAATTTGGTACCGCCATAAATGCTTTAAGAAGTCTACTTTCTCTGCTTTAGACTTTCTTAGGTCAGCTCTTTCTAGATTCTTTGGGTTTTATTCCTTCATTGTTCGTCGCCCAGAACTGGTACCAGAAAGGAGAGTCTACAGATGACCAACAATACAAGATATTTCCCCCTAGAGGAGAGGATGGGAATTAAAGTATAAGAATCAAACATGCATAGCTTGATTAATTATTATGCCACCCAGATCAAGGCAGAGTATATCCAGAATCCCTAGAAGGCTCCTGTCCACCTTCCCAGTCAATATCTACCCTCCCCACTGCCTCTCATAGCAAACACCAACCCCTATCACAGCAGACAAATTTTGTCTATTCCTAAACTTTATATAAATGGACTCTTAGAGTAGGTACTCTTTTATGTCTGGCTTGCTCAACGTTATGTTATATAGGAGAACTTTATTCTTTTCTCATTGTTGAGAGTATTCATTGAACACATACTTCTGACCAGGCACGGTGGCTCACATTTATAATCCCAGCACTTTGAGAGGCTGAGGTGGGCAGATTGCCTGAGCTCAGGAGTTTGAGACCAGCCTGGACAACATGGCAAAACCCCATCTCTACAAAAATTACCAAAATTAGCCAGGTGTGGTGCACAATCCTATAGTCCCAGCTACTCGGGAGGCTGAGGTGGGAGGATGGCTTAAACCTGGGAGGTGGAGGCTGCCATGAGCTAAGATCATGCCACTGCACTCCGACCTGAGCTACAGAGTAAGACCCTATCTCAAAAAACAAAATAACAAAAAACAAAAAACGTATATTCCACAATTATCCATCCTACTCATGATAGAAATTTAGGTTGTTTCCAGTGTTTGACTATTATAGATACAGCTGCTCTCAGCATTTGTGCATGGGCAAAACATCTCAGTTCTGTTTGGTATTTGCCCTGAACTAAAGTTGTAGGTTCAGTGGGTAAAGTTGTTGGCGTTAATAAATACTAGCAAACAGTAATTTAATATTTTTTATACTTGTCTCATATATCTGAATCCACCACACCTAGTACCATTTCTTTTTCTTACTAAGCACCTTGTAAAATCAGTTGCTGTCGAAATGTAGACATTTTGGCCAATATTCTCAGATTAATTAACATATGTATAGAAATATGTTATTTGTAATAGTACTTTCTCTTTACTTAATAGATCATTGACCCTTTTGTTGAAGTTGAAATTATTGGATTGCCAGTAGATTGTTGTAAAGATCAAACCCGTGTGGTAGATGACAATGGTAAGATGGTAATCTGTGTTCACTTTTTAATGAAGATGGTCTAGAAATAGAATTTACACTAAAAAAAGTGTCTATGTAGAAGAGCAAGAAATCTCTAAAATCCGTAACTCCCATCTGAGTTTATGTTAAAAGCTTTTCAACACATAAAACTAAGTAACTGTGGAATTGATGCGTGGCTTATTTTTATGGTATTGTAATCTAGGCTCTCTAGACTTTTGCTTTTAAAGGAAATTTTTTTTCTAGTAAAAAGAGTAAATGATATTTTAAAGAATTGGGTTAAAAATTCACTGAGGAAATGCCTCCATTATATGTTTATATTGTATTTTTATGACATGCGTTTTCTCAAAGCTCTCATTTGTGAAGCCTATGTGTCTTGATAATTTCTCACTTTTTCTGGAGCATGTAAAACTCTAAAGGCAAGCACAATATAGTCTGGCGAGTTTACTTCTTGAATATTTACATACGATTGGAGGGGCAGCATTCTTCTTATATTTTCGCCATAATATAAAGAAATTTTTCTTTACCCAAGCCTCATGTCTTTTTATTTGTAATCTTTTAAAATTTGTTTGTTCATACATTTCACAAACATTATTGTATACCTATTTTTCCTCAATCTCTTGTGATTAATACTGTAAAATACATTTGAAGCACAATCATTAATTTGAGAAATTAAGGGTTCACAAGGAGTCCCTGAAGGAACACTACAGTTTCAGAGTAGGGCAAACCTATAACTTAGGAAAAACATGTACACAGAAAGAAACCTTCTCAAATTGCATTTTCCCACCGATGTTCAATAGATTCTTCTTTCTTTTTTTAGTCTCAGAAATAATTGAGAGGTCATCACTAAGTCAACAAAAAGATCTTCTCTGATTCAAGAGAGGTATCTCAGTGATTTTTCAGCTCATAATTATTTCATTAGCTCGAGGCTTTTTGATAGGGTTAAGTGGTTGATACCTCCGAAATGCATACATTTTTAAACACTTATTTTCATTTTTAGAAAGGAAGAAAAACAGAAACTTATGGAGTACTTGAATTTTTAACAACTTTTATAGTTATTTTATTGGAGAGAATTTTACCAAGTAAATGTATTTTTGCATTTTAGTATTTGAGGTGAATTATATACCTTATTAACTTATTTTTCAGTAGCTGTGAAAATATGCCATCATTCATGCAGTAAGGTCTTGCTTCGTGAGAAGCTACTGGGAATCAATAGTGCATGGTCTAATTTGACCCTGTCACTAACTATAAGGCCTTGTGTGGCCTTGGGCACATTATTGTCTATGAACATCAATTTTCTCAACTACAAAATGTCTTATAAATACTGATATTCCCTACTTTAAAAGATGAGTGTTACTTGTACAGTTTTTGAAAGTAATATATTTTTGAAAGTCAGTAATATATATTTTTTAATTAGAAAGAAACAAAAACCAAAACCCTGCTCTACTCTAAAAACTCTAAACATCCTCTAAAAAAAACTTAGAGAATTGCTATAAGAAATAAGAGGATGTATGTACAATAGGAGTTGAAACCTGCAAATGCACCTTATAAAATGGTTGTTGGTGGTTATTACAGCAGCAGGATCTTTGGTGCATGAGAAGCATAATTCTGTTGGGAGAGGATATCATTCTTTATTGTTTTGTCTAAAACATTATTCTTAGATCACTACTATAGATAATTTTTTAACTTATTGAAGCATTCTGAATACTAAAGAGCTTCTCTACAATACAGTTAGGCATCAAAGATTAATAGATTTGATGTGATAATTTACAGGCAATTTTCTTACCAATTATTTTCTAGCAAGGGGGTAAATTTCGAGGCTTTATTCCAGTAAGGCATCCTTGAGTGTGGCTTAGTTGTCTTCATGAGTTTAATAACCATTGCAAGCAATTTTCACCGTCTGCTTTGCAGATGTTGCTGCCAACTCATTTTCAGCCAAGTCCTTTGCTTTTCTGATTTTTCTTTTCCTATTTCTCTGAGGATTTAACCCTGTGTGGGAAGAAACACTGACATTTACAGTACACATGCCAGAAATAGCTTTGGTTCGGTTCCTTGTGTGGGATCACGATCCCATTGGACGAGACTTTGTTGGACAAAGAACTGTGACCTTCAGCAGCTTAGTGCCTGGTAGGTATGAGCTGGCCTTTTCTCTCTAGACTGACCATTCCTTTTTATTTGGAAGACGTAATATATGATATGTTACTTACATAATAGCATACGTGATAAAATATGTGTCATGTAATAAATGTGACTTTTAACAAACTTTGTAAAATGTAAAGGAGTATAGTTGGGCTGGGTGCAGTGGCTCACACCTGTAATCCCAGCACTCTGGGAGGCCGAGGTGGGAGGATCACCTAAGGTCAGGAGTTCGAGACCAGCCTGACCAACATGGAGAAACCCCGTCCCTACTAAAAATAAAAAATTAGCCGGGTGTGGTGGTGCATGCCTGTAATCCCAGCTATTCGGGAAGCCGAGGCAGGAGAATTGCTTGAACCCAGGAGGCGGGGTTTGCAGTGAGCCAAGATCATGCCACTGCATTCCAGCCTGGGCAACAGAGCAACACTCTGTCTCAAAAAAAAAAAGAACTACAGTCAAGTCAGATACTTAATTTTGTTGCACCCATGAGAAAGCCAAATGCAAGTTCAACTAAAAAGAAACGACTCTCTTTCCTTTTATCAGGCTACCGGCATGTCTATTTGGAAGGACTGACAGAAGCATCCATATTTGTACACATAACCATCAATGAAATCTATGGAAAGGTGAGAAAGATCATAGGATTTAAAGTCATATACATTAATATGGTCCTTAACAATGCTACTGATTAATTGCATAATAGGAATGTAAATTTTGACAAACTGTTCTTGAACCAAAAACTCTAAGGAGGCCCAGCAAGCCCAGTCTGCTATTCCAGTCATGTCCTGATCCACCTGTACTCTTTTCACTATTTAAGGTGTGTACTCATTTCTTCTATACAGGGGCCCTCTCTGGGCTTAATAGAATTGAGAAAACTATTATTCTCTCAGGCAGTAATCTGTTGGGCTAAAACAATGAAGATATAGTTAAATGTTGAGTTTTATTTTAATCCTTAAAAAGACTCAACTGGCCTCAGTGGGAAATGCAGTGTCTCAGATGGTTGATGAGTTACCTGTACTAACTGGGCTGTGATCCCAGCGACTTCTAGGCAGGCTACATTCATTTGGTACCAATGTTTTTAACTGAAAATCTAAAAATTGTGAATGGATTTTAAAGCTACCTATAGGACTGAAAAGGCGACCATGTAAATGCATTCTAGTTCTTTCCTGATGCTGTTGTCTTGGTTATAGAACTCATTTGAGGTTTACAAATCAATAGGTTGTCCTCTGGTCATGTCAAGTAATTGGGGACTTGGTTACCAGTATGAATTTTCAGGACCACACGGGATTTGGAGGGACTGTTAAAGCATTGAATGGGGCCTAGAAATGTCCCGTGCTCTTTGCCAGAAAATCTGTATAGCTGGAAGCTTCCTCATCTGTGAATGTGGGATAAAAATAATACCTATCTCATAAATAAATATATATCTTATCCTTAGAAAGCTGCCTGGTACGCAGTAAATGCTCAGAAATGTTGGCTAATATTAATGTTATTATGACTACAACCTAACTAATAAGGAATGGACCATTTCAGCATGAATTAGGGAGTGTAAAGTTTATTTTCATATCTGTCAGCAAGGGCGTGGAGGTGGGGGTAAGGATCCTAATTTCTAAGACTCGTGAAGTTTTATACCATAACTTCCTGTGTTTAGTCCTGGATTTCTGTTTGTGCTGCTTGTTGGGGTCTTGCCTCTCATCTAAGTAGACACAAATGTAAATAATTCAAAAATGATTCTTGAATTCTAGGAATCCCAGGTTAACTACAGATTATCTCTAGCATTTATCACATTGAGGGAAACAATTACATTCTGAATTTGTTTAAAACTTGAGCCAGGGCCAGGCGCGGTGGCTCACGCCTGTAATCCCAGCACTTTGGGAGGCCGAGGCGGGTGGATCATGAGGTCAGGAGATCGAGACCATCCTGGCTAACAAGGTGAAACCCCGTCTCTACTAAAAATACAAAAAATTAGCCGGGCGCGGTGGCCGGCGCCTGTAGTCCCAGCTACTCGGGAGGCTGAGGCAGGAGAATGGCGTGAACCCGGGAAGCGGAGCTTGCAGTGAGCCGAGATTGCGCCACTGCAGTCCGCAGTCCGGCCTGGGCGACAGAGCGAGACTCCGTCTCAAAAAAAAAAAAAAAAAAAAAACAAACTTGAGCCAGAAATAAATTAAAATCTGAAAGTGTTCTATATCACCTCCATCTTCTCTGCTAAATAAATGTCCATTTATGAGTCATACTCTTTATTCCTTTCAAGATGTGTTCGGGTTGGGATCCACACATCACAGTGTAGTGGATATTGGTTGAACAATGAATGAGCATAAGACTAAAAATCCCCAAAACTAAGAGAAAGGGTTTATAGACATGTATGCATTTTTTCTTTTGTGTTTACTTGTGACACCCTCTTCAATGAGCCCCAATTGTGTTTTGTTGTGTTTTGTTTTTTTCCTTTACAGTGGAGCCCTTTAATACTCAACCCCAGTTATACTATATTGCACTTTCTAGGAGCTACAAAGGTAGTTTCTCAGCATGGTGCTTTGTTCTGGCTGGCATATTTCTTTTTAAGTGGTTATGGCAGCATGCTTTTTCATATCACTCCATCTTCCTGCTTACCACTTTGAAACATGCATCTGTTGCTTTAAGGCGCCTGAAGTTCATAGCAGTCTATGAGCTGTGGAGACTTTTCCTACCACTTTGTCATCTCTGGGTAGGAAACTTCTGGGAAAGCTTGATGTAAGAATGGAAGGCTGAAGTCCTTGCAAAGTAAGGTTGATAAGATGTGCATGAAGTTGTGCAAACATGCTGTGAGCTGCTGCTTTCTTGGTTTGAATATATTTCAATGGCTGTACGATTTTGGTTTATATTCATTTTTCATGGAGCTGTCATTTTCAAGGCAAGTTGTTGATGTGATGGCATTTGCTTAACTTGTGGTTGGTTCTTTTGTGTCTTCAGAACAGACAACTCCAGGGTCTGAAGGGACTGTTCAATAAGAATCCTAGGCACAGTTCTTCAGAAAACAATTCCCATTATGTACGGAAGCGATCCATTGGAGATAGAATTCTGCGACGCACAGCTAGCGCCCCAGCCAAAGGCAGGAAAAAGAGCAAAATGGGCTTCCAAGAAATGGTGGAGATAAAGGATTCTGTGTCCGAGGCCACAAGAGATCAAGATGGCGTGCTGAGGAGGACCACACGCAGTTTGCAAGCACGCCCTGTCTCTATGCCTGTTGACAGAAACCTTCTGGGAGCTTTGTCGCTGCCTGTATCTGAAACAGCAAAAGACATTGAAGGAAAAGAAAACTCTCTAGGTAAGATGCTTTAAGTTTCTCTGAGAATAAACCCTTCTAGGCTGCATGTCAGTCCCTGTTTACCATTATGAAGTGGCTGACATTCTGTAGTCAAAGTAAAATATACTGAAAAATAAATACTTTGTAATGTGATCTTCCAGACCAGAAGATTTTAAACTTTGGGGGCCAGGTAGATCCATTTCCTCCTCACCAAGAGCTTCATAATATCAACATCTGAAATTGACAGTGAGGGATAGGGGAGCCATTAGGTGTGATGGCACAGAGAGGAAGATGAAACCTGCAAAATAGGATTTGAAATATTGATTTTCCAAATGAGTGCCATATTTACTGATTTGTTTTGAGGGTGAATATAGTTGTATTACTTTTCTTACCATATAACACATTTCCATGATTGGAAATGTTTATGGAGAAAGAAAGCCAGATGTTAAAAACGAGCCACCTTTTTCAAAAACAGGCAAATCTTTTTTCTCAAGATGTGGCTCAGGCAGTGTTTTCCTGTGGCCTCACTTCCCTGATCCTTGGATGCTGACAGAGATAGAGGTGTGCCTGCAGCTTCAGCACGGTTGTGGGCTCCACAAGCATAGGGACCAGGTGCTGCCTGTCTTTTTCCTTAATTTGAGTGTATCATTGACTCATATCAGGAGCTCAATAAAGAGTGAAGACCGCCTTGCAGTGTGCCAGAGAATTTTTGACTGATGTTGGTGACTCCCAACCCATCCTATCTGGGGGTAAATTTAAGCGCCAAAACTGTGTGCATTTGATATCTCTGCAACAAATATGTTTTAATTAAATCAGAATCATCTCAGACAAGTAAAATGTGGTACTGATTTCCTTTAGCAAAATTATTCTTTTAACTTTTATCAAATGGTCTAATTTCAGTGCTCTCTTTTCCCACAAACACCATTTTACTTGTATTGATTTTTGTTACAAGATATTCTTCAGTGGTTTATTTGAAGGAGAAAAAGAACATTTAAAAGCTTGAAATTTTGCTAAGAGCAGTGTCAGAGAAGAGATAAAACATGTGCCTTAAAATGTATTTTAAAACCCCATCTTTGGGAAAAATAAAGCTATATTCAGTAGAAATTGGTTCTATCTGTTAATGCCACAGTTAAGATGTTAATACCATTAAGGTGAGTTAGAAAGCAATTTTGAGGTAATGTTTCTTGTCTACTTTTAAAAAACAGTTATATAAATTAGTCATGTGTATTAAAGTTTCGGTAAATATAAAACAATACATAGTTATGTTGCATTAAGTACAGAAAAAGCAGACTACAAAATTCTATATATTATTCTGTTCCTCTGCAAAATCTTACAGTGGCTGTCTCAGTGGTAACATCATATGGTATTTAATTTTTTCTTTATAATTTTTTGAGGTTTTCAAAATTTTTATGATGAATATTTTTAGTTTGGAAACTATTTAATAACAAGTTGAACAAGTTCTTTTTCTTATATATCATGACTCTGAAAGCATTAAATTATTAAAATAATCTGATGAAGAATTGAATACCTCATACTCTCCTAGCAGTATACTAACCATGATGGGCTATCCCAAATTACTGTGAATTGTGTTTTTATGGTTTTCCTTTACTGTGCCTGACAACTTACTGCCACTTTTAGGGAAGGATGCAATATGAAATTTGTGTATTAAAAAGAAATATATGATTAACAAAAAATTAGATATTAGCAATGACATGGAATTGATGACCAATTTTTATCTTTACATTTTAACTCAACAGATATTGATATTTTAATGCATTTATTGCACCTTCCAATTATTTTAGAAATTAATTGACTAAATTAAATATGCTCCCAAAATGTTTTGAAAATGATATTATTATGTTTTTCTTCTTTTCTTCTTTTTTTGTTTTAACTAATACATGTATAACTTTGAAAGCTTATAGTATCTTGCTTACAGGTACCACAATGCTTTGTTTAACAGAGCTGTCTTGTTCTGTTTCTATTGCCATGCTTCTGTGTAGTACAAATCTGAATAGGAAACAACTTAAGGTAATCCTCACTGTAAAAGTATGGTAACTCATTGACATTTTTTTGACAATGAATATTACATCCTTAGCAGATGTAATAGATATTCAAAGGGAAGCTCCAGTGAAATTCCTATAAATATATTTTACCATTTATTCATCACACAGACACTTTGTTGCAAACCTATGCAATCCATAATTATATTCTGTCACAGTGTAACAGATTTACATTCTCCATTTGTCTGTCCGAAGACAACATGAGTGTTTGCAGGTCCTACATAAAGTGATAGATGTCACCTAAAATATTGTTTGTCTCCTTCAGCAGAAGATAAAGATGGCAGAAGAAAAGGGAAAGCAAGTATAAAAGATCCACATTTTCTAAATTTCAACAAAAAGTTATCATCCTCCTCCAGTGCTCTGCTCCACAAAGATACCAGCCAAGGGGACACCATTGTATCTACTGCCCACATGTCAGTCACAGGAGAACAGCTGGGCATGTCAAGTCCTAGGGGTGGGAGAACCACATCAAATGCCACAAGCAATTGCCAGGAAAACCCCTGTCCCAGCAAGTCTCTCTCCCCAAAGCAGCATTTGGCTCCCGATCCTGTAGTTAACCCCACACAAGATCTGCATGGTGTGAAAATCAAGGAAAAGGGTAATCCTGAGGACTTTGTGGAAGGGAAAAGCATCTTGTCAGGAAGCGTCCTTTCTCATAGCAACCTAGAAATTAAGAACCTGGAAGGTAATAGGGGTAAGGGCCGAGCTGCAACATCCTTTTCTTTGTCAGACGTCTCCATGCTCTGTTCTGACATACCTGACCTACATTCAACTGCAATTCTGCAGGAGAGTGTAATTTCCCATCTTATTGACAATGTCACTTTAACAAATGAGAATGAGCCGGGCAGTTCCATCTCAGCCCTGATTGGCCAGTTTGATGAGACCAACAATCAGGCTCTCACAGTTGTTTCTCATCTTCATAATACCAGTGTGATGTCAGGCCATTGTCCCTTGCCTAGCCTGGGCCTAAAAATGCCCATCAAGCATGGTTTTTGCAAGGGAAAATCCAAGTCTTCCTTCCTGTGCTCATCTCCGGAGCTGATAGCACTCTCGAGTTCTGAGACCACCAAACATGCAACGAACACAGTTTATGAAACTACCTGCACTCCCATCTCTAAAACCAAACCAGATGATGACCTTTCTAGTAAGGCCAAGACAGCGGCCTTAGAAAGCAACCTGCCTGGATCCCCTAATACTTCTCGTGGCTGGTTACCAAAAAGTCCTACCAAGGGAGAAGACTGGGAAACACTGAAGAGCTGCAGCCCTGCCTCTTCCCCTGATTTGACCCTGGAGGATGTAATAGCTGATCCCACTCTCTGTTTCAATTCTGGGGAGAGCAGCCTTGTGGAAATTGATGGAGAATCAGAAAATCTTTCTCTAACAACCTGTGAATATAGGAGAGAGGGCACAAGTCAACTTGCTTCTCCTTTAAAACTCAAGTACAATCAGGGTGTGGTAGAACACTTTCAAAGAGGTTTGAGAAACGGCTACTGTAAAGAGACCCTCCGCCCTTCTGTCCCTGAAATATTCAACAATATTCAAGATGTCAAAACTCAAAGTATTTCTTATCTAGCCTATCAGGGTGCTGGCTTTGTGCATAATCATTTCTCAGATTCAGATGCAAAAATGTTCCAGACCTGTGTGCCCCAGCAATCTAGTGCTCAAGATATGCATGTCCCTGTACCCAAGCAGTTGGCACATCTTCCTTTGCCTGCTCTGAAACTGCCTAGTCCTTGCAAATCCAAAAGTCTGGGGGACTTAACATCAGAGGACATTGCCTGCAATTTTGAGAGCAAGTACCAGTGTATTAGTAAGAGTTTTGTTACAACTGGCATTAGAGACAAGAAGGGCGTGACTGTGAAGACAAAGTCGTTAGAGCCTATAGATGCCCTGACCGAGCAGCTTCGGAAGCTTGTGTCCTTTGACCAGGAAGACAACTGCCAAGTGCTATATTCAAAGCAGGATGCCAATCAGCTCCCCCGGGCACTGGTCAGGAAGTTGTCATCCAGAAGTCAGAGCAGAGTGCGCAATATTGCTAGTCGTGCCAAGGAGAAACAGGAAGCCAACAAGCAGAAAGTTCCAAACCCCAGCAATGGGGCAGGAGTGGTTCTTAGAAACAAACCCTCAGCACCCACCCCTGCAGTGAATCGCCACTCCACCGGCTCCTACATCGCAGGCTACCTGAAGAACACGAAAGGGGGTGGCCTTGAAGGCCGGGGCATCCCAGAGGGGGCATGCACGGCTCTTCACTATGGCCACGTTGACCAGTTTTGTTCAGATAATTCTGTTTTGCAGACTGAGCCAAGCAGTGATGATAAACCAGAAATTTATTTTCTTTTGAGACTGTGAATTATTTAAAACTGCATTCTTAAGGTTTTCAAGGTATTCTGTAGAATGTCAGAGTTTTCAGTAAATAAGTTCCTTGGCTTTGGAATGATTTTCAAATGTATTTTTAAACTTGTATTTGGGTCTCCCTTTGACTTCATGTGTTCTCCCTGTTAATGCGTTTGTATATAGATTTGGTGACATTTCCCATGTACCTATTATGATCTTTCTCCCTTGAGTTGTTGTAAACTGTATCAGTATGAAATATGTGCATGCCCTAGATGTGAAACTCCTCAGCAGCTCGGGTTATAATGTGTGTGTGTTTCACCAAGATGTCCTTTACTGTGTCCTCAGATTGCAGTCACAAATGTAGTCATTTTTACTCTCTAACTGTTGAGTTGATTAAGAGACTTTGCAAACGACAAAGGGATGAATTCCTTACTTTAATCTGTTATCATTTTTCCTATGTTTCCCTCTTTGTTCAGAAGCCCAGATGCATTTTTATAACTCAGTTTTAAAAACTTTAAAATAGTTACCTTGCCTTTTAGGATGTTCTTATCCCACCCATAATGAGAGTTGAAAGGGGATGGATAGCTGCTCCCCATGCCCTTCCCACTTTTTGGAATAGGCCGTGAGGGTGTGAGGAAGAAGGCTGTCTTTTGTACATAAGGACAAAATTGTTTGTTTTACATAAATTTTGTTACATATTTTTGCTAATGGCTTTGTATGTAACAAGAAGCGAGTTGCCAAACTACCTGTTGTACTTTTGAATTTTCTGATTGAATTACAGACTGCGAACAACGGCTTTCAGAATGAGGGACTTCCATCAGACTCTAATGATAATAGTAGCACAAATTGAAAACTTCCCCAAAGCTTTCACAGAATATTTTCTCATAATAAAATCCAAGTGAACAGATAATTAGAAGAAACCCTTTTCCTTCAGGGAACCAAGCAACTCTATTTTAGTACTGACATGCATTATTTTCACTGTGAATTCACTTTTTTATTGCATGTTCAGATGTCCCTCTTTGTTTTTTTTTTTTGTAACATTAACTGCAATGATGTTCTTCCTGGAATTCATGAAAATATAATTAAAACACATTTTTAAACACTTGGTGAACTTTTTTTACAATTGAAATTCATATGATGACTATTGAGTTAAAGCACTCAGCACTCTGACATCCTTTCCATGTGTTTGCGACAAAATAGAAAGCTATCACAGAGGACAGTTTTAAGCAGCAATTTATGTCTCTGAGTGTTTTCCTTATGCTTTAAAGAGCATATTTGTGAGGCGACTTGAAAGAAAATCAAATGTAATGAGTTTCCTTGCATTTGGCATTGCTATTGCAAGTTTAAAAATAAGCCTTCTGAACTGGTTGTGGTGGTGGGTGGTGGGAGGGAAGCGGTGGTAGTGGTGGTGGTGGTGGTGGTCGTGGGTGGGGGAGCTACGTGGGGAAGGCAAGTGAGAGGTTATGTTTGGCAAGTGAAATTGTCTGAAGCTTTGCAATGTGAGGGAAGAGTGCAGAGGAGAACACTTGGTCCCTGGTTCCCTTGGTCCCCAACTCTGAGCTTTTCCCCAAGGTTGGGGGTCCTTTATTTTCTGGACAGGCACTGGGAGTCTGGTTGGGGGCTGATGTGTAATGATGAAAGGGTAAGTGACCATTTCTATGCCCTTAGTGAGCCCAAGGCATTTTTGTTTTCTTGGGAGTTCTGAATCTCCTAATTCTATCCTTAGACCTTGGTTTGTTTTTAAGGTATCCTTGTTTTAGAAGGGATTGACATGCTGTACAGCTGTTAAAATTCACTTGCCAAAGAATAGAATTTAGCTGCCCTTTAGGATTTGACGGTATCTTTGTTCTAAAACAAATCCAGGAGTTTACATTTGTTTTGTTTTGTTCCTTTAGGGTAAACACTGACATTTTATGGACTAGAATTATGAGATCCCCAAAATTGTGGGAAGTGAAATACAAGCAATTTCAGAAAATAGGTTGGGAATGTTTCTAGCACAAAGAAAAGACAAATATTTAAGGTGTTAGATATCCCAGGTACAGTGATTTGTTCTTTATAAATTATATGAATGTACTAAATTATCATATGTACCCCCCTCCCAAAAGAAGAAAATAGGTTGGATGCACAGTACTTCTGGCTGTCCCAGGAAATACTCATTTTCCTTTGCTCCTTAAAGTTCTTAAATGGAAATATTTGATAAGCAAATTTGATAATGGACTGGGATTAAATCAAGTTCATTTCACACATGAAAAAACTGAGGCTCAGAGTAATTATTAATTTAATTAAATAAGCTTAATTACATTAAGTGTAATCCATTAGCACATTCATTTAGCTGATGCTTTCCCTTTAAAAAAAACAAAAAACACATATTATTTCTTGGTTAATATTGAATTTAAATCCTCTTCCTTTTTAAATTTTTTTATTATTTAATTTGTGTGGGTACACAGTAGGTGCATATATGTATGGAGTACATGAGATGTTTTGATATAGGCATGCAATGTGAAATAAGCACATCATGGAGAATGGAGTATCCATTTCCTCAAGCATTTATCCTTTGACTTACCCATTGACTTACGAACAATCCAATTACACTCTTTATTTTAAAATATACAGTTAAGTTATTATTGACTATAGTCATCCTGTTGTGCTATCACATAGTAGGTCTTATTCATTCTTTCTATTTTTTTTGTATTAATTAGCCATCTTCACCTCCCTACTCCCAGTCTCCCACTACACTTCCCAGCCTATGTAACTATCCTACTCTCTATATCCATGAATTCAATTGTTTTGATTTTTAGATCCCACAAATAAGTGAGAACATGCAATGTTTGTTTTTCTGTGTCTGGCTTATTTCACTTAACCTAATGATCTCCAGTTCCATCCATGTTGTTGTAAATGACGATCTCATTCTTTTTATGGCTGAATAGTACTCCATTGTGTATATGTACCACATTTTCTTTATCCATTCATCTATTGATAGACACTTAGGTTGCTTCCAAATCTTAGCTAAGGTAAGCAGTGCTGCAACACACATAGGAGTGCAGAGATCTCTTTGATATAATGATTTCCTTTCTTTTGGGTATATACCTAGAAGTGGTATTGCTGGATCATATGATAGCTCAATTTTTAGTTTTTTGAGGCACTTCCAAACTGTTCTCCATAGTAGTTATGCTAATTTATATTCCCACCAACAGTGTACAATGGTTCCCTTTTCTCCACATCCTCATCAGCATTTGATTTTGCCTGTCTTTTGGATAAAAGCCATTTTAACTGGGGTGAGATGATATCTCATTGTAGTTTTGATTTGCATTTCTCTGATGATCAATGATGTTGAGCACCTTTTCATATGCCTGTTTTCCATTTGTATGTCTTCTTTTGAGAAATGTCTATTAAAATCTGTTGCCCATTTTTTGATCAGATTATTAGATTTTTTTCTATAGAGTTGTTTGAGTTCCTTATATATTCTGGTTACTAATCCCTTGTCAGAGGGGTCATTTGCAAATATTTTCTCCCATTCTGTGTGTTGTCTCTTCACTTTGTTCATTGTTTCCTTTGCTGTGCAGAAGCCTTTTAACTTGATGTGATCCCATTTGTCTGTTTTTGCTTTGGTTGCCCGTGCTTGTGGGTATTTCTCAAAAAAATTTTGCCTAGACCAATGTCCTGGAAATTTCCAATATTTTCTTGTAGTCATTTTATAGCTTAACATCTTAGATTTGTCTTTAATTCATTTTAATTTGATTTTTGTATATGGCGAGAGGTAGGGGTCTATTTTCTTTATCTTGTATATAGATACCCAGTTTTCCCAGTACTGCTTATTGAAGAGACTGTCTTTTCCTTAGCATATGTTCTTGGCACTTTTGTTGAAAATGAGTTCACTGTAGGTGTGTGGATTTGTTTCTGCATTTTCTATTGTGTTCCATTGATCTGTGTGTCTGTTTTCATGCCAGTACCATGCTGTTTTGGTTACTATAGCTCTGTAATATAATTTGAAGTCAGGTAATGTGATTCCTCTGGGTTTGTTCTTTTTGCTTAGGATACCTTTGGCTACTCTGGGTCTTTTGTGGTTCCATATAAATTTTAGGATTATTTTTTCTGTTTCTGTGAAGAATGTCATTGGTATTTTGATAGGGATTGCATCGAATCTGTAGATTGCTTTGGGTAGTGTGGATATTTTAATGACATTGAGTCTTCCAATCCATGAATATGGAATATTTTTCATTGTTCGGTGTCCTTTTCAATTTCCTTCATCAGTGTTTTATAGTTTTCATTATAGAGAGCTTAATATGTGGCTATTGTAAATAGGATTACTTTAATTTTTTTCACATTGTTCACTGTTGACATATTGAAATGCTACTGATTTTTGTATGTTGATTTTGTATCCTGCAACTTTGCTGAATTTGTTTATCAGTTCTACTAATTTTCTTGTGGAGTCTTTAGTTTTTTCTAAATATAAGATCATATCATCCTTAAACAAGGATAATTTGACTTCTTCCTTTTCAATTTGGATGCCCTTTATATCTTTCTCTTGTCTGATTGCTCTAGCTAGAACTTTCAGTACTATGGTGAATAACAATGGTGACAGTGGGCACCCTCATCATGTTCCAGATCTTAGAGGAAAGGCTTTCCAGTTTTTCCCCCATTCAATATGATACTAGCTGTGGGTCTGTTGTATATGACTTTTATTACTTTGAGGTATGTTCCTTCTAGCCTCAGTTTTATCATAAAGGGATGTTAAATTTTATCAAATACTTTTTCAGCATCAATTGAAATTATCATATGTTTTTTATTCTTTATTCTATTGATATGATGTATCATACTGATTGATTTGCATATGTTGGACCATCCATGGGTGATAAATCCCACTTAGTCATAATGAATGATCTTTCTAATGTATTGCTGAATTGGTTTGCTAGTATTTTGTTACGGATTTTTGCATCAATATTCATCACAGATATTGGCCTGTCATTTTCTTTTTTTGTGTCTTTTTCTGGTTTTTGTGTCAAGGTAATACTGGCTTCATAGAAAGAGTTTGGAAGTGTTCCTTCTTCCTCTATTTTCTGGAATAGTTTGAGTAGGATTGGTGTAAGTCATTCTTTAAATGTTTGGTAGAATTCAGCAGTGAAGCCATCAGTTTGCAGGCTTTTCTCTACTGAGAGACTTTTTTATTACAGCTTTGATCTCATTACTTGTTATCAATTTGTTTGGGTTTTGGATTTCTTCCTGGTTCAATCTTGGTAGGTTTTATATATCTAGAAATTTGTCAATTTCTTCTAGATTTTCCAATTTATTGGCATGTAGTTGCTCATGGTAGCCACTAATGGTCCTTCGAATTGCTGCAATATCAGTTGTAATGTCTCTTTTTTCATTTCTCATTTTATTTATTTGGATCTTCTCTCTTTTTTCTTAGTCTGGCTAAAGGTTTGTCAATTTTGTTTACATTAGAAAACACTAACTTTTTGTTTTATTGATCCTTTGTAATTTTTCCCACTCTAATGTTGTTTATTTGTGCTCTGATCTTTATTATTTATTTTTTTCTACTAATTTTGGGTTTGGTTTCCTTTGCTTTTCTGGTTCTTTAAGATGCATTGTTAGATTGTTTATTTGAAGTTTTTCCTCTTTTTAAATGTAGGCACTTATAGCTCTAGACTTCCCTCTGAGTGCTGCTTTTGCTGTATCCTGTAGGTTTTGGTAAGTTATATTTCCATTATCGTTTTCTAGATCCTGTAGAAATTTTAAAATTTTCTTCTTAATTTCTTTTTGAACCAGTGGTTATTCAGGAACATATTGTTTAATTTCCATGTATTTGTATAGTTTCCAAAATTTCTCATTATTAATTTTTAGTTTTATTGCATTGTGCTCAGAGAAGATGCTTGATATTATTCCATTTTTTTGTCTTTTTTTTTTTTTAATACTTTAAGTTTTAGGGTACATGTGCACATTGTGCAGGTTAGTTACATATGTATACATGTGCCATGCTGGTGCACTGCACCCACTAACTCGTCATCTAGCATTAGGTATATCTCCCAATGCTATCCCTCCCCCCTCCCCCCACCCCACCACAGTCCCCAGAGTGTGATATTCCCCTTCCTGTGTCCATGTGATCTCATTGTTCAACTCCCACCTATGAGTGAGAATATGCGGTGTTTGGTTTTTTGTTCTTGCGATAGTTTACTGAGAATGATGGTTTCCAATTTCATCCATGTCCCTACAAAGGACATGAACTCATCATTTTTTATGGCTGCATAGTATTCCATGGTGTATATGTGCCACATTTTCTTAATCCAGTCTATCATTGATGGACATTTGGGTTGGTTCCAAGTCTTTGCTATTGTGAATAATGCTGCAATAAACATACGTGTGCATGTGTCTTTATAGCAGCATGATTTATAGTCCTTTGGGTATATACCCAGTAATGGGATGGCTGGGTCAAATGGTATTTCTAGTTCTAGATCCCTGAGGAATCGCCACACTGACTTCCACAATGGTTGAACTAGTTTACAGTCCCACCAACAGTGTAAAAGTGTTCCTATTTCTCCACATCCTCTCCAGCACCTGTTGTTTCCTGACTTTCTAATGATTGCCATTCTAACTGGTGTGAGATAGTATCTCATTGTGGTTTTGATTTGCATTTCTCTGATGGCCAGTGATGATGAGCATTTTTTCATGTGTTTTTTGGCTGCATAAATGTCTTCTTTTGAGAAGTGTCTGTTCATGTCCTTCGCCCACTTTTTGATGGGGTTGTTTGTTTTTTTCTTGTAAATTTGTTTGAGTTCATTGTAGATTCTGGATATTAGCCCTTTGTCAGATGAGTAGGTTGCAAAACTTTTCTCCCATTTTGTAGGTTGCCTGTTCACTCTGATGGTAGTTTCTTTTGCTGTGCAGAAGCTCTTTAGTTTAATTAGATCCCATTTGTCAATGTTGGCTTTTGTTGCCACTGCTTTTGGTGTTTTAGACATGAAGTCCTTGCCCATGCCTATGTCCTGAATGGTAATGCCTAGGTTTTCTTCTAGGGTTTTTATGGTTTTAGGTCTAACGTTTAAGTCTTTAATCCATCTTGAATTGATTTTTGTATAAAGTGTAAGGAAGGGATCCAGTTTCAGCTTTCTACATATGGCTAGCCAGTTTTCCCAGCACCATTTATTAAATAGGGAATCCTTTCCCCATTGCTTGTTTTTCTCAGGTTTGTCAAAGATCAGATAGTTGTAGATATGTGGTGTTATTTCTGAGGGCTCTGTTCTGTTCCATTGATCTATATCTCTGTTTTGGTACCAGTACCATGCTGTTTTGGTTACTGTAGCCTTGTAGTATAGTTTGAAGTCAGGGAGTGTGATGCCTCCAGCTTTGTTCTTTTGGCTTAGGATTTCCTTGGCGATGCGGGCTCTTTTTTGGTTCCATATGAACTTTAAAGTAGTTTTTTCCAATTCTGTGAAGAAAGTCATTGGTAGCTTGATGGGGATGGCATTGAATCTGTAAATTACCTTGGGCAGTATGGCCATTTTCACGATATTGATTCTTCCTACCCATGAGCATGGAATGTTCTTCCGTTTGTTTGTATCCTCTTTTATTTCCTTGAGCAGCAGTTTGTAGTTCTCCTTGAAGAGGTCCTTCACGTCCCTTGTAAGTTGGATTCCTAGGTATTTTATTCTCTTTGAAGCAATTGTGAATGGGAGGTCACTCATGATTTGGCTCTCTGTCTGTTATTGGTGTATAAGAATGCTTGTGATTTTTGTACATTGATTTTGTATCCTGAGACTTTGCTGAAGTTGCTTATCAGCTGAAGGAGATTTTGGGCTGAGACAATGGGGTTTTCTAGATATACAATCATGTCATCTGCAAACAGGGACAATTTGACTTCCTCTTTTCCTAATTGAATACCCTTTATTTCCTTCTCCTGCCTAATTGCCCTGGCCAGAACTTCCAACACTATGTTGAATAGGAGTGGTGAGAGAGGGCATCCCTGTCTTGTGCCAGTTTTCAAAGGGAATGCTTCCAGTTTTTGCCCATTCAGTATGATATTGGCTGTGGGTTTGTCATAGATAGCTCTTATTATTTTGAAATACGTCCCATCAATACCTAATTTATTGAGAGTTTTTAGTATGAAGGGTTGTTGAATTTTGTCAAAGGCTTTTTCTGCATCTATTGAGATAATCATGTGGTTTTTGTCTTTGGCTCTGTTTATATGCTGGATTACATTTATTGATTTACGTATATTGAACCAGCCTTGCATCCCAGGGATGAAGCCCACTTGATCATGGTGGATAAGCTTTTTGATGTGCTGCTGGATTCGTTTTGCCAGTATTTTATTGAGGATTTTTGCATCAATGTTCATCAAGGATATTGGTCTAAAATTCTCTTTTTTGGTTTTGTCTCTGCCCGGCTTTGGTATCAGGATGATGCTGGCCTCATAAAATGAGTTAGGGAGGATTCCCTCTTTTTCTATTGATTGGAATAGTTTCAGAAGGAATGGTACCAGTTCCTCCTTGTACCTCTGGTAGAATTCGGCTGTGAATCCATCTGGTCCTGGACTCTTTTTGGTTGGTAAACTATTGATTTTTGCCACAATTTGAGCTCCTGTTATTGATCTATTCAGAGATTCAACTTCTTCCTGGTTTAGTCTTGGGAGGGTGTATGTGTCGAGGAATTTATCCATGTCTTCTAGATTTTCTAGTTTATTTGTGTAGAGTTGTTTGTAGTATTCTCTGATGGTAGTTTGTATTTCTGTGGGATCGGTGGTGATATCCCCTTTATCATTTTTTATTGTGTCTATTTGATTCTTCTCTCTTTTTTTCTTTATTAGTCTTGCTAGTGGTCTATCAATTTTGTTGATCCTTTCAAAAAACCAGCTCCTGGATTCATTAATTTTTCGAAGGGTTTTTTGTGTCTCTATTTCCTTCAGTTCTGCTCTGATTTCAGTTATTTCTTGCCTTCTGCTAGCTTTTGAATGCGTTTGCTCTTGCTTTTCTAGTTCTTTTAATTGTGATGTTGGGGTGTCAATTTTGGATCTTTCCTGCTTTCTCTTGTGGGCATTTAGTGCTATAAATTTCACTCTACACACTGCTTTGAATGCATCCCAGAGATTCTGGTATGTTGTGTCTTTGTTCTCGTTGGTTTCAAAGAACATCTTTATTTCTGCCTTCATTTCGTTATGTATCCAGTAGTTATTCATGAGCAGGTTGTTCAGTTTCCATGTAGTTGAGCGATTTTGAGTGAGATTCTTAATCCTGAGTTCTAGTTTGATTGCACTGTGGTCTGAGAGATAGTTTGTTATAATTTCTGTTCTTTTACATTTGCTGAGGAGAGCTTTACTTCCAAGTATGTGGTCAATTTTGGAATAGGTGTGGTGTGGTGCTGAAAAAAATGTATATTCTGTTGATTTGGGGTGGAGAGTTCTGTAGATGTCTATTAGGTCTGCTTGGTGCAGAGCTGAGTTCAATTCCTGGGTATCCTTGTTGACTTTCTGTCTCGTTGATCTGTCTAATGTTGACAGTGGGGTGTTAAAGTCTCCCATTATTAATGTGTGGGAGTCTAAGTCTCTTTGTAGGTCACTCAGGACTTGCTTTATGAATCTGGGTGCTCCTGTATTGGGCGCATATATATTTAGGATAGTTAGCTCTTCTTGTTGAATTGATCCCTTTACCATTATGTAATGGCCTTCTTGGTCTCTTTTGATGTTTGTTGGTTTAAAGTCTGTTTTATCAGAGACTAGGATTGCAACCCCTGCCTTTTTTTGTTTTCCATTTGCTTGGTAGGTCTTCCTCCATCCTTTTATTTTGAGCCTATGTGTGTGTCTGCACGTGAGATGGGTTTCCTGAATACAGCACACTGATGGGTCTTGACTGTTTATCCAATTTGCCAGTCTGTGTCTTTTAATTGGAGCATTTAGTCCATTTATATTTAAAGTTAATATTGTTATGTGTGAATTTGATCCTGTCATTATGATGTTAGCTGGTTATTTTGCTCGTTAGTTGATGCACTTTCTTCCTAGTCTCGATGGTCTTTACATTTTGGCATGATTTTGCAGTAGCTGGTACTGGTTGTTCCTTTCCATGTTTAGCGCTTCCTTCAGGAGCTCTTTTAGGGCAGGCCTGGTGGTGACAAAATCTCTCAGCATTTGCTTGTTTGTAAATTATTTTATTTCTCCTTCACTTATGAAGCTTAGTTTGGCTGGATATGAAATTCTGGGTTGAAAATTCTTTTCTTTAAGAATGTTGAATATTGGCCCCCACTCTCTTCTGGCTTGTAGGGTTTCTGCCGAGAGATCCGCTGTTAGTCTGGTGGGCTTCCCTTTGAGGGTAACCCGACCTTTCTCTCTGGCTGCCCTTAACATTTTTTCCTTCATTTGAACTTTGGTGAATCTGACAATTATGTGTCTTGGAGTTGCTCTTCTCGAGGAGTATCTTTGTGGCGTTTTCTGTATTTCCTGAATCTGAACGTTGGCCTGCCTTGGTAGATTGGGGAAGTTCTCCTGGATAATATCCTGCAGAGTGTTTTCCAACTTGGTTCCATTCTCCCCATCACTTTCAGGTACACCAATCAGATGTAGATTTGGTCTTTTCACATAGTCCCATATTTCTTGGAGGCTTTACTCGTTTCTTTTTATTCTTTTTTCTCTAAACTTCCCTTCTCGCTTCATTTCATTCATTTCATCTTCTATCGCTGATACCCTTTCTTCCAGTTGATCGCATCGGCTCCTAAGGCTTCTGTATTCTTCACGTAGTTCTCGAGCCTTGGTTTTCAGCTCCATCAGCTCCTTTAAGCACTTCTCTGTATTGGTTATTCTAGTTATACATTCTTCTAAATTTTTTTCAAAGTTTTCAACTTCTTTGCCTTTGGTTTGAATGTCATCCCGTAGCTCAGAGTAATTTGATCGTCTGAAGCCTTCTTCTCTCAGCTCGTCAAAGTCATTCTCCATCCAGCTTTGTTCCGTTGCTGGTGAGGAACTGCGTTCCTTTGGAGGAGGAGAGGCGTTCTGCGTTTTAGAGTTTCCAGTTTTTCTGTTCTGTTTTTTCCCTATCTTTGTGGTTTTATCTACTTTTGGTCTTTGATGATGATGATGTACAGATGGGTTTTTGGTGTGGATGTCCTTTCTGTTTGTTAGTTTTCCTTCTAACAGACAGGACCCTCAGCTGCAGGTCTATTGGAATACCCTGCCGTGTGAGGTGTCAGTGTGCCCCTGCTGGGGGGTGCCTCCCAGTTAGGCTGCTCAGGGGTCAGGGGTCAGGGACCCACTTGAGGAGGCAGTCTGCCCGTTCTCAGATCTCCAGCTGCGTGCTGGGAGAACCACTGCTCTCTTCAAAGCTGTCAGACAGGGACATTTAAGTCTGCAGAGGTTACTGCTGTCTTTTTGTTTGTCTGTGCCCTGCCCCCAGAGGTGGAGCCTACAGATGCAGGCAGGCCTCCTTGAGCTGTGGTGGGCTCCACCCAGTTTGAGCTTCCTGGCTGCTTTGTTTACCTAAGCAAGCCTGGGCAATGGCGGGCGCCCCTCCCCCAGCCTCGCTGCCGCCTTGCAGTTTGATCTCAGACTGCTGTGCTAGCAATCAGCGAGACTCCATGGGCGTAGGACCCTCCGAGCCAGGTGCGGGATATAATCTCGTGGTGCACCGTTTTTTAGGCCGGTCCGAAAAGCGCAGTATTCGGGTGGGAGTGACCTGATTTTCCAGGTGTGTCCATCACCCCTTTCTTTGACTCGGAAAGGGCACTCCCTGACCCCTTGCGCTTCCCAAGTGAGGCAATGCCTCGCCCTGCTTCGGCTCGCACACGGTGCGCACACCCACTGACCTGTGCCCACTGTCTGTAACTCCCTAGTGAGATGAACCCGGTACCTCAGATGGAAATGCAGAAATCACCCGTCTTCTGCGTCGCTCACGTTGGGAGCTGTAGACCGGAGCTGTTCCTATTCGGCCATCTTGGCTCCTCCCCCTATTATTCCAATTTTTAAAAATGTTTTAAGACTTGTTTTGTGACCTAACATATGGTCTGTCCTTGAGAATGACCCATGTGCTAAGGAAAAGAATGTGGATTCTGCAGCTCTTGGATGAAATGTTCTGTAAATACCTGTTAGATCTATTTTGTCTGTAGTGCGGATTAAGTCTCATGTTTCTTTGTTGATTTTCTATCTGGAAGATCTGTCTAATGCTGAAAGTGGAGTGTTGATGTCTCCCACTACTATTGTATTGGGGCCTAGCTCTCTCTTTACCTCTAATAACATTTGCTTTATATATCTGGGTGCTCCTTTGTTAAGTGTTTAAACATATATGTTTAAATTTGTTATATATATGTTTAAAATTGTTATATCTTCTTGCTGAATTGACCCCTTTGTCATTATGGAATGACCTTCTTTGTCTCTTCTTATAGTTTTTGTCTTGAAATCTATTTTGTCTGATGTAAGTATAGTGACTCCTGCTCTTTTTTGGTTTCCATTAGCATGGAATGCCTTTTTCCATCCGTTTATTTTCAGTCTATGTGTGTCCGTGTAGGTGAAGTGTGTTTCTTGTAGACAGCAGATCAGTGGGTCTTGTTTTTCATTATTCAGCCAGTCTGTCTTTTGGAGAATTTAGCCCAAGTACATTCAATGTCATTTTTAGGACTTACTCCTCCCATTTTGTTGTTCGTTTTCTGGTTGTTTTGTGGTCTTCTCTTCCTACTTTCTTTCCTTTCTGTCTTCCCCTAGTAAAGGTGATTTTCTCTGGTGATATGATTTAGTTTCTTGCTTTTTATTTTTTTGTGTATTCTTCGTATGTCTTTTGCTTTGAGGTTACCATGAGGCTTGCAAATACTATCTTATAACCCATTATTTTAACCTGATAGCAACATTATTTGCATAAACAAACAAGCAAAAGGAAAACTAATGAAAACTTTATGCTTTAACTTCATACCCCCACTTTTTAACTTTTTGTCATTTTTATTTATATCTTATTGTACTGACTATGTCTTGAAAAGGTGTTTTAGGTATTATTGATTGGTTCCTCATTTAGTCTTTCCACTTAGGATAAGAGTAGTTTACAAAACACAGTTATGGTGTTATAATGCTCTGTGTTTTTCTCTGTACTTACTATTACCAGTGAGTTTTGTGCCTTCGGATGATTATTTATTTCTCATTAATGTCCTTTTCTTTCTGACTGAAGTATTCCCTTTAACATTTCTTATAGGACAAGTCTGGTATTGAGGAAGTCCATCAGCTTTTGTTTGTCTGGGCAAGTCTTTATTTCTCCTTCATGTTTGAAAGATATTTTTGCCAGTTATACTATTTTAGGGTAAGAGTTTCTTTTTCCTTTAGCACTTTAAATATGTCATGCCTCTCTCTCCTGGACTGTGAGGTTTCCACTGAAAAGTCTGCAGCCAGATGTATTGTAACTCTATTGTATGTTATTTATTTTCTCTTGCTGCTTTTAGGATTTTTTTTTTTTTTGAGACAGAGTTTTGTTCTTATCACCCATGCTGGAGTGCAATGGCATGATCTTGGCTCACTGCAACCTCTGCCTCCCAGGTTTAAGTGATTCTCCTTCCTCAGCCTCCAAAGTAGCTGGGATTACAGGTGCGCACCACCACGTCCAGCTAATTTTTGTATTTTCAGTAGAGATGGGGTTTCACCATGTTGGCCAGGCTGGTCTCGAACTCTTGAGCCCAGGTGACCCACCCACCTTAGCCGTCCAAAGTGCTGGGATTACAGGCGTGAGCCACCGCACCTGGTCTAGGATCCTTTCTTTATCTTTTTTATTTTTTTTTTTTGGTCAGAAGACTTCTACTGAAGATCTTTCTTTATCCTTGACTTTTGGGAGTTTAATTATTAAGTGGCTTGAGGTAGTCTTCTTTGGGTTAAATCTGCTTGGTGTTCTATAACCTTTTGTATTTGGATATTGATATATTTCTCTAGGTTTAGGAAGTTCTGTTTTTATGCCTTTGAATAAACTTTCTACCCCCTATCTCTTTCTCTACCGCTTCTTTAAGGCCAATAACTGTTAGATTAGCCCTTTTGAGGCTATTTTCTAGATCCTGTAGGCATTCTTCATTGTTTTTTATAATTTTTTTCTCCTCTGACTATATATTTTCAAATAGCCTGTCTTCAAACTCACTAATTCTTTTGTCTGCTTGATCAAGTCCACAATTAAAGAACTCTGATGCATTCTTTGGTATGTCAATTGCATTTTTCAGCTCCAGAATTTCTGCTTGATTTTTCTAAATTATTTCAATCTCTTTGTTATGTTTATCTAATAGAATTCTGAATTCCTTCTCTGTGTTATGTTGAACTTCTTTGAGTTTCCTCAAGACAGCTATTTTGAATTCTCTGTCTGACAGGTCACATATCTCTGTTTCTACAGGATTGGTCCCTGGTGGCTTATTTAATTCCTCTGGTGAGGTAATGTTTTCCTGGATGGTGTTGATGCTAGTAGATGTTCTTCAGTGTCTGAGCATTGAAAAATCAGGTATTTATTGCAGTCTTCACTGTCTGAGCTTATTTGTAGGCATCCTTCTTGGAAAGGTTTTCTAGGTATTTGAAAGAATTTGAGTGTTGTGATCTCAGCTGTGTCTGCTTTAGAGGGCACTCCAAGCCTAGTAACAGTGTGGTTCTTGCAGACTCATAGAGGTACCACCTTGATGATTTTGGACAAGATCCAGGAGAATTCTCTGAATTACCTGGCAAAGACTCTTGTTCTTTTCCCTTACTTTCTTCTGACATACAGAGTTTCTCTCTCTCTCTCCTCTGTTCTAAGCCACGTAAACCTGGGGGTGAAGACCACCCCTGTAGTCACCACTGCTATGACTGCACTGGGTCAGATCCAAAGCCTGCACAGTGCTGAGTCTCACCTAAGGCCTACTGTGACCACTCCCTGGCTACTGCCTATGTTTGCTGAAGGCCCTGGGGCTCTACAGTCAGCAAGTGGCAAAGCCAACCATGCCTGGGTCCCACCTTTCAGGGCGGTGAAATCTCATAGACCCTAGGTGGGCCCAGAGGTGCCTTCCAGGAGTCAGGAACTGGAGTCAAAAACCTCAGAAATCTATCCGGTGTTCTGTTGTATTGTGGCTGCATTGGCACTGAAACCACAAGATGCAGTCCTTCCCACTCCTCTTCCCTCCTTTTTCCAAAGGCAGAGGAGCCTCACCTTGTAGCCACTGCCACCCCAGGCCATGAGGAGTACTGTCAGACTACCACCAATGTTCCCTTAAGCCCGAAGGGTCTCTTAAGTCAGTTTGTTATGAATGCTGCCTGGCCTGTGAGTCCCTCTTTAGGGCACTGGGCTCCCCTCTGGCCCAGGGCAGGTCCAGAAATGCTGTCTAAGAGTCAAGTTCTAGAATTGGGAACCCCAAGAACCTGCTTGGTGCTGTATCTCCCTGTGGCCTTGCTGGTACATAAGATGCAAGAGAGAGTCCCTTTTACTTTTCCCTCGCCTTTCTCAAGCAGAAGGAGTTTGCCCATAGCCACCACAGCTGGTAATGCTCTGAATTTTACCTAAAGCCGGCAAGTCTCAGAGGCTCACCCAAGGCCCTTGACATAATACCTAGGTATCGCTGCTGTTCATTTGGGGTCCAAGTACTCTTCAGTTAGCAGGCGATGAATGCTGCTGGTACTGGTCCTTTCCTTCAAGGCAGCAGGTTCCCTCTAGCCCAGGGTATGTCTAGAATGTCATCTGGAAGCTAGTGTTTGGAACAGGGGTCTCATGACTCTGAGTGGTACCATCTGCTGTGGCTGAGCTTGTATCCTAGATGTAAGACAGTCCTCCCCACTCTTCCTTCTCCTTTATATTTACATTTGGATGTTAACTCTGCCTTGAGGAGATCTAGTCATAAGATAAATGACTGGGACAAAGTGGTGGTTTATCAGACCAATCCCTCTAGTGCCCATGTGTGTCTGTCACTCTTTTTTTTTTTTTTTTTTGAGACAGAGTCTCACTCTGTCACCCAGCCTGGAGTGCATTGGCATGATCTCGGCTCATTGCAAGCTCCACCTCCCAGGTTCACACCATTCTCCTGCCTCAGCCTCCCCAGCAGCTGGGACTACAGGCACACGCTGCCACGCCTAGCTAATTTTTGTATTTTTAGTAGAGACGGGGTTTCACTGTGTTAGCCAGTATGGTCTCGATCTCCTGACCTTGTGATCCACCTGCCTTGGCCTCCCAAAGTGCTGGGATTATAGGCATGAGCCACCGTGCCCGGCTGTCACTCTTACATGTAGTATTATTCTACTAATAGGACATTGGAAGAGAAGAGGAAGCAATTTTACAATTATCATTTGGAGATTGCCTAATAAGGAAGAGGCAGTAGTAAAGCTTAAATTTTAATAAAAGCTTTGGATTCATCAGGGTTTCACTTATCAGGAGGGATGGAAAAGGGACTCATTCGGTCACAAGGCACTCACACAAGTGAGGTCTCAATCAAGATACTAACAGACTTCCTGATTTTTTTTTTAATAGAACTGCAGAATCCAGGAAGTACCTAGTCTCTGCAAAATCTACCTAGAGCAAACCTGTAAAATTTCAAAGTTTTCTCATTTGACTCCTTTCCTAGAGGCTTCAGGGCATGTTTTAAGACTGAACAGTAACAAGTGGCTGGGGGAGTTGCCTGCAGCAGTGCTATATCCACAGAGGACAGAAGCAAAGCTTCTGAATATAAATATAATCAACCCACCTTTTCCACTTAAAAATTTTTAGTGGTTCTCCACAACTTACAGAATAAGGTTCCATAAGCTTGCATAGAGAGTCTTTGATTTGTGTTTCTGCAGCCTGGCTTCCTCTGCCTTAGATTGCCCTTTCCTCTTTTGCCCAATGCATTCTTCAAGATGCATCCTGGAAGATCTCTTTCCCTAGGGAGCCTTTCCTGATCATCATCTCCTCTTCCTTTATTGTCTCCAACCCATCAAGAATTACACAATCTCATTTGAGGACCTCCAATGCACCTGTGAAACCCTGGGTTCCACTTCATTGTAGGGATCTCTTCACATGTCTGCCTTCTCCACTAGACCTAGACTTCCCTAAGGGCATGACCATGCCTTGTCCCTTTTCCCTAGCTCAAAGCCTGGTACCCATGTGCATTCAGTAAACATCTGATAAACTGATGAATCAGGGAACTTAGGGAAAATGTGAGAGTAAACAGTCTACTATCCCAGTTTGCTGTATGCCTAGAAGGAGGAAGAAGCACAGGATCTTGTTCCATTTTTTGTGTGTGTGGTGATGACTAAATTTATCTTTTTATATTTCTCTTTGGTTCTCTCATTTCTCGGTTTCCATCCAGTCCATTTTTTTCCTCTCGCTTTTAATTTAGTGACTAGTCATTTGCCATGTGTAAGAGTAACTGATATTTGTATAGGATTCTGTAATATAAAGAGACTTTTGTACATAGTGCATCTCATCTAGACCTTATGACAATTTTGTGAGGAGATGATGTTACCCCCACTTCATAGATTCCAGAAATGAGTCTCATTGAACTTGTGATTTGCCCAAGGTCATGAGGGATAAGAAGTAGCTGAGCAAGGTTATTCCAACTCCTACGTTAGTCCTCTTTCCCCTACACACCATTGCCTTTTCTGAAGAGTTTAATAAACATATAGTTAACATCTAGTCTGGGCTAGGTACTCAGCTGGGTGTTAGTGTTATGATAATAAGGACTTATCTTTATTATCAGACTTAGCACCTGGTAGAGGTGCTGAGATAAAATATATTGGTTTTGTTCTAAATGTCCGAACAATTAGAAACATATCACCTATGGTAGTTGAAAATATAAGAGAGAAAGTTTTGTTGCTGTATATATGACATACATGAATTATCCACTTTTTCTTTTGACTGAAGTACCTATTTCACTGGGGGGTGGGAGTGCATTCCCAAAGAAGCAAGAATGACAGTAATAGAGAATTGAGGCAGAGACAGGAGAGGAAATACAAAGGGATGAGTTACTGAGCTGACCATAGCTTTACAACAAAACCAGCTAGATAACTGGATTTACAGGATGTCTCCAGAGTAGCCATACGAAAAGACTGCCTCTGAGAGAAGTTCGCTGTAGGGAAGGATGAGAGATCTTCTGATATCTTTCCTATCTACTTTCTTTTAGTGGTGAAGTCTACCCTAAAAGGCACTCACTTCCTGTATTTCCAGGTTGTGTTACACAATCCCTCCAGGCATCCACTGGGGAGCCAGAACCCTGGGGTGCAGTGCACTAGTCTCTCCATGCCAGCTGGGGCTGCATGTGGGGACTCCTCAGTGTATGGTGTCAGTGACAGTGGCAGCAGCAACAGTAGCTGGGACTTAACCACTGTGCGAGTAG
Source organism: Homo sapiens (assembly GCF_000001405.40). Taxonomy (NCBI): domain Eukaryota; kingdom Metazoa; phylum Chordata; class Mammalia; order Primates; family Hominidae; genus Homo; species Homo sapiens. Next base: position 155,462,730 of record NC_000003.12, on the reverse strand, counting down.
CTGAGTAGCTGAAACAATGCAAACGGTTGACTTTGAGTGGGATGGGGTGGGTAGGGATGAGAGGAGCTGGTGTGATACATAACCTGGGTCTGATATGCTGCATCTCTTGCACTAATTCTATTTTCTTGCATATTAGTATATACCAAATGTTGTACGAGAACAAGATATTTTTCACTATTTCCTCAAGAAGGGAGGGGCAAGGCCAGTCCTTCCAGATCGTGGTCAGTTTCAATCCCCTAAACAACATTTAAAGATGGGCAAATCAAGCTGCACTCCACTGCTGCAGCTGGTTCAGGGTCATAGCTGATACTCACCATCTCTGTTGTCTCTCACCTATTCTTATTTCCCACATCTTCAGTCAGTAGTCAGCTGCTTAATCCCTAATGGATGTCAACCGTCAGTTGTTTTCCTCTGTCACATAATAGTTGCTGCAGGTGCCCATTTACAAGTTTCACTGGTCACAGAGTCGCCACGAGGTGCCTCAGTGAGTGCTGCACTCCAGATGTACTCCTCTCTGCCCCCATTGTGGTAGCAACAACCCCAACCTCTCATAGCAATCAGGGTTTGTTAAACTAGTAAGTACAGTAATTCTTTTCTTGCTTATCTACTGGCATGGATCAACATAGTTGCAATTTCCAGTTCAGTGGAACACAATGTGTCCTCTAAGAAGCAATACTGCCTGGGAATGAGGATCACTAACACAGCAGATATAAGATCGTAGGAACAGAAAGTACACATTTTGAATGCTTCATTTGGAATAATTGTGAGAAGGGTGGTCCTAGTTCCACCTTTTGGTTCCCAGAGCCCTTGCTTTTCCAATCCATACATAGGATCTGAGCCTGATACTATGGCCACTTTGTTTATGAGCCCATCATCATGCAAGCATTGGATTGACCAAAGGAGGGGGCTGGCTGATATTCAGAAAATAGGTCATCCTATCTACCTGATTGTCAAGAGCCTCCTTGTGGCTGTGCTTATTCTTTAGGGTCACTCCGGAGAGGAACTGTATGGAGGTAGTGGTCCCTTTCTGGAGAACCTCAACATATCATACCACACTCTCTTTGAATTGACTCAAGGTCTTCCCTTCTCCATCAGTTGGTTATAGAGGATTTCCCATGAGGCCATAAGTATGAGTTGAGGGAGTGACACCAGAGCCAAACAGGTAGGTGATCTGAAGGTCTGGGCAAACAAATCACATTTTTTGTGTGTGTCTTCTGGACTACTTGAGTCTTTTCTTAAAAGTACCATTTTCTTCATATAATAGTTTGCTCCTGTGCTTCTCAACCTTTTTCTGGGCGTTTCTATTAAGACCATGCTCATGATGGGTAGCTCCAACTGCAGTTACATGGTGGACCATAGTCATGCTCTCAGGTTTTACCTCACAGGATATGTCCCTGCATGCTCTAGATCTCTGGGTCCCTAAAAATCTCACTGGTGTTGCAGGCCCCTTAATCATTAGGTACTTATGGTCTAACTTGTGATATGTCTGTATCTTATCAGGACATTCAAGTTGATTGATCTATTCTCTTTATTAGGTCCAATTAGAAAAATGTCAATCAATATAGAAGACTAGCATAATGTGCTGTGACATATGAAGATGATAGAGATCATTACAAAACATACCATTATAGACAGTAGAATTAACACAGACCCAGGGCAAGGCCGTGAAGATTTACTGCTGTCCTTACAAATGTAAAGGTGAGCTGCTTTTGATTTTCCCTACTGATGAAAGTCAGGAATAAAGCATACAGCAAAATAATAGACACAAACTAAGTGCCAGAGGTTAGACTGGTATACTCTTAAAAAGAAAAATTATATCTAGCACAGAAGCTGCAATTGTGGATACCACCTGGTTGAATTTGCAGTAGCCCACTAGCACCCACCACTATCTATCTATCTATCTATCTATCTATCTATCTATCTATCTATCTATCTATCTATCTTCTATATCTATCTATCTATCTATCATCTATCATCTATCTTTGTGTATTTGTGTGTATGTTTGCAGAGACCAGATAGATGAAATGACTAGGGATACAATGGGAATTGCCATCCATGAATCCTTTAAGTCTTTGTTGGTACTAATTTCTGCAGTTCATCTTGGGAGGAGATATTGCTTCTGATTAACTATCTTGGCCTGGAGGGGGGGCTAACACTGCTCCTTTCTATCATAAAGTCCCTTAACTCAGGTCAGGAAACTAAGGGCCAACTTCTAAGTATATCTATCCCATTAGACATTCAGAGACTAGAGAAGTAACAGAATGGGTCCTTATATCTATTGGACCCATTGTAAGATGGACTTGAGCCCAAATCCCATTTATAATCTGATACTGATAATACTCCATTTCCAACTACAAGACAATGGTGGTGGTGTTTTGTGTCCCCTGGTATTGGTGCCAACTGTGAGAATACCTAGACTTTTTGTCTGTCCAGTACATATTTTGGCAAATTTGGGCAAGGATTAAAGAAATAAATGTCATGCTTGTGTGACATTGTGAGGAACAAGCTTTCCTTTCAATCACTGGGTTCTAGATCTGTGAGCTGACTTAGATCTAGTAACTAGAAATTGCAACTGTCCATTATACTGTCCAGCATCATCCTATGTTCATCAGTTCTCTATTATTTCTGATTGTACAAATCAAAACGCTGGTTCAATGATTCTTAAACTTTAGTGTGCATCTCAACCACCTAGAGAGCTAGTTAAAACACAGATTGCTGGGCCACATCCCCAGAATTTCTGCATCAGTAGCTGAGATGAGGCTCAAGAATTTTCATTTCAAACAAGTTCCCAGATGGTGCTAATGCTGCTGATCTCAGGTCCACACTTTGATAACCACTGCTGTAGATGGCTGCTTGTCTGTGTCATCTTTGGGAAAATCATCATTTCTTAGCTATAATAAAACATCACTTTGGGACAAGGCACCTTCACTGCCCCTCTGGCCATGCTGCTCATTATGGTCATTACATCCACCTGGGCTCTGCCTTGATCAACTCCCCATATCCCCATTGCTATTAGAGTCAACCCTGGCCTGACAGGACAACCAACTGTGGGTTCTCAGTGATGCTGGTACTCAGGCCCTCCTGGAAAATATAAACAGCTGGGGGATTCAGTGTCTTTATTCTAATAGTCCCCCTTTCTTGAGCCTCTGACCCCTTTCTCAATTACTCTGCCAAAGAGGTTCCAACATTTTAACTCAATTTACTTTACATTTTCACTCAATTTAATTTACATTGTGAATCCAGGCTTCGAGGAGTCATCTCAGCAAACTGCTAGGACTGGTGTCCTTGTTAGACATGAAATTCGAAATTATGGTTGAGTTATACACTCTAATAAATATTTTCCTCTTCAGCCTTAATTCTACTTCCCTGGTCTAACACCCTCAAGATTTACCCATACAGGTGTTTCTCTGGTTCTTGTTTGATACATTTATGATCTGGTCCCACCACCTGCCATAGATCAAACATGGTCACAGAATGCCTTAAAATAGCAATTAGCTGCCTCATACTACCTATCAAGGATTTCAATGTCATCATAAGTATCTAACCACTGCCAAAGTCCTATAATTATCATCATCCTTATATTGGTAAATTGCAGCGACAACTTAATATTCAAAGACTTACCTTAAACCCCCACCTTATCCCAATTAGCCACAAATAAGAGCTTTAGTAATTCTAATGTCACAGCTTGCCCGTTGTTATTACTAACTATCCCACTCTGGAACCAGTTTTCTCAGCGTTGGTTTCTTGGAGTAGACAGCAGAAGGGGATAGCTTTTGTGCTACTGTTTTATGGAGGTACAACCCTAGGGAAGCAAGAGTAAGGGGGAAAAGAGTGCAGTAAAGAAAGAGGGTAGGAAAATACAAGGTAGAGTATTATAATACCAAGGTAACCATGCCTTCAGAACAAAATAGCTGGTTGTCCCGTCTTTTAAGACATTTCCAGAGAGGTCAAATAAAACCATCGCATCTCAGAGCAGTCCGTTAGGGGAAGAAATAATAGACAATGTATCTGCTGACTTTTTTCTATCTCTTGTCTTGCATTGTTGAAATCTGCCTCCATGGGACTTAACTATTTGAAGTCCACATTTCCAGTTTACCCACACTTTTTTTCTTTCTTTCTCTTTCTAAACATGGTTTCTTTCTTTCTTCCTTTCTTTCTTTCTTTCTTTCTTTTTCTCTTTCTTTCTTTTTCTTTTTCTTTCTTTCTCTTTCTTATTTCTCTCTCTTCTTTCTCTTTCTTTCTTTCTTTCTTTCTTTCTTTCTTTCTTTCTTTCTTTCCTTCCTTCCTTCCTTCCTTCCTTCCTTCCTTCCTTCCTTCCTTCCTTCCTTCCTTCCTTCCTTCCTTCTTTCTTTCTTTCTTTCTTCTTTCTTTCTTTTTTTTTTTTTTTTTGACATGGAGTCTTGCTCTGTTCCCCAGGCTGGAGTGCAGTGGTGCAATCTTGGCTCACGGCAACCTCCGCCTCCCAGGTTCAAGTGATTCTCCTGCCTCAGCCTCCTTAGTAGCTGGAATTACAGGCATGCACTACTACGCCCCACTAATTTTTGTATTTTTGGTAGAGATGGGGTTTCACCATGTTGGCCAGGGTGGTCTTGAACTCCTGACCTCAAGTGATCTGCCTGCCTTGGCCTCCCAGAGTGCCGGGACTACAGGCATGAGACACTGTCCCCGGCCTTACCCACACTTTCTAATCTATCCCTGAGGAAGCTGGAGCCTCTCTGGGTCCCCTCTGGCAGATTATGAAGATCTCCCTTTGTCATTTGGAGCTGTGCACGGGAACTCCTCAGTTGGTGGTGGCAGTGCCACAGAAGTTTGGATGTAATAGCCATGGGTGAGGTGTGATCTATTGCTGAGGCTGCTCTGGCGGGGAAGCAAGGGTGACATTGATGGGGGTGATGGTATTGGTGGGGCCAAGCAGATCTGGCTTGGCACATAAAATGCATCCAGCTCAGTCAGCATATTTAACACTTATCAAAGACATATGAAGAAGCAATTTTAATATAGTATTAAGATTTAGAAATTGGAGAAAAAAGATTTAACCGAATTCCTTGACCTTATGAAGTTATAAAATATTTTGTGAAACATACACATAAATAGATAATATTAATATAATGTACTAAGTGCAGCGACAAAGGCAAGCATGGGTTAAATAGGAAGAACAGAAAGGGGCAGCTAGCTTGGTTTGAGGGGCCTGGTCAGGGAAAATTTTCTGGAGGCAGGACCAACTACAGAGGCATGCAATCAGGTAGCTTAGGGCCTTACCCTCAGAATTGTTAGTGCTTGGGGCTTAATGCTCTGTGGCCCCCTTTTGAAATTTTTAGTTTCATCTTTGAATTTGTGTTTTGTAAATGAAGTCCAATGGGACAATGGAGCACATGATGGGCACTTGAAGCCTCTGCTCATCTTGTGCTATTCACTTTTGGCTGCCTCCCTCCTCCCTGGCCCATTTACAGCCTGCTAGAACTCTAGGGCAGGAGGAGGCCATCATCCTCCTTTTTCCCAGCAGAGGCCACAGCATAGAAGCATGGAGGTTCAAGGTCAGGTTTGGCCATCACTCTTTTTCCCCAGCAGGGGCCACAGTGTAGAAGCATGGAGGGTCAAGCTCAGGTTTGTGCGCCACAGTGTCCGGGGCAACGCAAGGCAGCAGTTGTTTCTGCCTTGGCTGGCAGAGCAACAGCCGTGTTTGGATCAGCAGGGACTTCTCGCCTGTTCCCAAATCAGATGCCAAGTGTTTCCCTGTGCAAAGTCTAAATATTTTGGATTGGGATGACCTCCTGTGGAAGGGATATGTTGAATTCCACCTGTGAGATTTTCGTTTTTTATTTTGCACTGGGCCACCCAAATTATGTGGCCACCTTGCCTGGAGGCAGCGATGATGCTCAAATTGATTTGTGAAGGATGAGTAGAAATTTTCCAGGTGAAAAAGGTGGGAAAGGGGTTGAAAGGGTCTACTAAGGAGTGGGAAGGAAACAAAAGATTTCACCATTTATGCAGAAAATGTATTTTTTTCTCTCTTGAATATCTTGGCGGATGGTAGTTCCATTTCCTGAAATGGAGAAGAGAAGGTATGAGTGGTTCAGGGAGGAATCTGAGTTTCCTCTGGGTATGTTAATTTGAGATTCCCATTAGACCTCCTTTTGGAGATGTCTAGTTGACAGTCTGGAGTCAGGGGCAGAAATAAGGGCTGGAAATAGGCTTAACGCCATGGGATCAAGTGAGGTTGCCCAGGTAGGGAATGTAAATAGAGCAGAAAAGAGGATTTGGGCACCTTTGTTTTAGATCAAACTTGTCCAACCCATGGCCTGTGGGCTAAAGGCAGCCCAGGATGGCTTTGAATGTGGCCCAACACAAATTTGTAAACTTTCTTAAACCATTATGAGATTTTTTTTTTTTTTTTTAGCTCATTAGCTATCATTAGTGTTAGTGTATTTTATGTGTGGCCCAAGACAGTTACCTTTCTTGCAGTGTGGCCCAGGGAAGCCAAAAGATTGGACACCCCTATTTAAATGATGATCAGAAGAGGAGGATACGGTAAAGAAGGAGGACATTCAGGGGAGTATCATAGAGAAAGAGACGAAAGTATTTTGAGAAGGAGGTCAGCACATAGTTTGAAAAGTTTTAAGTCAACATCAGAATTTCAAGGTATTTCATATAAAATGTGGACTTTTAGCCTGTCTTGAACAATCGACAGGGCAGACAACACTGGCCCACATTCTGCGTGGTAAGAACCCAGTTGCAGGCACACAGAGCCTGTGCTCATGAATGGGCGTGCATGTTCCAGCTTCACTTCTCCACCTAGTAGTCCTTGTCACCCTCATTATTAGGGCTTATCAGTCCTCATTTGTGATTGTGCTTTCATCACTGAAAGTCCTGCAGGCAAGAACTATTTCTCTGTGTGTAACTCTCCAACAAAGCCAGGAAAAGAAAAGATAGCCTATGGGTTTAAAAACAAAATTGGAGAAAGTGTATTTCTTTGTAGAAGTAAAGAATATTCTGTGTGCTTAATTAGGAAACAAAGCCTCTTCAAAAGAAACAGCTTTGCCTGTTTTACTCAGTTATAATCCATTACCTCCCTGGCTTCTGTATGCTTTCCAGTTGACCCTACCCTAAATTCATTTGCAAATTCTGTTCCCAGAACCAATATTTCTCAAATGCTTTCATGTTATTTTTCTTGCTCAATTAACTTCAGTGAGTAGTGAATGTTGGTGTCCACATTTTCTGAACGCAGAATATACTAATTGAAGCTGTTTTTAAAATTTAAATGCACACTTAGGAGCATTTATCTACCATTCTCTGCTGACCCTCCTCCCAGGTGCTAATTTAGGACCAATGCCAGTTCAGATCAAATTCTACCTGAAAGACTATTTTCTAATCATGCCACATGTAGGGACCATCTTGGGGACAAGACAGCATCTGTGTGGCAGGAGTAGTTCACTCCAGTCCCCTTGAGAGCCCTTGCCTCTGGGGGAGCTGCAACCAGTGGCAGGGTGAGGGTTGTGGCTTCTGCATCCCAGGGTCGGCTCCTTCTCACCACCCCCTTCCCTTCCTCCAATTCCTCCCTGAGAGCCTCACCTTCCCTAGTTCATCACATTCCGGTGACACAAATATCCTATTTATGGGTATTAATTATATTAACACATAATAGTATTGTAAATTAGAAACTTCATCTCTCAGGAGAAAAGAAAACTAGTTGGTTTTATCCTTTCTTGCAAATTCAAGGTGGTACTATAGACTAGTGGTTAGAAGCTTCACCTCTTTGCCAAAGTGCTTGCATTCAAATCCCTTTTCCTTTATATCTTATTATGACCTGTAAAATGGGAATAATGACCCACCTCATCTTTTATGTGTAACAGGGGGACCAGCCCAAACTGGGCCTACTCTGTTGATAACAAAATGTCGAGTTACCTTGTAGGTATAGCAGAGGAAAACTACAAGTCATGTAGTCCAGGAAGACATAATTAAAAAAAGCTTTGACTTCTAACAACATCTTGAACCAATGATTCCTTCCCTGGAAACCAAAAAGACTGAGACATGACTGGAACCTGAACACTAGGACTCTTTCAAAAGCAAAGGGTCTCTTGGCCCTGAAGAGCTGGGGCTAAAATCTGCCTCAATACACCTTACCATAAATGGTCAAATTTGAAACTGTCCAATCAGACCCATGCCAAGTCAACATTCCTAAATCCTTTTCTTTGCCCTCTGATCCCTTGTAACTTTCTTTTTTCTTTTTTTCTTATTTATTTATTTATTTAAGATGGGGTCTTGTTCTGTCACTCAGGTTGGAGTGGAGTGGCACAATCATGGCTCACTGCAGCCTAGACCTCCTGGGATCTAATGATCCTCCTGCCTCAGTCCCCCAAGTAGCACCACTACGTCCAGCTAATTTTTGTATTTTTTTGTTGAGATGCTGTTTTGTCATGTTGCTCAGGCTGAAAAACTTTCATTAGATTCCAAATCAGGGAGACAGATTTGAGCCCAACTCCTTGCTGGCTGATTTGCAGTAAAACCTTTCTTTTCTCAAAAGCTGGTGCCATGGTATTGGCTTCTGTGTACATCAGATAGCAAGCCCATTTGCTCAATAACATGAAGATTATATGAATTAATACATAAAGTTCTTAATTAGTAGAAGTTGGCACATAGTAAATGCTCAAATTTTTGCTGCTATACTATATCACTATTATGGTTATCTTATGGCATACTATTATATCTTCTTTCCATTTAATTATTGTATAACCACTAGGCTGACTTATTCTTTTCTCTGGAGTACAATTTTAATTTTTTTCCCACAGACCTTTCTGACTTATGCATAATTCCCTCCCTGTATCCATCCTTTTCTACTTATAAAGATAGAGAGAAATTTCTATTTTTAATTTGCAGAAAGATGCATATTTATTAGAAGAAATAGAATATCTATATTTATCTATAGATAAATACATATTTATAATTTATTATCAGAAATTAATCATAAATTATTAATTTCTAATTATTAATCAGAAATTATTAATTTCTAATTATTAATCAGAAATTTATATAGAAACAAAATAACTCATGTCAAAATCCTTCACTTGGTTCCAGTTACATTTTTCTTAATACTCCCATTCTCTTCATTAATCAGTTCTTTATTCTGAATTCCAGACATTTATGCATTGAATAAGTAGTCATTTTGCGTTGTATTTTAATGCAAGTTTATATGATTTACTTTAAGTAATGTTTTGAATTTATTTTTTCATTTTTGAACTTTTCATTTTGAAATGAAGACTTGGTAAACAGTTTCAAAAATAGTACAAATAATTCCTGCATATCCTTCACCCAGTTCCCCCAAATGTTTCATCTCAAAAAACCACAGTAAAATGATCAGAATCAGGAAGTTAGCACTATACAATAATATTAACTTATTTATGGTCTCTATTTAAATTATACCATGTATCCCACTAATATCCTTTTTCTGGCCTAGATTCCAATCCAGGATCCCACATTGCATTTAATTGACATATCTTCTTGATTTCCTTCCATCTGTGAAAGTTCCTTAGCCTTTGTCTTTCATGGTCTTGACACTTCTGAAGAGTGTTAAGATTTAATTCAGATTATGCCTTGTTGGCAAAATTCCATACACCTGATGTAATGCTGCTTCCACTGGGTGTGAGGAGGGCTCTTCTATTGGAAAATAAGCTTCATCAGAATTTAGGGGCTCACTATCACCAGCATTATCAGAGTCTTCCCACATGTACCCACTTTAACTTACAGGATCCAACTTATTTCCTGATCGATATCCTCATTTTAATAGTAGATACCTTGTGAGGCTGGGAGTTCAACTTGCAATATATTTCAGTTAGTCACAGAATGGGATACTCTGCATTTAATTTTCAGCAATCTCAGCCTTGTATTATAGGAGATAAGGGTCTCCTTCATAGCATACATAGATGTTTTGAGGTCATTTATGTGGCACTTGAGGTGGGAATTTGAATCCCAGAGCTCATCCTTATTTCATCATTTTGCCCATTGACATCAGGAACAACCATCTAATGTCATTACATTTATTAGACTCCCCAAAATGTTCAAAAGTATTATATACATAGTCACCCAGCTCCTTCCTTCTTGTACTTCCTTCAGATCAAGCCATACTTGATCTGGCCATAAAGGTACCCTAAATATCTCCACTTGATAACCCTAACTAACAGTGCTCTTTTTACTACTGAAGATAGAGTCATTAGTGTCTTTAAATCCAATCAGATTAGACTCTCAATTCTAGAAGCCCCAGAACCAATTACTCCTGATAACAAAATCATCTATGTTAACCAGGGTTCTCCAAAGAAACAGGGTGATATGGTTTGGCTCTGTGTCCCCACCCAAATCTCACCTTGAATTATACTCCCATAATTCCCATGTGTTGTGGGAGGGACCCAGTGGGAGATAATTTGAAGCATGGGGCAATTCCCCCATACTGTTCTCATGGTAGTGAATAAGTCTTACGAGATTGATGGTTTTATCAAGGATTTTTGCTTTTGCATCTTCCTCATTTTCTCTTGCTGCCACCGTGTAAGAAGTGCCTTTCTCCTCCTATCATGATTCTGAGGCCTCCCCAGTCATGTGGAACTTGTAAGTCCGATTAAACCTCTTTTTCTTCCCAGTCTTGGGTATGTCTTTATCAGCAACATGAAAACAGACTAATACATAGGGCCAGTAGGAGATAGAGAGAGAGAATGTATGTGTGTGTGAGAGAGAGACAGAGAGAGAGGGATTGAGAGAGATTTATTATAAGGAATGGGCTGATGTGATTATGGGGACTGAGAAGTCCCGGCAGAAGAGCTGATGGTACATACATTCCAGTTTGAGTAGGAAGGCCTGAGAAGCAAGTGAGCTGATAGTGTTGGTTCCAGTCTGACAGTGAAGGTCTGAGAACCAGGAAAGCCAATGATGTAAGATTCAGTCTGAATTTAGGCCCAAAAGCAGAAGACTTCTGTCACAGTTTGAAGACAGGAAGAGAGAAAACATTCTTTCTCACTTATATTAGGTTGGTGCAAAAGTATTTTGCCATTACTTTTAATGGCAAAAACCATGATTACTTTGCACCAACAGAATACTTTTAGTCCATTCAGGCCTCCAAAAAATGGAAAGAGGCCCGCACACATTGCAGATGGAAATCTGCTTTATTCAGTTTACTAATTCAAATGTTAACCTCATCAAGAAATACCCACATAGACATTCCCATAAGTAATGTTTAGCTAAATATCTGGGCACTACATGGCCCTGTTAAGTTGACACATAAAATGAACCATCACACCTTCTAAACACATCAAATCAGGAGGCACATAATGACATTTTGTCTAATTACTAGTGATGTTAACTTAGATCACTTGGATAAGGCAGTCTTTCAAATTTTCTTCACTTAACATTATTTTCCTCTTTGTATTTGGTAAATTTCTCGTGGCAAGATAATTGAGACCATGTAAATATCCTGTTTTTCATCACACCCTTACCTATTAATGATTCTTGATTGAGGTAATTATTACTGTAATGTTATCAAATGATGATTTTATATTTCTGTTATTTCTTCTATATTTATTAATTTGAATTCTCTTATTTATTTCTTGAATGATTGGTATCAGTATGGACTCATCAATATATATTTTTTATTTTGGGGGTTATAGTCCATTATTCTCATTATTAATTTTGTTACTCAACTTGTCATAGATTTGGGCATTAGGGGATCTTCTTTAAATCATATTTAAACAGCTTTGCTGTATGAATCCTCATGGTTAGGTATGTAAGGTTTGTATAAATAAACAAATTTTCTCTATTATTATAGCAATCCAGGTTTCTTCGCATAGAAATGCCTTAAAAAGTTTTTTTATCTTAAAAATGTTTAATTAAAAGTACTACACTAGATAATGGAAACTTAGTAACCACCCCAGATAAAAACAAAACAAAATAAAACAACAACAACCACAATGACCCGTCCCACCACTACCAAGTTATTTTACCCTTCCAGATCAATAATTGTTCATGGGCATTGTATTGAAATGCTGTAAAGACATTTTCACTGGCTAGAGACACTATTTCAAATGAAATATAAAGAAACATGAAAACATTGACATTTTAAAGTGACTCCTATGGATTTGATTTCGTGAATAATTAAAATATAGCATTTAGTGCTCTTATACATTTTATAACTCATTCATTTATATCAGTCTTTATATCTGAAAGAGGTTTAATGTGTTGTTTAAATTCATTGTTTTCTTTTACTGCAAGCCACAGGAAGAAATTCTAGCTATTTCATCCCAAAAGGAATGTATTGAAGGGATATAAGGTAACTAATAGAATGGAAGAGAAACCAAAAATCTGGCTCAGAAAAGAAGTATCAAAAAGAACTGCAGGAATCCATAAAGAAGGAACTAACAAGCAGACCCTTTGAAAAGCGTCTATCTCCCTAAAGATAGTCTTTGTGGGATTCTGTTCAAGATCCAAATATTAAAGACAGAGCAAGTAATCTAACTTAACTGCCAGTCCCAAAAAGATTGGTTCCCCTTGGAGAGAATGACGTCTTGGTTTGGGTTCCCCCAGAGCAGACTCTGAAACAAGGTTTCAAGAACAAGTGGTTTATTTTGGATATGATCCTAGAAAACCTCAGTAGGGGAGTGGAGAAGAGAGGCAGGGAAGGAAGAGAAGCCAATAAAGGATGTGTTATCAAAGCAGTTCCCACAATGAGCAATTGGAGCTTTATTCCACAGGGAGACAATCTAGAACACACATCAGAGTTATCTCAACCCAGAAGTGAGGAAGCTAGGATATTTTTCAACATTATCTATTATTTACACAATTTGCTGGGGGCTTCTGGGCATTAACTCCTGGGCACTTTTGGCTTGTCCTGTGTGTGAGATGAGTGTTCTATTGCAACCAGACGAAAGTTCTCAAGCAGAGACACAGGAGTTTGCAGTGACAGCAATCTTCTGTGAGTAGAAGCAAGTGCTGAGAAGACATGGGCAGAGCATGGCCATGTCTGCTGCAGTGGTTTCCTTAAGTAAGATTGGGATGCTGTTTCTAGAAAGAGATTGGCATCTTGGCAAGCAAAAGTAGTCGATATTTATTTTGCCATGAAGGCAAATGTCTCATTTTACAGGAAAGTTGTTTTCATGTCAAATGCTGTGTATAGTATGAATTAGGATGTTTTCAGCTACATGGAGGAGCCTACCAATTATAAATGGCTTAAAAGAATACAGATTGTATCAGGCATGATAAACTACTTTATGCTATGGTAACAAACAACCCCCACCAGTGGCTTAACACAACAGAAGTTAATTTCTTACTCACACAAAGTAACAAAGTTGGCTGAGGGTTCAGGCAGCTCGTCACAGCAGCTGTTTTTCAGGCATTGGCTCTTCCTTCCAGGCTGTTTGATCTTATGACACCTCCGTAAATATACATGCTCCCACGATTACTACTGCAGGGGAAGAGCAGGTAGAGAGTCAAACACGAGATAGCACACGACGCTTCTGGCAACATTTCATTTCATCTACCGAGTCATGGAGCCATGCTTTGGTGGAGAAATGCTGTGTCCCTGTGTGTCCAGGAGTAGAGAAGAACAGGATATCGGTAACTACAGGGAATAACTACTGCAAGGTTTGGAGGGAGATAAGTCCAGGGGTGTTTCAGTGGCTTGAGTGCCATCCCTTACTTGCTAAGGACATCTTTTTGTCACATAATGACTCCAGTAGCTCCAAATACCACTTCTTCTCACATCAATATTCATAGGCAGGAAGAGAGGGTTGGGGTCTCTCTGCCTCTTTTTTCTAATCAGGTGCTGTGGAGCTTCTCTTCTCCCACCCTGACTCTTTATCAAGGAAGAGAATCTTTCCTAAGAGCCTCTCAATAGACTTCCAATTATGCTTCACTAGTCAGAACTGGGTCATATGCCTACCTCTAGCTGCAAGGGGGCATCTGACATTTGCAGCCTCACTCATGAAAGTCAGGTTCTGTCAGCTTAGAAAAAGGGGTAGGAGAATGGCTGCTGTGTTCAGAATCAGCAATCAATACCACGTGTCTGCCACACACAGCAACAATATTCTCACTGTCCATGTATAGGATTATAAAACATGTGCCCCAAATCACTATGCTGTTGAAACACAACTCACTGAATCCCCACCATGTGGGAGTCTGAATCACAATCACCGACGGCAGAGTTGTATTTAATCACAACATACCAATTCCTGAGGAAATAGAGTATTTCTTGAAATCCAATATCAAGCAACTTCCTGGGAACATCTATTTGAAGGATCAGATGAGAAATCGTGGCTCTTATGTAACAATTCATAACAATTTAAGAGAAGTTTCTGTTATACAGAGTTTTCCAGAACTCATAATCAAAACGGTAGACTACAAATAAGTAGAAGGCTGGAGATTGACCAAGAAAATTTTCCCTCCTGAAAGATAAACTACAACTTGGCTTATTTTTCAAAGAATCAACTTCTCAGACTCTAGGCAGATAAATGAACACAAAATAACTTACTACTGTGTATTTTAGAATCATACACATTATCTGAGACTTTAATAACAGTTAAACAGATGGTAGATGGTAGCAGAGATGCCTGTTTCAAATGACAGTGGTCTAACAGCTCTCAGTTAAATTGCTTGTGACAGCAAAAGGAAAAAAAGACTTGCAATGCTATCAAAAGCTAAAACTTAAAAATAATTATAATAAACTGGAAAGAAATTTACTAAGTGGTGCTAGACTGAGGAAAAAAAATTCTATTCCATCTTTTACTCCGGAAACAAAGACAGCCTGAAAACAGTAGGAATATACTTTGTATCCCCTCTGTCTGCCTTAGGGAGCCAGAGTCTGCCTCAACCAAAAAAGGACACCTGCTTATTTAGGAAATGCTTTGAGATTCAATTTCACTTCCACTGAATCACTTCCTAGCTTCCACTAAGCCAGAAATTAAAGTGGGAACTCAGAGCCAGCTGAGCCATGATCCAGGAGGAGGTATCTTCCTACTGCCAGACATCCCATCTGAAAGGCCACCAACCAAATCACAAATCTAGGTGACTAAATTGCTTGATGTAACTGCTAAATACTGATGCATCATCCACAGCTTTCCAGAGCAGATACTGATGCACATTAATTTACAAATTTCAGACTATGGAGATGCTAATAATTGTGTCCATTAGGTTAACCCAGGAAAAACAGGCAAGATGGAAGCTGGGGTTGGGGAACCCAGACATAGAGATGTGGGGATAGAAATGGGGGTTGTTCTTTAGGAATCAGGTAAGCTGGACTGTTAGTTTCTCAGATTTGTACCTCATGTTCCAGACACGTCTATGCCTGCTGCATGTTCAAAGGGATCAAACCCTTTTGTATATTGAGACTGAAATATTCAGAGTGGAGGAATAGGCTGGGAGATCACCTAGGATACATTTCTGAAAGTAGACATTAAGTTCAATAATGGCAGTGTAGAAGGATATTAGTCACCTATACCCAAAACTGATAGTGGATATTAACAAGCTACCTTACTTATTACTGAGTATGACACATTCTCTTGGGTATCTCCCCTTTCCCCCCAGTTTCATCTTCTAAAGTTGACTTGATTCAGGTACTCAAGGCCCAGGTGAGCTCACCCTTCTTCAATAGGTTAGGTGACTAAATGCTTCAGAGTTTTCTGCAAAATAAAAAGGAACAATGAGAGAAGAAAAGCTCAGGTTGCCTCTCAGCATTGATTGTTCACATTGGGTTTTATTTAGGGAAATCTCCAGAATTATCTTCATGTTTATATATGAAAATAAAAGAGTATTTAGACCTTTATAAAAAGATAGTACCTTCCTAAGACTGGATTTTGGATAAAAAAACAGTATTTAGGTTGTATCAAGCTTTGAAAACTGAAAACAAAAAAAGTGATTGTAGTTTCTTAAATAGACTCTGGGCCTGAGAGGCAGATGTGATTCTGAAATTTCAAATATATATGAAACCAATACTCTTTCTAAAAGCCTTAAATCTTGTTTGGTTTGATTTGTCTGATACAAAGGACAGCTTCTATAGTAGGTGAAAATTTTCAACTTTCGCTAATCATTTCTTTAAAAGTTACTAATGTGGTACCCTGTTTGAGCCCTGAGCAAAAATGGGTAAATGCATGAATGGTAATTTCTTCGTCTTGCTTGAATACAAAAGCAAGTTGGTAACTGCCCAGGCAATGCAAAACAGAAAAATGTTGGCAAGTGGACAAGTCACTTTCTATGCAACTTTATTCACTCTAGCAACTTTTTCTGCATATATTGTGAATTCATTAGAGATAACAAATTTTAAAAATATTTCCATAATTGCACACAATATAAAAAAATATAATACAAAAACACTAAGAACATTTTTTAAATTATCCATTTGAATCTTGAGCTTTAAGATGCCAGGCCAGGCCTATAATCCAGCACTTTGGGAGGCTGAGGTGGGTGGATCACGAGGTCAAGAGATCGAGACCATCTGGGCCAACATGGTGAAACCCCATCTCTACTAAAAATACAAAAATTAGCGGGGCATTGTGGCATGCACCTGTAGTCCCAGCTACTCGGGAGGCTGAGGCAGGAGAATTGCTTGAACCTGGAGGCAGAGGTTGCAGTGAGCCAAGATCACGCCACTGCACTCCAGCCTGGTGACAGAGCGAGACTCTGTCTCAAAATAAAAAAAATAAAAGAAAAAGAAAAAAAAAAAAGATGCCAGAGAATGCACATCAAATACAGAAATTGGTAATAAATCATGTTTACAGACTGTATAATTGAAGAGATCAGCGAATAAGTGGGGTGTATGTGGAAGTGGGGAGTACATTTGTTGTTTTGTTGTTGTTGGTTGAGCAGCAACATACCATCTAGACAAAGTTTTTTCTAATTACTAGTTGAGTCTTAGTTTTGTAACAAGATGATGCATTAGTGTAGGGGCTCCTGAACAGTTTATGAATTGGCCAAGGTAGGGGTTGAATTGTATGCATATTCCCCCCAATCCCACAAAAAAAATATGTGTTGTCCTAACCCTCAGTACCTCAGAATGTGACCTTATTTGGAGATAGCATCTTTCTTCACAGGAGTAAACAAGTTAAAATGAAGTCATTAACGTGGGCCATAATCTAATATGAATGGTGCCATTGGTATAGTGGTATCATGCAAGATTCCCTAATAGAATAAGATTGTGTCCTTATGCAAATGGGAAATTTGGACTCAGATAGATACACATAGAGGGGAAACAATGTAAAAAGACCCAGGGAGATGATCAGCTATAAGCCAAGGAGAGGGGTCTGGAACAGATCCTTCCCTCACTGACCTCAAGAGGAAGCAACCTGTTGACACCTTGATCTCAGACTTCTAGCTCCAGAACTGTGAGATAATACATTTCTGTTGTTTAAGTCACCCAGTTTCAGGTTCATTTAGATAAATTGTTGTTAGCAAACACTTCTGATTGAGAAAGATTAGAGAAAGACAACCATCAGGAAGACAGCATGGCTCACAGCGTGGTTCAGCCTTGGAGAGATATCCAATTCCGTTCAGAAATTTTGTCAGGCAAGGATCCTCCCCACTCCCACTGTGGGAAAGAGGTGGGCAAACTCTTAATGAGAAGCCTCAGAGCTGTGGGCAGAAGAGAAAGGGGGAAAGTAAACCCAGCAGCAGAGAAGTTACCTGGCTTTTCCAGAATCAGGAGGGTCCGAGAAACGTGGTGTTGTATAAAGTTGTTGAGTGCACCATACATGGGCTATGGGGGCATTTGGAAATAGTGCCCTCTGGGACCCAGGGTGTTGCATGATGACTCAAGCCACTTGGAGAGGAAGGGAATACTGAAGGTACTTAGGGCAGTTATTCTGCTTATGACGGTGGAGACTGTGGTGACAAAATGAACCCGCTAGGTCTGCTGCACTCAAGGAAAGTATGTTTCTCAAAGGCAGCCCATCTAGAAAACATTCAATCAGCAAACCCCTAAAATTAGTCCATGTTGACTTTTTTCTTTGAAGACTAGACATCTGAATCCTTCGTAATATATTGGTGGCAAATAACTGTTTGCCCTCTTCCCACCCCACTCCCTTTCCCACATACCATGCAAGTTCAGGAAAAACAAATTATAAGAATTTAGTTATTTCTCTCTTGGGTCTATTCTGATCAAGGAAGAAATTTTGAAAGCTATTTACCAGCAAAAGAGTTTCAATTGTTTGGGATTAAAAAGTCTAGTACTAGTCCATTATCACCTACAGAGGCATCAGTAAGCCAGAATAATGAATCAATGTGCACTAAATGTGATTTGAACCCAGCATTCAGATTAATAAAAGGCCAGCTAATATACCATCAAGTTTATAAAGTTTGTTTGAATATTGGACAAAGCCAGGGCTCGATATGTTCTCTGCTCTTCCTCTGGGAACTGGTGGGGAGAGGACCTACCACTTGTCAGGAGGCTGATCATATATCCCATGAGGAGGTTAATCTAGCTAGAAGTAGGGAGAGATGGGCAGTGGGAGCATGAGAGTCTGGTGACCCTTAAAGTTGGGAGCTTGGGGGTTCACTGGTTCCTTCTCTCAGATGTGTGGTGTGATGTCTACTATTCCTAAAAAAGAAGGAAGAGCACCACTTGTAAAAATTTAAGTTTGGAGCCAGCAGCGATCAGATGGGACTGCAAATGGTATCCTGGAAGTAGGGAGGGGACTCATGGTGTGTGTGCCCATGGCAACAGAAGTGCTGGTGGTAAAGGGCAATTCTCAGCTGTGCATAAGCTGTTGGTCTTGGAAACTAACTGTGACAAGCCTAAAGACTGAGTAATGTAGCCAAAGTATGTGTGGAGACACCTCACTGGAGTTAAGGAGGGATATTGGCCTTTGTGAGGATTGGGAAGTTTTCATGGAGGGGGACATGGCAGGGTGGCTCTCTTCTTTTTTTCTTACTGGTTGAAAAATGCATAAGAACATGTTGGATTTCAGTGAATAGAAGAGTTTTAAAAAATTAAAAGAACACATTGGAGATATAGGATTTCTGTGCAGCATGAAAGTGCTCATCATCAAAAAGATAGTGCATCTTGTGAGGACATGTTGCATCTATGAAAACCTCTTTCCCTCTGCCCTTCCTCTCCTCTACCTCCCAGAACACTCTGCCTAAGAACTACCAAGATGATATTTGATGGGTAAAGAGATGATTATTTGCACACAGAAAGGCATGATTCTAAAGGTGCAAAAATAAAAAGGAACTTCTTTATGGTCTAAAGAGGCTTCGTGAAGATAAAGATGGAGTCAGATGTCCAAGGGAGAGGAGGTTTCTCTTCCGTCTCTAAGGTGCTGGCTATGTGGGTGTGCCAAGAGCTGAGAACTAAGGTCTCACTCCAGTAAGAAGTCAAATCTCAGGAAATTGTTTTATATATTCTTTTAGACTCTATATGTCTGGTGAGCTAACAGTAAAACAGTTTGTATCTAGACTTTACTGTCCTACCCTTTCCATTTGCTCTTTAGGGAACGTATGTATCCCCTTTTTTTCCACAAGGCAGAGGGCATATGGTTTGAAAGACCATATATAATTTAAGAGACATTTTTTGAGTTACAGTTATTTTATTCTTGCTTGCTAACCTGTTATAGGTGGAGATGAAAAGTTGTGATGACTGCCATTGGATGTTCATATATGTATAATGCCATAGTAATCCTTGCAAAACTCCAGGAGGTAGCTATTATTACCTCCATTTTCCAGTTGAAGGACTTGAAGTTTGACAAGGTTAAATGATTTATTTAAAAAAAATTTTTTTTTTTTGAGATGGAGTCTGCTCTGTCACCCAGGCTGGAGTGCAGTGGCGCGATCTTGGCTCACTGCAAGCTCCGCCTCCCGGGTTCACGCCATCTCTTGCCTCAGCCTCCCGAGTAGCTGGGACTGCAGGCTCCCCCCACCATGCCTGGCTAATTTTTGGTATCTTTAGTAGAGACAGGGTTTCACCGTGTTAGCCAGGATGGTCTCGATCTCCTGACTTCGTGATCTGCCTGCCTTGGCCTCCCAAAATGCTGGGATTACAGGCTTGAGCCCCCGCGCCCGGCCAGTTAAATGATTGAACCAAGGTTAAGAGTGATTTGACCATGGTGAGAGCTTGGATTCAAGTTTAGATATTCCCTACTCCAAAGCACTGTTCAGGGTCTGTTCATTTTATTGCACTGTCTTCTAAAATGTTTATGAATGTGCATGTGTGTTAACAGTCCTTTTTTGAGCAGAATGACATCATTTATATGTCTAGAGGCTGGGTGCTTTTCTCCTTTAGGCTTTCACCTTGATAGCTTTAGGAGAAAGAGATTATGACTGATCCCTACGTCTCTGCCTTGAAGATTTGAATGAGGCTTAACATTGCAATTACTTGCTGAATTATTATTTTTTAACTATCGTTGTTAAATGAGGCACTTTGGAAATACATTATTACTCTGAATGTATTCATACGTGGAACACTGAGTGAATTCAGTGAGTGACTAAAAGGATTTGGGGGCCTTCACCAAAAATGTTGATTCATATGCACGTCATTTTGCCAAGTGAGATTTGTGAATTACAATATTTTATTCAATTTCTTTCTTGTTAGTCATGCAAAATATTCTGGAACAACTAATTTCATTGCATCAAAGAGCAAAAAAGGAGCTATGGAGGTATTAGTACCAGGTCTGTTGTGATAGGAGTGGGGCGGGCAGAGAATGAAATAACTTTTAGTGAAAATAAAAATTCAAATGGCTACAGATAATGGAGTTGATATTGTGCTACCTAGCTTGTTTCAGTGACTGCCCTTTTCAGAATCTCCCATAGTCAACAATAGTAAACAAAACCGTGTTACTTGCTTAGAAATCTTTCATCCCAGGAAAAATAATCTGAGTCTAGCCATTCTTGCCTCTGTTTGATAAGGCGATCAGAGTTTTATTTGCTTGTTCATTTTGTGCAAAAATGTCTGTGCTTATGAACATACTTAATAAATTCCTTCTCATTAATTTTTCTTCCTTTTAAATGCCCACTTACATAGATGGAAACATTGACATTCTTTTGGATTTGCAAGGGTCTCATGACACTATGCTGGGAATGCTTGAGGAAGTTTTCTCATTTCTCAGTTAATGCTTAACCTGCTTTGTTTAGTGGCAGAAAGCAAAAAATGGAGCAGACAGTATTGAAGAGATGAAAGTCAGAAAATTTTCCTAGGAATTCTGAAACAAGTTACTCATTTTCTTCTCAAATACAATCTGAAAAGAATGATTACTATTAATATTAAAGGGACTTTGTAGTCCATTAATAGAAAACTATGGGGGGAGGACTATTTTTGGTTCTTGATGAGCCATTGATGAGAGAATTGTACTGTATTTACTCATATTTTTCTCTATGTAGTTATTTCTGCTCATTTTCCAAACTCCCTCCCAACTCTACCTCTAGTTTTAAGTTTCTTCTCAGAGACTGCCACATTTTTCTAGGTTGGGTGCTGTGGTTGGCAATGGCAGCAGATGAGTTGCTGCAGTCCTTGTTAGAACAGTTGAAGGGGCCAAAACGTTCCTATTTCTGGAACCGTTTCCTAAGGGTTGCCAGGCTGGATAGTTTCTAAGCACATGTCTTCCTTCTCTGGGTTCCCCAGGCTATTGGTTGTACTTGAAGGCATTTTAACTTGCATGAGTTCCCTCACTGTCTCATTACAGTTGTAAGCTATTTTCCTTAAGGAGGAGTAATTACTTAAATGAATATGAAACACTTCTGTAGTGGCCTTCCCATATTTATTTGCCTGGAATGAACTTATTTCTATTCAGAATATCAATAACCCAAAGATGCAGGCTTTATACTTTCTCATGTCCCAGGTTTATAAATTTTTACATATCACTAAAACTCTTCATCCAGAAGAGTTTAAATGATATTTGGCTGTTCCAATGTTACATTTTTAAAAGCATAGAAGGTTTTGTTTCTTGGTTTTTAGCTTTTTATAATACACACTTAATACTATGTTTGAAGTTGAAGATGAATTAATTCTGTTAATTCTCATGCGATGTTTCTTTCTTTCTTCTCTTAGATGATACTGGATCTTTCTCACCATTCCCAGAAAGAAACGTAGGCGTGATTTTTTTTTTTTTTGGGAGTGGGGGGTCAAAATATTCCTACTATAGCTCTTAAGTATACTGAAAAATGCTTAGCTTTCTTACCCATATTATCCAGATTTTCTATTGGTTATAACAGAAGCTCCTGATGCTGGTGGTGAATATCTAGTCTTGGTTTTGTTTTTTTTTTTTTGCCTTAGATATTCTTTTTTTTTTTTTAATTTTATTATTATTTTTTTAATTTATTTTTTTTTATTATACTTTAAGTTTTAGGGTACATGTGCACATTGTGCAGGTTAGTTAAGTATGTATACATGTGCCATGCTGGTGTGCTGCACCCACTAACTCGTCATCTAGCATTAGGTATATCTCCCAATGCTATCCCTCCCCCCTCCCCCCACCCCACAACAGTCCCCAGAGTGTGATGTTCCCCTTCCTGTGTCCATGTGATCTCATTGTTCAATTCCCACCTATGAGAGAAAATATGCGGTGTTTGGTTTTTTGTTCTTGCGATAGTTTACTGAGAATGATGATTTCCAATTTCATCCATGTCCTTACAAAGGACATGAACTCATCATTTTTTATGGCTGCATAGTATTCCATGGTGTATATGTGCCACATTTTCTTAATCCAGTCTATCATTGTTGGACATTTGGCTTGGTTCCAAGCCTTTGCTATTGTGAATAATGCCGCAATAAACATACGTGTGCATGTGTCTTTATAGCAGCAAGATTTATAGTCCTTTGGGTATATACCCAGTAATGGGATGGCTGGGTCAAATGGTATCTCTAGTTCTAGATCCCTGAGGAATCGCCACACTGACTTCCACAATGGTTGAACTAGTTTACAGTCCCACCAACAGTGTAAAAGTGTTCCTACCTCTCCACGTCCTCTCCAGCACCTGTTGTTTCCTGACTTTTTAATGATTGCCATTCTAACTGGTGTGAGATGGTATCTCATTGTGGTTTTGATTTGCATTTCTCTGATGGCCAGTGATGGTGAGCATTTTTTCATGTGTTTTTTGGCTGCATAAATGTCTTCTTTTGAGAAGTGTCTGTTCATGTCCTTCACCCACTTTTTGATGGGGTTGTTTGTTTTTTTCTTGTATATTTGTTTGAGTTCATTGTAGATTCTGGATATTAGCCCTTTGTCAGATGAGTAGGTTGCAAAACTTTTCTCCCATTTTGTAGGTTGCCTGTTCACTCTGATGGTAGTTTCTTTTGCTGTGCAGAAGCTCTTTAGTTTAATTAGATCCCATTTGTCAATTTTGGCTTTTGTTGCCACTGCTTTTGGTGTTTTAGACATGAAGTCCTTGCCCATGCCTATGTCCTGAATGGTAATGCCTAGGTTTTCTTCTAGGGTTTTTATGGTTTTAGGTCTAACGTTTAAGTCTTTAATCCATCTTGAATTGATTTTTGTATAAGGTGTAAGGAAGGGATCCAGTTTCAGCTTTCTACATATGGCTAGCCAGTTTTCCCAGCACCATTTATTAAATAGGGAATCCTTTCCCCATTGCTTGTTTTTCTCAGGTTTGTCAAAGATCAGATAGTTTTAGATATGCGGCGTTATTTCTGAGGGCTCTGTTCTGTTCCATTGATCTATATCTCTGTTTTGGTACCAGTACCATGCTGTTTTGGTTACTGTAGCCTTGTAGTATAGTTTGAAGTCAGGTAATGTGATGCCTCCAGCTTTGTTCTTTTGGCTTAGGATTGACTTGGCAATGTGGGCTCTTTTTTGGTTCCATATGAACTTTAAAGTAGTTTTTTCCAATTCGGTGAAGAAAGGCATTGGTAGCTTGATGAGGATGGCATTGAATCTGTAAATTACCTTGGGCAGTATGGCCATTTTCACGATATTGATTCTTCCTACCCATGAGCATGGAATGTTCTTCCATTTGTTTGTATCCTCTTTTATTTCATTGAGCAGCAGTTTGTAGTTCTCCTTGAAGAGGTCCTTCACATCCCTTGTAAGTTGGATTCCTAGGTATTTTATTCTCTTTGAAGCAATTGTGAATGGGAGTTCACTCATGATTTGGCTCTCTGTTTGTCTGTTATTCGTGTATAAGAATGCTTGTGATTTTTGCACATTGATTTTGTATCCTGAGACTTTGCTGAAGTTGCTTATCAGCTGAAGGAGATTTTGGGCTGAGACAATGGGGTTTTCTAGATATACAATCATGTCATCTGCAAACAGGGACAATTTGACTTCCTCTTTTCCTAATTGAATACCCTTTATTTCCTTCTCCTGCCTAATTGCCCTGGCCAGCACTTCCAACACTATGTTGAATATTAGTGGTGAGAGAGGGCATCCCTGTCTTGTGCCAGTTTTCAAAGGGAATGCTTCCAGTTTTTTCCCATTCAGTATGATATTGGCTGTGGGTTTGTCATAGATAGCTCTTATTATTTTGAAATATGTCCCATCAATACCTAATTTATTGAGAGTTTTTAGCATGAAGTGTTGTTGAATTTTGTCAAAGGCCTTTTCTGCATCTATCGAGATATCTAGTCTTGGTTTTAAAAGCAGGCCCACAAATAAATTTGATAGCATAGAGAAAATTGAAACCAAAATAATAAAGAAGAGAAAAACGTTGAATTCCAGATAGGAATAATAATCCATGTAATAAAAAGTAAGAGAAATTAAATGAGATATATTTTTCCAGAGCTTATTTCTTGGTGTTCTCAAAATTGAACTTCTGAAAAACACACTAGAAAAATTCCCTCACTTTAAGGTCTTAATAGAATGAGGATCTACTCAGTAGTGTAGAGGGAGAAGTCTCATAAAATGGAATAGGCTGAAGATAGGTCTATAAAATATTTTCAAACTGAAACATATACAGAAAACAGAATTGAAAATACAGAGACAAGTTTTAGAAATATATGGGTCTCACTGAGTGTGGCAAAGTGTACCTATAGTCCTAACTACTTGGGAGGCAGGAGGATCGCTTGAGTCCAGGGTTCTGGGCTGTATTGTGTTATGCCAAACAGGTATCTGCGCTGAGTTCAGGATCAATATGGTGACCTCCCGGGAGTGGGGACTGCCAGGTTGACTAAGGAGGTGTGAACTGGTCAAGTCGGAAATGGAGCAAGTCAAAACTCTTGTGTTGATTAGTAATGAGATCACATCTGTGAATAACCACTGCAGTCCAGCCTGGGCAACATACCAAGACCTCATCTCTAAAAAGAAAAGAAAATATGTGGGAGTTAATGAAAAGATCTAACATATATTTAAGTAGAATCTCAAAAGGAGAGGAGAAAAAGAATGAAAAGAGATAATATTAAAATTATGGAAAATACTTTTTTTCATTGCCAGTGAACTTTATTTATTGACCACTTATTATATACCAAGAATTATGCTAAGTACTACTGGTGAATTATTTTTCTTAATTCCCGTAACAAATCAATGAAGTAGTAGTATACTTATTAACATTCTATAGATGAAAAAACTGGCTTGCGGAATTTAAAGTCAAGTAACAATTAAGTCGCAGAGATAAGTTTCAAGTTTCTGACCTTACAGTCCATAATTTTAACTATGTAGTTTTTATTGTGTTTATGATGTGAGTCACAGAGTTGGTACAAATACCTCTTGAGCCTCTGAGTGCCTTGAATTTCTCAGAGCTTTTGGGGTGGTCTTAAAGCTTTGTGCTGAGACCTGGTTAGGTTTAGGTAACACAACTCTGTCATGGATACCCCACTAAACCTGATCTCTTTCATCATTCATTCTTTATTATATTTTGAAGGCCCACTCTGTGCAAGATACTTTGCTTGACATAATTTTTATATTTTTATAAGCATAATTTTCCAGGCCTGAAAGTCATATTCCCTGTTCTTAAAGAGTATGTGGTATAGTAAGGGGGTACAGATACAAACATAAATTACAACATAACGTAAGTTTATAATAACAACTATATTAATAACTGGCATTATTGGACATTTATCAAATCCAAGGCATTATCTTAAGGGTTTCACATGAATTATATCATTGAATCACCTTAAAGCACAATGAAGAAGGTATTATTATTGTCCATATTTTATAGATAAGAACACTCAGACTGAGTGAGCTTAAGTTCTCCCTTTTTTTTTTCCCGAAGTTATAAGCTAATGAGAAGAAAAACTAGGACTCAAACCTTGGCCTTCAGATGCTCAGCCTCTGCAGAGCATTCCATCGGAGGACAAATAGAGAGCACCGTCTTACATCATATGTAAACTGAGTCTAAAGAAGTTATCCAGGAATAAAAGGGAAGAAGCAAAAAAGTGTATATGAAGTTCTATATTGTGTAAGAAAGTTGTAAAATGCAATAAATTAGGCAGAATGTTGGGAAATCTATAGAACTTTGGAGTAGGCAAATTGACTCTTGTCCTTCTCAATGTTTTAAAAGTGATTTTTACAAAGGATTATGGTTACTAGGAAAACAAAATTTAGGCTCTGTCCATTCCTAAGGAACAGAGTCAGGGTTCTGAGATGTGTAAGGTGGGGGTAGGAGGGTGATAAGGAAAATATTTGAGATTTTCCTACCAGTCCTTTTCCATATACAGGGACATTGTGGCAGACAGGCCCACATCTAAACACTTGGTTTTATAAAATAGTCTCATTCTGGCAAGCTGAAGAAGATGTAAACAGGAAGGATGGAAAAATGCAAATGAGAAGGATAAAAAAATTGAATATGACTTTTCATTGTGGTATGTTTGATTTTTAGCTTTCAGCAATCACATTTCATTTTGAAACCTCACATAATGGCTAGTCTGGAATGATGAAATGGTGTGGGTCACTTCACCTTGGAGAAATAAGACAAATCACTTCAGCTTTGCAAAGCCCATACTTCTTTTCTTTAAAGATGAATTCTTGCCAAAAACAAGGGAAAGGTCATTAGAGTATTTAACTTTTCCCTGACAATGTCAGTCATTCATTAGTGTTCTTTGAAGAAGCATCCCTCTAATTTCATCTTGAATGGGATAAGATGATTTTCCTTTAAGAACTAAAATTGAAAGAGAGAGCGAGAGAGAGTTTGAGGCAGAATAGACTGTAGGAAAATAAACTGTACTATGGCTTCCTGGGGAAAAAAAGATCACCCTTTCTCTTCTTCAGCTACCTTTTAACATCTCAGAATAGAGGTTCTGAGCTGGGAGCTGGTGCCTCAGAATGCCCTTTGTTGGCAGCTGAAATATAGAACCTCTGCTGGTCTCCTGAAACAATATGCCATTTGACAGATATTAGGTAAATGAAAGAAAAAAATTTTAAACCCTAGGGCTCTAGAGCATGAAATTTTTAACTGAAGAAAAATAAAAAATATTTTCAGTATACTCACATCCCAATTCCAGCAATATCTAACAATGGACTTCCAGTTGTTACTTTTTAAAACTAGTATTTCTAGCTTAGCTCACCAACTCTGCTGCTAGTGTTGCTTCCTGAGCGGGGCATTCCTTGGACTAGTACAGGAAATGGTTAGCTGAGTTAGCTTGTACTGGATAAGATGATCTTAGAAATCGTTTGGAATGTATTGATATGGTATCGTGTGTGGGGCAAGGGACTAGGTGTCTCAGGATCTGAGGTCTATTTTCGGTTAGGGTCCTAACCTAGTGGCTGGGAATTCTTGGTATCTCTTCATCAGCATCTGAAAAGTGGGACTACTGGATCTACTCTGCTTATTTTGCATTGCGATGTGATGGTCAAATGAAATGCTACATGTGAAACAGCTTTGAAAAGTACAGAGATCTTCACACAAGTAACAGAAAGGCATTCCCAAGCCAGCCTGTGGAAGGGCTTGGTTTATAGAACAGCTCCATAGCCTTGTGAGGAATGAAGAGGGCACCAAGTTGGTTGCCAAGTGCCCTCCTGGTTTGCTTGCAGGTAGTGCCAGAAATGGGTAAAACTTCAAAGTATAACTTGTGGAAGGGAACCCTTGAGGAAAAAAAGGCAAATGAAGTGCAGTGCATTTTGGTCCTGCCTCAGGGAGACAAGGCTTACCCTCAAAGGAAGGTCTGTAAATCATCTAGGAGGGGAGCTATCTGAGTCTGGATAGATTTCCAGTGGAAAAGACTTGTATCCTTGTTCTTTTCAATTCTGTTACAGGTGACCCCGTGGGGTGGAGAGGGGAGGAAAGCAGAAGGGAATGGAATTGGCCACTGTGACAAACACCACACATACGGTTGAGGATTATAATCTTTAATTATTTTCTCAACAAGCATTTATTGGGTACCTGCTCTATGCCAGGTCTTGTGATAGGAGATTAAAAGATTAAGGCATACAAATATGGTTGGGATATGGCTTCTGCCATTAGGATGTTTACCAGGTGGGTGACAGATGTGGGCAAATCTAGCAGTACAATGGTGTGATGATGTAGAAACACAGGCAAGGAAGTAGTTACTTATGCCAGGACAGGGCAGGGAAGACTTCACAGCTTTCATCAAGCTGGGGCTTGAAGAACAAGGATGGACTATCCAAGATGTCAAAGAGGGAAAATGCTTTCTGGTTATTGGAAATGGCATGTTAAAAGTGTGAGTGTCAGGGGATAAGCATGATGTGATTGTTGGGAACATGAGTAGAGTCCTTGGTCCTACTTAAGTAAAGTGTGAGAAAAGGAGTGGAAAATAGTGATGAGAGAGGATGTCAGAAATGTAGGAAGATACCAGATCATGAAAGGCCTTGATATCTGGTTAATATACCAGTGGGTATGCCAAAGATCTCCAGCTATAACCTTGGGTTCCCAACCTGTAATCTTCTCGAAGACCCATGAAGATAACTTGTTCTGTTAGTAGAGTTGAACCCAGCGTTTGTTCTCAAGGTGGGAGATTAATAAAAATTCAAGTGTTTTAAATCCCCACCTGGCCCCTAGATCTTGAAGCAGAAAGAGGGATTGGCTTGAAAATGCCCCCTAGATGATTCTAAGTGGCCCCTTCAGGAAGTGGCTGGAGCAGTTTGAGGTGAGTAGAAGAGCTGAGTAGGTTTGGAGGCACAGAGCCGGTTGCTCAATGTTTGGAGGCACACTCCTGGCTGCAGAGTGAGCCACAACCTCACTCTGATTCTTGAGGACAGATGTACCTGGAATGTGAGATGGCACTGACAGAAGGCAGGGGATAATGCTGGTTCAAAGTAGAGCTTCCTTGGCAGATTATTTTCACCTAAATAATTTTGCATAAATTCCTTAAGGCTGGCTTTTTGTGATGCCTACAGAATTGCAGAAAGGCCTTGTGCCTTTTCACCTACTGGAATAAAGTTTCATCCTTTGAGTTTCTTCTTAACGGTCTGAAGAGCTGGAACAGGATGAAGAATGTACCTGCATTAGCTAGCAACCTAGTATATGCAGGCACCTAAGTACTTAACTACCTTCTCCCTTCACTTAGCAAGTATTTCTCATTTCAGATGCCATTAATTTTATTACCACAATTGTTAACATAAGACCATCTGGTATAGCCCAAACAAGACACCATTTTCATTTTTATATACTATGTATTAATTGCTATGTATTAATTGTCGCTCCCAGTACTTTAAGCTATAACAATTGTGCTAATTAACATGTTTTCTTTGATCAAGTGAGAGCGAAGACTCAGTTTCATATCAATATTTATTCTGATTCTTAGAAATTACAAAAGGATTTATTCTAATTTTATGTAGATTTGGAAAATTTTTGTTTAGCATATTATTCAGGAACCAAGATAATCCTTTGGCTATATAGAAATAACATGAGCAACACCATCAGTTGGATTTGTAGGATATATTGTATGAGCATATCATACATTTGCCATAGAAACAGTCCTAGACACAATAGCATACTTCCCATCTGCTACGCTAATTATTGTTTTGCCAATAAGGGTAACAATTTTCAGCTGACTAGCTAATTTACATAGAAGAAATACAATTACTGCCAGATATACAATAAGCCTTAGTAGGCTTTAGTTTCCTATTATGTTGGAGGGTGTGATGGTTAGTTTTGTGTGTCAACTTGGCTAGTCTATAGTCCCCGGTTATTTCATCAAACACTAATCTAGGTGTTGCTGTGAAGATATTTTTTGGTTAACATTTACAATCAAGTTGACTTTAAGTAAAGGGGATTGCCCTTGATAATGTGAGTGGGCTTTATCCAATCAGTTAGAAGCCTTTAAGAGCAAAAACTGAGGTTTTCTGTTGTAATTTTTATTGTTATGGTTTCTTTACAATTTAGTTTTGAGGTCTCTCTGTTGAGAGCAGCCATAAGCCAAGACAGCCATTCTGCAGGAGAGCCTAGGATGGGAGAAAATTAGGTTTGGATGTGTCAGTCAGGTGAGACACAATGAGGTGGTGAAACCATTCATGAAACAGAAGAGATTCATTACTTACAAAACCAAGAAAGGCTAGGGGTGCCAATGGGGAGCTGATGGGAAGTCTAGAGGTGGCAGGGAGCTCAGCCAGCGAGTGCGGAGCAAGAGACAGTGAGAGGACCTGCGGGATTATGCCTTTACTGAGGTCCATGAGCATTATCTCGTAGACTTTTCGGCAGAGTATGTGAATTGGCTAGTTTAAAGAAAACACACAAGAAGTGGGGAACTTAAATTTTTATAACTCTAGTATTGACCATTAGGTTTATTGTGGTCAGGAGCAGCAGGATGTGTTGGGTTTTGGGTCAGTGAGATGAGGAACAAGCGGTCTATACCACAAACAAATTTTTAACAGGCCAAAGGTGACCGAGCACAACTGGGTTTCAAAACATTCATGTCAGGTCTAAAAATGGATGCTGAGGCAGCAACTATATTAAACACATTTATGGCACCTGTAGAAGAAGAAATTCTGCCTGTGAACTGCAGCATTAACTCCTGCCTGAGTTTCCAACCTGCTGGCCTCCCTTACTCTACAAGCTGACAGATGGAGCCTCAAAGAAGAGGTGATATTGCAGCTCTAGTCCAAAGGCAGTGGCTTCCAGAATTTCATCTTTCTTTGGAGACCACTGTCTTTTTCATAAGGCCTTCAACTGATTGGATGAGGTCCACCAACATTATGCGGGATAATCTGCTTTATTCAAAGTCTACTGATATAAATGTTAATCTCATTTTAAAAATATCTTCATAGCAGCATCCAGAAGTTTGACCAAATATCTGGGTACTGTGGCCTAGCCAAGTGGACATGTAAAATTAATCATCACAATATATATTATAGTATTTTTTCCCATTTCTACTATGTCTTATCTATAAGAATAGGTGGCTTTGTGGATTGATTTCCATTATTTTCAGAATATACACCATATGCTACATGATCCAAAGGCCCACCTTATAAAGGTACTTTGAGGTGTTAATTTAACACAACATAGTCTTTCTATCATGCTGTGTCAATGCTCAGCCTATCTAGACTCTACATGCTTATTCGGCATGAAATGCTGTCTCATCTATAGGGTGATTTATTTCAGTAGTAGCAGGAATACTAATAATATTTATAATCAGAGAAGTATTTGCCTCAAAGCAAGAAGTATGCCCTCTACGATATAAAATATTTCAAGAACCAACCTTTGTGAAAGCTTAAGTACTCAAAACACTTGAAACAGCAAAACACCCAGCCCCTTGAAAATCAAATTCTTTAAAATTGCCTTCAATAACACTATGACTTTTTTTAAGCAGATGAATTATTACTAAAAGTTATTATACAACTTTGTCAAATTGATTGATTGGTTAAACTCCCTTGTGCCATAATGGTTCACCCATTCCAACCATAGTTTCAAAATGCAGCTTCTCCTATTATAGAAATATTGCTGTATTTTTCATGACCATGCCCTTGTAATTGCACTTCATTATGTGCAAAATTATTTTACATAAGCACAATAGAAAAACTATTGTGTGTCTGTATTGGTAATAATTACAATTACCACAGTTAAATATATCCACAGGAAAATCAAGTCTATACCAATCTAGATTTGACTCATTAGGATCTGCTTACCTACATTTTCAACAAAATTCTTTCTAGAGGCAATTACATTCTTGCTATTTGGCTCAGAAATTGTGCTCTTTTCACCACTAGCTTGGGCATCCCAGATAATCAACCTACAATTGACGCTTATATAATAGCATCTATTTTTATTCCACTATTAGCCAACTTACAAATGAATCAAAGAACTTGAAGAAATAGAATAAATCTACAATAGAAAGTCTTGCGTTCATTTTTAAACTCTTTCATCATTGTCTTGACAACTATCATATCCACACATTACGTTGAAAGTTGTTATAAAGCCCTGAAACTGGAGAAAGTGTCCTGAGGTAGAAACTTTCTGCATCTCCCATACAACCACTGCTCTCCAGCTACCCTATGCCCCTATAGTGCCACTTGGGGCCAGACTTGTCTCTGACCCCACATATTTTGATTGCTTGGTTGTCTTACTAAGGAAGTCAAGGAAATCAAGAGGGACTTCAACTCATCATCTGAACAGGCAAGAAATGCACCACCACAGGTGGGTGTCTTTCCTGGACTCAGCTCTCTTCTGAGTTCCTTACTTTTCTCCAAGCCTGTTGAATCATCCTCCTCACAGTTCCTTCTATCCCAAGTTATCGTATGAGCAAGAGCTTATTTCTTTCTTAGGTATCCCTCAGACCTGCTCAGAGAAGTGGGAACCTAATGAATGCTTTATCATGCTCAGTGCATGCAATTTAGTGATATTTAGGAACCAAAGCCTTATTGGAGCTCCAGGTCAAGTTGACTGATACCAATCTGTCCAGTTCATTTGACATCTAAATTAAAACATACCAGTTTTTAAATATGACTTCCATCCTTTCTGATTTAAATGTTACAATGTAAGAAACTAAAGTCAAACTGTAAGAACTCTCCAGTACAAGAAATGATTA
Organism: Homo sapiens; assembly: GCF_000001405.40. Taxonomy (NCBI): domain Eukaryota; kingdom Metazoa; phylum Chordata; class Mammalia; order Primates; family Hominidae; genus Homo; species Homo sapiens. The sequence continues at coordinate 155,429,915 of NC_000003.12, read as the reverse complement.
TAGGTGACTAGCGGGTTGGGGCACAAAGGATCCAGGATAATTTAATACACCTTGTCTTTCCCATTTATTTATTTTTTCCATTTTTTTATTTTTTGAGACAGGGTCTCACTCTGTCACCCAGTCTGGACATGCAATCTTGGCCCACTGCAACCTCCACTTCCTGGGCTCAAGCAATTCTCCAGCCTCAGCATCCTGAATAGCTGAGACTACAGGCATGTACCACCAATGCCTGGCTAATTTTTGTCTTTTTTGTAAAGATGGAGTTTCACCATGTTGGCCAGGCTGGTCTTGAACTCATGAGCTCAAAGTGATCCATCTGCCTCAGCCCCCCGAAGTGCTAAGATTTTAGGAGTAAGCCACTTCACTTACCATCTAAGGATGATAGAAACCAGCATTTCCTTGTGGGGAGACCCTCTTTTGTAGAGAAAGCTAGCTGGGGCTAGACAAAATGGTGTAGACTCAGTTTCAGTGTGCACCACCCCCTTTCTCTGCCCCTTTGGCCCTGCCATTTCAGCTGACTCACTCATAGCATTCTCCCCTCAAACCTCTCAAGGTAGGCTCTGGTAAGAGCTAATGCCAGTTATTTGTACCTTAGTGTGAACTAAGTTTTGGCTATCTCTTGTATTCTAAGGATAAGAAGCTTGGTCCAGGTAAGAAATCCCATAACTTGGTAGCGTGTATCAGTGGAGGAGGGTTGCTTCATCTGGGCTCAAGTTAGTTCCAATCCTTTAAGGCAGGGGTTCTCATTGCCTAGTCCCTGGATCAGAAGCAGCACCTGAGAACCTTTTAGAAATCCAAATCATCAGGCTCCACACCCCTACTGACTCAAAATTTGAGAGGTGGGAGTTGTAATGACCTGATGGCTTCATTTTGCCTGCTGCCCAGAAAAGCTGATTTACTGAGACAGCATTATCGCAATAGAGAAAGAGTTTACTAAATGCAGAGCTGACTAAATGGTAGACTGGAGCTTTGTTATTACTCAAATCAGCTTCCCTGAAAATTCGTAGGCTAGAATTTTTTTAAGAATATTTTGGCGGACAAGAAGCTAGGGAATGAGGAATGATGATCAGTTGAGTCAGGGATAAAAATAGGGAGTTGGAGCTTGTCTTCTTGTGCTGAGTCAGTTGCTGGGTGGGGGCCATGAGACCAGATGAGCCAGTTTATTTGTCTGGGTGACACCAATAAGCTGAAAAACACCTCGAACACCAATCCAATCTTAAGATTTATAGTAGTGATGTTATCCATAGGAGCAATTGGGGAGGTTAGGAATCTTGTGGCTTCCGGCTGAATGACTCCTGAGCCATAATTTCTAAATTTGTGGCTAATTTGTTAGTTTTACAGAGGAAGTCTGATTCCTAAACAAAAAGGGGGTTTGTTTGGGGAAGAGGCTGTTATCATCTTTGTTTCAAAGTTAAGTTATAAACTAAATTCCTCCTGTAGTCAGACAGTCCTATGCCCAGGAATAAGCAAGGGCAGCTTAGAAGTTAGAAGCAAAACGGAGGTCAAAGTTCTTTCACTGTCATAATTTTTGTAAAGATGGTTTCGGAGTGTAGGAGCAATGTGTATTTTAGCAAACCCTCCAGATGATTCTGATGTGTACTCAGGGTTGAGAACCCCTGCACAGGAATCATCACTCTAGACCCACAAAAGCAAGGCAGACCTGGCTGCCCCAATGACATCTACTATACAAAGTTATGTTGGCTGAATGGTTAAATAACAGGCATTATACACCTACAAAAATTTAAAGTTAATTTTAGTTTGAGCCAAGATTGAAAACTAATAGCCCAGGAACACAGATTCAGCACAAACCAAGAATGTGTCCCAGGGTTGCCTACATGAGGCACAGTATTTATATGTTCTGATACATAGAAATAGGAGAAGGAGGCACTGAAGCAAAGGTGACATGTTTATAGTTCTAATTGGTGCTCAGTGATGTCGTACATAAGATAAAGCAAGCTTATATAAAGTAAAATGTTAATGAGTATGTAGGCATCTTAGGATTTGGAGACGAATGATTAGCTCTATCCTTACTTTGTGCTTCATCTGATAGGCAAAGTAGTAATCAGTACATGCCAGTGAAATATTTGACAGACTCCAGCCTTGCAGGCGAGAGCTCAGCTTTAATGCATAGGCCTTATTTCTGTTGTCTATATGTCCAAACTGCAGCCATCTTAGGCTACTTTTAGAAATTTTTCTTTCATATTTGCCTTCTTCTAACAGTTATTATGCTTGGAAGATTTATTGCAATCATGTCAACAAAGCCCTGGGCAAGTCCCAGGGATTAATATTTGCTATTATAGGAGACCCTGGGATTAATTTTTTTGATGAATATTACTCTGTAATGGGATATTATGCATCACATCTAAGAGAATAAGGTTTGCTGATGGAATTAAGAGCACAAACAAGGGAAATGCTCATCTATTTGTGAGCCTGACTTTTCATCCAAATAATGAATAAGCTAATTACAACTCTGATCCATTAAAGCACACAAGACTTTCTTATTCCCCTTTCAACCAGTGTTACCTTTTTATTCTTGGAAATAATGAAACTGTATTTCTTTTAAGATGCTCTCAGACCTACCAGACTGAGATTTGTCCTCAAATGGGGAAAACTTTGCAGACTTTTATAATTTTAAAATCTTCAATCTAGCATTAGAGAATAGAAACTACCAACAACGAGGAATGAAAGGAGAGAGAAAGAGGAAAAGAGAAACTCAAGGTCCCAAATAGAAAAGAAGCTTAGGTGGAGGGGGGCAGGATAGGAAGAGGGGCTAAGAGGCATTACAGTAAAGTACTAATGAAAGGAGTTAGACAGCTTGCTTTAGGCAGACAGTAAGGGACGGGTCCCTGGAGAACCTCCAACATGCCTCACAAGTGCTTACACTAGATGTTTTGTGCAGATAAGGGAACTTGCACAGGAGACTTGCCTGAAACATGCCTGCAGTTGAAAATTCCATTCCTTAACACATGTGCAGTAAGGGAAATAAATCAATATGGAATGGATCAGTCTAAGGGCCCACATGTGCACTGGAAGGATGGGTTGAAGCCACTAGGAATTCACGCCTTAAACCCTGGTATTTAACTGTGAAGGGGGCAACCAGCAACCTGCTTTCAGGACCCCTCTTTTTGCTGAGAGCTTTCCTTATGCTTAATAAATTCTACTCCACTCACTCTCTGGTGTCCACATGCCTAATTCTTCCTTGTCATGAGACAAGAACCCAGATGTAGCTGAGCTAAGGAGCGAAAATCCTGCATCACTACATGTCTCTATTTCTGAAATTTTAAATTTATACATTTATGTTCCTTCCCACATGTTTTGTATATTCAAATTGAAGTGCTGAACCAAGACCAGAATATTCTAAAAGAGAGGAGGAAGGAAGAGGGCAGAAGAGAGTAGTGGAAGAGCAACACTGATGTTTTAGGGGAGAAAAAATAATTTTATCTCTACTCCCCATAGTTCTTAGTTGGGACAGATCCCTGTAACAAAAGACAGATTAACAAAAACAAAGCAAAACAAAAATGTTTAAGAATATGTATGCACCCTATATATGTAAGAGATAACACAGATGAATGAGTGAATCTCTAGATCTCCAAGAATTTATACTTCAGGCTTAAATCCCGTCATTCTCTGGAAAAAGAAAGAAAGGTGTGAATAAAGGCCTCGTTGAAATGAAATGACCAGAAAAAGCATGGAAAACAGGGAAAGGTTTGTTATGCAGATTTAAGTCCTTAAGATGCTTTCTAAAGGCAGAAAAATGTCAGATTTAAGATGTTTTCTTCATTAATAAAAGTCTCTAGTGATTCAGTCATTCTTCTCTTTCTGGAAAGTACACAGAAGATATCCTTAAAAATGGAGATTTCCTTTGTGGTTGTAAATTTCTCTTACAAAAGGGCTACTGTTTCAGAGCCTTTCCTGTGTCTTCTGTTTCTCAAAATAAACATTATGCCAGAGATGCATATTTTGGGGTGGTATATCCTGGTATCCAATGGTCATCTTTTGGGATGATGTATCCTGAGCCTTATCAACATCCAAAGTAATAACTTATATTGCTTCAGTGCTTTAGTTTACAAAGCACTTGTTTCTTCCTCACAATACTATGGGAGAGGCAGAGGTTAGCAGTATTAACCCCTATAGAAGAAGAAGCTGAGGTCCAGAGATTAGAGATAGATCAGGTGCTCAACAAGTGATGGAACCGTGTTTTGGAAATAAACAAAGACCAGTCAAATGAGAACAAGCAAAGGCTATTATCCAGCTTGTTATATCAAGGGAGTCAGCTGCCATCCCTTATGTCTTGGCAGAGACTCAAAAGCAGGCAGCAGAGTGGGAAAGTTTTACAGTGGAAATGTCATAGGCATTTGAACCAGAGCAGCTTTACCTTGAATAGGGGCTAGGTAAAATAAGGCTAAGACCTGCTAGTCTGCATTCGCAGGCAGTTAGGCATTCTAAGTCATGGGATGAGATAGGAGGTCAGCACAAGATACAGGTCATAAGGACTTTGCTGATAAAACAGATTGCAATAAAGAAGCCAGTTAAAACCCACAAAAACCAAGATGGCAATGGAGTGACCTCTGATCATCCTCACTGCTACACTCCCACCAGTGCCATGACAGTTTACAAATGCCATGGCAATGTCAGGAAGTTACCCTATATTGTCTAAAAAGGGGAGACATGAATAATCCACCCGTTTAACATATAATCAAGAAATAACCATAAAAATGGGCAACCAGCAGCCCTGGGAGCTGCTCTGCCTATGGAGTAGCCATTCTTTATTCCTTTACTTTCTTAATAAACTTGCTTTCACTTTACTTTATGGACTCGCACTGAATTCTTTCTTGTGTGAGATCCAAGAACCCTCTATTGGGGTCTGGATCAGGACCCTTTTCTGGTAACAGAAAGCAGGGGAGCTTTAGTTATTCCCTGATTGAGGCTGTTGGCAGGGGGAAAATGTAGGCAGGTATCCTGCGTGATTGGTTAGGGGTGCATATCTGGCTTTCTCTGGTTGGTTCTAAGTTGGAAGCAGGAACAAAAACTAGGAAAGTTGTCATTATTAATCAAGTCCTGGCCATTTGGGGCTAATTACTATAGGGATTATTGTTCAGTTCCCTGAATTTTACCAGAGATAGTTATCTGACTTCACATAAGTTTGAGTTATTGATAGCAGGCTGGTTTTCTAGGCTGGTTAATGTAGATAATGGGCTGGTTTCCTGGGCTGTTGGCTGCAGGTTGTGGGTCAGAATTCTATTTTATATGTGGTCTGTCCATTGTCCATCTGTATATTTAGGCTGTCATTACTGAGTCCTTTTTGATTTTAGTTTTTGTTTAATGTCTTTTAAGGTAAGGCTAGAGTTGTGCCATCCACTGTCTATTTTGCCCAAGGCTCTTCTGGAGAGTCCTGGAGCAGCCTCACATATCTGAAGAATTCCATTTAGTTTCACATTAGCATTTTAGTAGAAGTTAGTTCAGAGAAAATTTTGTCTGGCCCCTTGAATTCCAAGCCTATTCCTGGATTTTACAATGCAAGGAATGAACAAACTTTTGCACCTATTTGCTTGATGGAGTATGACAACCTCTAGCCCTGGGGACCTTTATTCCCAATTGGCTGCTCGTGCTGCAGGGTCTGGGTTTGCAATGCAAATGAGAGACTGCAGAAGGCTGCTGTCTTCTGCAGGGTGACTAGCTTAGTCACCCCTCTTATCCTGCCCTGGATGGCAGCTTCCTTGTACCAGTTCTTATCTCCTGTCTTGTGAGCCGAGGAGAGCTTGCAATGAAACAGGTAACAGGTAACTGGAACATTTATAATTCTGAGACCTCACATTGTGGAAATTGTTCCCATTCCCAAATATTAGGAAACAAAGTCAAAGAGATTGTAAAGCCACAGGCAAGACTGCCTTGGGCTGTTACTAGTCTGCAACCAGGAAAGAGAGCTCTTTGTGGAGCAGCTGCTGTTTTGGTGTGACATAAGCCTGGCAGCCCTTTCCTCCAGCCCCCCTACTTGGTGGGCTTGGCAGCTGCCAATGTGTGAGTTAAGAGAGACCCCAGTAATCTGACACAGTGCCCCAAATGTCAACAATTTGAAAGCCATTGGTCTACTGTTACCTGGTGCTTCCTCCACTAATACCTCTGAATTACTTTTGCGAATAAATTTATAAGCTGCTAAGGGTTCAGGGCGGGGACCAGTGACCTCAAAGGAAAGTGACTTCCTGCGCTTGCACTGTAGTTGTTGAGCCGAACAGTGTGACACTTTTGCAATAGATGTGACTCAGAACTGAAGTTCAGGACCTGAAAGGGGGGCTCTCTGTAGAAATCCCTGTACATTATGGCCATGAAAATAAGTAAGTCAACATCTAAGCTGTTGAAACTGCAAAATACTTTTCTATTTCTTCTTTTTTCTTTTTCAACTTTCTTAGAATCTAGGGGTACATGTGCAGGTTTGTTATTGTGTGATGCTGAGGTTTGGGGTATGACTTAACCCATCATCCAAGTAGTGAGATAGTATTCAATAGGTAGTTTTTCAGCTCTTGCTTCCCTCTTTGTCTCCCCTGCTAGTAATCCCCAGTGTCCATTGTTCTCATTTTTATGTCCATGTATATCCAATGTTTAGCTCTCACTCATAAGTGAGAATATGTGGTATTTGGTTTTCTGTTTCTGTGTTAGTTTGCTTAAAGTAATGGCCTCCAACTCCACCCATGTTGCTGCAAAGGACATGATTTAATTCTTTTTTATGGTTGAATAGTATTCCATTGTGTACATATACCACATTTTTCTTTGTCCAATCCACTGTTGATGGGCTCCTGGGTTGATTTCATGTTTTTGCTATTGTGAATAGTGCTGTGATAAACATAAAGTTGCATGTGTCCTCTTAGTGGAATGATTTATTTTCCGCTGGGAAATACCCAGTAATGGAATTGTTGGGTTGAATAGTAATTCAATTCACAGTTCTTTGAGAAATCTCCAAACGCTCTCCACAGTGGCTAGACTAATTTATATCCCACCAACAGTATATAAGTGTCCCCTTCTCTCCACAACCTCACCAGCATCTGTTATTTTTTGACTTTTTTTAAAAAAGCCATTCTGACAGATGGAAGATGATCTCTCATTGTGGTTTTGATTTGCACTTCTCTAATGATTAGTCGTGTTGGACATTTTTTTCATATGTTTGTGGGCCACTTGTGTATCTTCTTTTGAGAAGTGTCTGTTCATGTTCTTTGCCTACTTTTATTGATTTCCTGTTTAAAGAACATTACAGTAGTTTGAGCCTTAAAGGAATATAATTATAGTACCCAAGTCAGAGTCAAAGAGTTAAGCAGAGTTAAGCAGGCAGCTATACCCTTTGCTTCTGTCATTACAGATATGCCTTCTTCCTTATTTACCTTGTTTTGAGGAATGTTGTAAATAACTGAGGCGTTCCAGGGAAGACCCCTTTCCTCTTTACTGTTGATTTGCATTACAGATGAATTTCCCTCTTACCTTTCTCACACAAAGACGTCATGGCTATCACATGGTCTTAAGATAAAATGTTAAACACACTCTTTTAAACTGGAAAGGAAATAAAAACCAGCTGCAAAGAAAACAAGCTGTATGGACAAGAAAACAAACTAACTGAATTGTTGTAACTCATAAACCAACCATGTATAGAAATGTTATGATCCTACTAAACTTCTTTGTTTTCTGCCTATATTAGCAAGATCTTAACTTTTAACTTTGAAGCTATGACCCATTTCTCTGGGGTCTGTGTCTCCTGGATGGTCATTCTCAGCTTTTTGCCTTAATAAGCTCTTTAAAATTGGATTCTGAGCCTTTTGATTATTTCAGGTTGTCAGTCTGAGCTCTCTGGTGACATTCTTCACTCACATGGACTCCTTTCTGGCCTCAAATGTGCCAAGTTCTTCCACACTCAGGGCCTCCCAATGTGCTGTCCCCTCGCCTAGAATGCTTCTCTACTTCTTCACTTCCCAGGACCCTACTTATCCTTCAAGGGCTTAAAGATCATTTTCCTGGGGACGCTGCCTGAATCCTTGGTCTGGTTATGCCTCCTTTGTTTCTCATTTTCTTGTGCCATGTATTTTTCTTTTATAATGCTTATCATACTTCAGATCACACACTTATTTGTGTGATAATTTAATGTTAGCCTTGCTCATAGGACTGTAAGCTTCCTGGGGGGAAGGACCACGTCTGCCTCCACTGATGAATCCCTCAGGCACAATGCCTGACACAGTAGATACATAAGGTATTTTTGGTGAATGAATGAATAGCATGATCAAAATTCTGTGTCTGCTCTCTTCTGCTAAATCGAGTTCCCCATGGATTAATCCTACTGCTGGAGTTTCGATTCTCTGTTCCAATACACTCCACTCAGTCTCCCCCAAATTGACGCATTTTCTGTCTGAAAAATAACCTGATCTGTATTTTTCTCTTAGAGACCCAGCAGCAGCTCTTTACCACCCAGTTCTGCTCAGTCTTTTTCTTGACACTGGCCTCTGTCACTCACCAAGTCCTTATTCCCTTATTCTGTCCTGTTTCTTCTCTAGGATGGGAGAAGAGCTTCAAACACTGGGATTGCCTTCCCTTTGTCATTTAAAAATAAGAGCTAGGCATCACTTTACAAAGGCTGAAAGAGAGAGTGCTCTGTTCAGGGTGCACTCAGCCTGGACTCCCAGGACAAACATTTCTATGCATGACCTTCACATATGTGCTCCAGGAACAGCAGAAGAGACTCTCTCATTACTGTGAGCACAGATATTGTGAGGACTAGTGCTCAAACTAATAGGTATATATTTGCTGTTTCTCAGAGCAGCTATTGTCAGGACTTCTACTGCACAGTTCCAGGGTGGGTCTAGGGGGCTCCACTTACACAAAACAATGTGAGTGGCTCCTCCTGGAGTTTGAAATGCTAATTGTTTGTGGATAAAAAATAAATTCAAATGTCCCATACCTTTTAGAATGAAGTGGTATGAGTCTGGGTCTTTAAATCAAATGGGCAGTGACTTTATGAAGTGAGAAGCATGAAATATCGCATAGGAAAGTCTTAATTTTCCAAGTCAATAAATTTGAAAACCAGCAACCAGACTGAAATGATTAAAGAGAAAGGAAGGAAAAAAACCTCTGTTTCCATGTAGTCAATTTGTAAGTCTGTAAGGAATTTAAAATCTTACTCTTTATTTTAGCATCGAGTGTGTGCGTTCATTTCTTCCTCCAGACAAAATACAGCATTTTAGGTTCATCTGGGACTTAGATTATATGGAGAGTTTGTATGACTTGGCAAGAATGGTTGGGGATGGGGGAGGGAGGGAAAGAAAGACAAAGGGTTCTTCTGCTATGTTTTTATTGGAAATATTTTCCATTTGTGCACAGAATAGAAAATTTAAACAACTGTTCTCAAAGTGCTTGTGTATTAAATGCCTCGGTGGTTAGTTGGGTTCTGTGACAGAACCCGCTTCAGGGTATTAATAAGACAAGTTGGATTTTAGCCAAATCTTTCCACTAAAGGGTAGACTATGGACAGGGAACATTAGTTAGGAGGCTCTTAGAGTAATGCTGGGAAATATTATGAGCACTAAACCAAAAACTTGCCATATAGCAATGGTTCCCTGGAGACTGTGAGGATGTGTGGCAAACACTTTTATTTGGCTACATAATGGTCATTCCCAATTCACGTCCTTCTTAACTACCTTCAATTATAGCAGCTGAGAAAGGCCAAATGCTCTTTCTTAGCCTCCCTTGCAGCTAGAGTTGTATATTAGTCTGTTCTCACTTTGCTAATAAAGACATACCTGAGACTGAGTAATTTATAAAGGAAAGAGGTTTAATTGACTCATAGTTCCACATGGCTGGAGAGGCCTCACAATCATAGCTGAAGGCAAATGAACAAAGTCATGTCTTCCATGGTAGCAGGCAAAAGAGCTTGTGCAGGGGAACATTTATTTATAAAACTGTCAGAACTTTTGAGACTTATTCACTACCACAAGAACAGTGAGGGGGAAACTCTAACCATGATTTAATTATCTCCACCTGGTCCCACCCTTGACACATGGGAATTATTACAATTCAAGGTGAGATTTGGATAGGGACACAGCCAAACAATATCAAGTTTTCTATGGAAACTTGTTCTGTCCAGTGAGACTTAAGAGAAAGTCAACTGGGAGGATTCTGGAAAGGACTTTGCTCCTGGATAAAAGGAGAGAGCATATCATCATGATAGCTCTTTTTCCTTTCTCTTCTTACCATGCAGCTTTACATGAATCCAGGCTTTGGACATGCTCATGTAGAACTGATGCCTGCATCTGTAATAACCATGTTGTGATCCTATGAGGAAGGTCATGACAGTTGCAGAGACACTGACCCGGGTCCTGACCCTTTGTTATTTTTGAACCAGTTTTGTGATAACCTATATCCAGGTTTAATTTCTTTGTAGTTTATAAACTCTTAGTTTTTATTGTTGTCTTTGCTATCTGCAGCCAAAATCCTTCCTAACTGAGTCAGGACATAATATAGTTTCTGCTAGCCCAAGGAAGCAATACGGACTACTGGAGAAAAGCATGGGTTTTATTTGCAGTCAGAAAGACCTGGGTTCAAATTCTGGCTCTTTTTTTTTTCCCCAAGTTGGAGTCTTGCTTTGTTGCCCAGGCTACAGTACAGTGGTGTGATCTCGGCTCACTGCAACCTCTGCCTCCTGGGTTCAAGTGATTCTCCTGCCTCAGCTTCCCGAGTAGCTGGGATTATAGTCATGTGCCACCATGCCCGGCTAATTTTTGTATTCTTAGTAGAGACGGGGTTTCATCATGTTGGCCAGGCTGGTCTCGAACTCTTGACCTCGTGATCTGCCCAAAGTGCTGGGATTACAGGCGTGAGCCACCGCCCCTGGCCAAATCCTGGCTTCTTTACTGGCCACTTGAACTTGGACAAGATAATATACATCATGGAACATGGATATTATCATCTGTTAAAGAAGGGAGTTGGACAAATAGAAAGATCATACCATGAAAATAAATGGTAGTAACCTAATGTGCCAAAGGTTAAAAAAAAAAAAAAAGCAGAATTACAATTTATGCTGTAGGGACAAGCAAAGAAGGTATATACTCTCAGTGTTCCATAAATTGGGTTTGGTTGCCCCAGACATGACCCAACATTGTGAAGTTTTACATGATAAAAATGAAATTTATCCACAGCAGCTCTGCTCTTATCAAGAGCCATCTGCAGCATGTCAGAGGGGGTTTTCTTGTTGTTTTAATATATAATCAGTGACTGCATTTTACTATTGCTGTCAGCTCTGAGGACCTGGTCTCTGTGGAGCTTCCGCAGCATCTAAAGCTTTGTCTGGCTGGGTGCCATGGCAACAGCTACACTCCTAGCACCAGAGATGTGCTTGTTTTTCCAAGAGCCAGACGTTGGCCTCCCATTCCTGGGGAAAATAGGCTTTCTCCTTACTGAGTCCTGCCACAGAGTTCTTCAGCCTCACTTTTAGCCAGTGGTTACTAGACAGGTGGACTACCACCAATTGACTAGCTAGATAAACTGTTTTTAGGCTACAGAGTAGAACTTTCTGCTTTATGATTCCCCAAGATAGACATTCATCAGGTTAGAATGCTCTGGATCTAGCAAAGTGACACTTCTGAAAGGAAAGAAAGGACTTTAATGATATGCACCCTCTTCTTTAAAAAGCAGACTAATTTGGAAAGCATTGGCCAAATTCTTATGTGTCTTTTCTAGGAGACCAGATCAGGTCTGCCAAAAAATAAGCAGTCTAAGTGAACTGTCAGGATCAGGGGGATTTTAAGCTGTATGTGTACAACATTTTCCCAGAGAGATTTAACCACTATGTGACCACCATAGTGCCTCACTATGTTCAGCTTCAGAGTTTCATCAGCCCGTTTGTTATCCCTGTCCTTTTGCAGATTAGGTTGCCATGGCTGGCAGAAGCGAGAAAATTGATGGTGAAAACTGACAAAAACCCAGTCCAGGGCCCACATCTATGTAGAGTCTTGAACAACAAGAGCTCCTTGAATATTCTCTCTTACCAAAAAGGAGGATCTGGAAGATGAGCATTTTTTTTTCAGTCTGTGAAAGATTCAATGATGGTAGCACCTTCAATTTTTAGAGAAATAACATCTATGTCCTATTGGATTGTTTTTCACCTGTGCCTAGGATTGTGGGTGAGAGAGTAGTGGGGGTACCAGTTTGAGCCTAAACTGAATTTATTTCTGGGACTTGAAACTTTCCGGGCAAGGGAATATTGGTGGTATAGGACCACATAGGGTCTATTTGCATGTGGAAATGAGGAGCCTGCCTGAGAAGAACTTCTACTACAAGACAGAGTCAGGGCAAGCTATGCCCAAATTTATGGCCTCAGTCATCACAGTGGAAGGATTACTTTGAGAACAGAATCGTGCCCCTGTCTCATTACCTTCTGGATACCTGAAACTTTGCAGAGAGTGGTAGCTATAAGGGAAAAATAAAATAGAACAGAAGGAACTGTTTCTATGCAAAAATCTCAGGTAGATGGAGCAGGATGTTTGGTCCAGTGTGGATTGAGTCACACTTGAGGAAGGGCACGGAGGGTAAAGGGTGCTAGCAGGCTCAGCAGCAGTGGCAGGTAGTAGTAGTAGCTAACTACTACTCAAGTACTACTAAAAGTAGCTCAACAAGGTCAACCAGATGCAGTCATGCGCTGCGTAACAATGTTTCAGTCAACAACTGACTGCATATATAATAGTGGTCCCATAAGATTATAACACTGTCTTCCTACCATATCTTTTCAATGTTTAGATATGTTTAGATGCACAAATACTTACCACTGTGTTACATTCGTCTACAATATTCAGTACAGTAACACGCCGTACAGGTTCATAGCCTAGGAGCAATAGGTTATACCATATAGCCCAGGGGTGTGGTGGTGTTTGCTGTCTAGGTTTGTGTAAGTACACTCTATGATGACTACACAATGATGACCATCTAATGACTAATTTCCTAGAATGTATTCCCATTGTTAAGTGATGAATAACTATAGTCTCCAGGCAAGATTTCAGTAGCTGGTGCAGGCGAAGACACTTATTCATGAGGATTTCTACAAACGTGGGAGGGGGATTTCAAGATCCAAGTAGTCCTGCCTGAGTGGGCCAGTGCCAGAAAACCACAGCCCATTTAGTTATTGATGTTGGGCTGGCATGGGCTGGGGCAAAGCATTTGTAAAAATAAACAGTTCCAACATGCCCTAAGTGCCCTGATAGAAGGAATCAGAAGACACCAAGAGACAGACTCAAATCAGACTCTGAAGGTTACCATGCAGCACAAGTGAGCACAAGTGATCCTACAAGTTGGCCTGGAAGGACAGCTAGGAAGTAGTTAAGTGAAAAGAGTCAAGAAAGGCACTCGGAGCATTTCAGGGGTCCGCGAAACCTTGGGACAGATGGTGGAAAGGCAAGATGCATGATCCAAACAGGAATAGAAGTGGCTCATTAAGGGTAGAGCACAGGCTGCCAGTAGGAGTGGAGTCATGAGAGGTGGTAGGATTTACCATGTAGGCAGACGATAAACTGGGAAAGACCTTCTGTGTCACACTAAAGAGTTTGAGCTAAATCTTGAAGGCCGAGGTGAGGATTTTACTGGAGGGAGAACATGATTAATCTTACTTTTCGGAGAACTAATTCTAGCAGTGGTACATAGACAAACTTGGACTAGAGAGTGGGATATTCTTTAGAAAGTTCTTATAGCAAGTGTAGCAAAAATTAATAGGGTCTGAACTATGTAACTGCAATATTGCAAAGTTTCCCCGGAGAAGGTCAGGCTGTAAGATCATAATGCATTTTTTCTCAAGTTTAAGAGGGCATTGTGATGTTCTGGGAAAATAGAGAATTTCTTTGGAGCTAGACACTCTTGGTTCAGATCCCATAGCCACTATTTGCTAACCAAATTGCTCTCAGAAAGATACCTATGCTGCCTGAGTCTACCTTTTTTTCATTTGCAAAATGGGATAATGCTACTAACCTCAATATGCTGTGATGGTTGAATGTAACATGAGGTATATAAAGAGGCACTCACAAGTAGATTAAGACATATGACTTTCTTTTCTAGCTCTTCTCATGGGGCACATATGAGGTTTCAGCATGCTATGATTGCTTAAATCCAAGTGCTAATTATTATTTTTATATTAAATCTCCTTCTCATCTCTTTATATTTAAATATTACTATGGAGACATGATTTTCACAAGAAGCTGAGGAAAGAGGTTGAAGCAATAAATGGTTGTCATATCCCCTTGTGATATTTATGCCTACATGAATATAAATTTGAATTTAAATCAAAGAAATGTGTCTTTCTAAAATGTGCTTTTTAGCAACCCTTTTCTAAGGTCTTATCACTGTAATTTTAAAAGAGATAAAAATATGAAAAGACATTTTATTTCAAACAAAAGGATGCATCTGAAAATTCTTACAGATAGAGCACATTGATCGATTTTTTTGGTATTTTTAATCAGGTACAACAATTTAACACACATTATATCAGCAGTCTCGTTTTGTATTCATGAACTTGATGGGAAATGGAGAGATCCTGCTGATAATGGAGCAGGTAGTATTTTCAGCTATAAGGAGTCCAAAGCTGAATTCTTATGAAAAATATTCTCCAAGTTGTTCCTGATGGGGGAACATAGAAGAATAAAAAATTGTTCTTTGAACAATGGAAACATGTATCAGAATTACATTACTGGGGCCCTATCCCAGAGTTTCTTATTCCGTAGGTCTAGTGTGGGCCAGGGAATTTGCCTTTCTAGCAAGTCCCCAGCTAATGTTTGTGTTAGTTGACTTGGGCAGCCATAACAAAATACCATAGTTTGGTGGCTTAAACAACAGAAAGTCATTTTCCTACAGTTTTTGAAAATGGGAAGTCCAAGATCCAGCACCTTGATCTTTGCTGGTGTGGGCTGTCTTTCTTGCTTCCAGACAGCCACTCTGTCCTCACATGAGAAAGAGAAAGGGACAGAGTGTATGTGAACACAAGCTGTCTGTTATCTCTTTTATTAAGGGCACTAATCCCATCAGGGGCCACTCTCATGACCTTATCTAACTCTAGTTGCTTCCCAAAGTCCCCAGCATATGAATTTTGAGGGAACGTAAACATCCAGCCCTTAAGAAGCTGGTGCCTCTGGTCTAGGAACTAGATGAAGAGTCATAGAACTTAGTAGGTCAATGGTTGCATTTTATCTTATAAACTTGTTAGGGGGCACTAAATAGTCTCATGACTTCCAGAATATGATCAGAAAATCACAGACTTCCCCAAGACTTCCAATCTGCTTGTTCTTAGACATGACTGTGGTGAGACTTGCTCTGTGTCCTGCACTTTAATGGGCCCCATCTGGCTCTTCTCTGGCTTCACTCCTCCCTATATGCAAGGAGCCTATGAAGCCAAGTGACATGCCACACAAGAGGCTTCCCCTTCCGGGCCCATTCCTCTGGGTGCCTAAGACACTGGAATTCCTTGCCCAAAAGGCTCTGAGCCCACTTCCTGAGTCTTTTCCCTGGATAGGGTCGTGGGAGTAGGAGGAGAAAGGGGGCAGATCATGAACAACGAGGTATATGAAATTCTGAAGATTCCTGAGAATTCCACATTTAAGCATGATGTTTCACATCATCCTGGAGGTGTATTTGCCAAGATAGAGAATAAGACATTTTAAGGCTGAGTGCAGTGGCTCATGCCTGTAATCCCAGCACTTTGGGAGGCTGAGGTGGGCAGATTGCTTGAGCCAGGAATTCAAGACCAGCCTGGGCAACAGGGCAAATCCCTTCTCTACAAAAAATACAAAAACTAGCTGGGCATGGTGGCACACACCTGTGGTCCCAGCTATTCGGGAGGCTGAGATGGGAGGATTGCTTGAGCTCAGGAGGTCGAGGCTGCAGTGAGCCGAGATTGAGCCACTGCACTCCAGCCTGTGCAACAGTGAGACCCTGCCTTAAAAAAACAAACAACAACAACAACAAAAATTTAAACCCTCTATTTTTTTGCAGCCTGGTTCATAACTTTTAAATGTTTATACAAATGGTGTGTGGGTCTCCTTTGATATTCTTGCTCTACAAATGTTATGACAGATCTGCCTCAAGTCATAATAAGATAATCAGGAAAAGTTACCCAGGGTCTCTTAACTTATAAAACACTAACATACTTTTATACACTCCATACCAATTCTACTCAAATTGTGGTCCTCAGACTAGCAGCATGACGATCACTCAGGCCCTACCTGAGACCAGCTGAATCAGAGTCTAGGGGAGTGGACCAAGCCCTTGTAATTCAGCAAGGCCTCCAGGTGATTCTGATTCCTGCTACAGTTTGAGAATCATTTCCCTAGCCCACTGCCTCTCAAACTTTAATGTGCATTTAAAAAATCCCCTGGGAATATGGTTAAACTGCAGTTTCTGACTGTGGGTTAGAGTCTGAGAGTCTACAATTCTGACGAGCTTCCAAGTGATGCCATTGTAGGAATTCAAAGCCAATAAGAGTCGTTGTCCTTATTTTTTTTTAAATGGAGATATCATTGTATTGACTGAAGAATTATAAGTTCATAAACTTTGAAAGGAGAGCTTTATTTTTCATAAAGGATTGCAGGCTGCAGGATGGACATTATGACAGGCTGGGAAGCACAGCTTCTAGCCAGAAGCTGGAAACAGGCACTTCAAAGGAGGGGCAAAGGGAACAGGAATTTATGCTGAGCAGGGTGGCTAAATATACTTATTCAATGAGCTGCAGGAGAAGTCATGAATATCATGCGTCCCATGTACAAATAATAGCAGGATTAGCTTCACCTGGGTGTGGAGTTTTCAGCCCTCTCCGTCAAAAGGCGAAGCAGAGGATATGCAAATCCTCAGCAAACATAAGATAAGAGACTACCAATCTTTGAGACTACTATCTACCAATGGTAGTCTCTTATCAGAAAGAAATGCTGCTCAGTTGTGCTGTTGAAACCATAAAACAGAGGGGCAGTGTCAGGCAGTTGGTTGCTATCAATGGTGGAGTCTTTCAAAAGGGCTGGTTTTTGTTTAGCCCTTAGGGAAGAAAGCCTCATGGCAGTTAGTGAGGGACGGGGTATACCAAGGCGCATCTAACCTCCCATTCTGTCATTGCTGAGAACTTAGTTTTCAAGGTTTCTCTGGAGACCCCTTGGCTAAGAGGGAGTCCATTTTGTCAGTTGAGGGGCTTAGAATTTTATTTATTATTACTATTATATTTATTATTATTTATTTTTATTATTGATTGACATATAAACATGATATGCATTTATGGGGTACAACTTGATGTTTTGACATACACAGTCAAGCTAAATTAACATATCCATTTTCTCTACATAGTTACCATTTTGTGTGTGTGTGTGTGTGTGTGTGTGTGTGTGTGTGTGTGTATGTGCAAGCGCATATGTATAGAAACTGCCTTTGCAAAATTATGACAGTAAGAGAAATGTTAGTTGACTTCATCTTGCTTCTGACCTCCAGGCTATCCTTGGTCATTCCTGGGCATAGGCCAAGCTAACTTTAGGAGGAATTTAATTTACACTCTAACGTAAAAGCAAGGATGATAATAGTCTCTCCCTAAAACTAAACCCCTTCTCGCCTAGGGACCAAAAATTACCTTTATTAGACTAATGAAAGACCACAAGAATAGGATTATGAGAGGGGTCTAAACTCTGCTAAGATGTAAGCATAGTTTCTATAATTCCTTACTGTTCAGGGGTCCTGTGGCCAGAGGTCACAAGATTTGTGACCTTCCCAATTGCTCCTATAGATAGCATCACTATTATAAAACCTAAGATTGTTTTTTTGAGATGTTTCTCAGACTGACTCCACGTGGACTCCTGACTCCTGACTCAACGGGTCCTGTGGCCCCACCTAGAGGCAGACAAAGAGCATGAGGATCATTTTCCACACCCCTGTGATTTTATCTCCAACCAATCAGCAGCACCCACTCCCTAGCCCTCTACCTACCAAACTGCCCACAAAAACCCGAGTCAGCTGCCCTTAGGGAGACTGATTTGAGGAATAGCTTCAGCTCTCCTGAGTGGGCTGACCTCCTGTCAGTTAATCTCTTCCTCCTCTGCAATGCTGTGGTCTCAGTGGATTGATTTTGTCTGTGCAGCAGTCAGGAAGAACCCATCGGACAATGGCAGTATAGTCAGTCATTGCCCTTATTTTAAGTAGCCATGCTTGACACTCCAGCCTGCAGTTATAATTAGGGTATGAAAGGATGATAAGCCCATGGCTGAGTTTCCTACTATACTGTGGAGAGTATCCTGAAATCCTACGTAAGCAGTAGAGTCCCAGGCCTTTTTTCCTGCAGTGTTAAGGGAAGATGGTGTGACAGTGTGGGTCAAGGGATAACTTTCCCCTTGGCCCTCTGAAAGTTTGCTGAAAAATCACAGACAAGATGCAGATTAATAGGAGAAAAGGTATACAAATTTATTTAACGTGTATACATAGGATCCTTCAGAAAGAATACAACCTCCCAGTGAGGGACGGAAGTTTATACACCATCCTGGCAAAACAGGTTATAGAAGGGGAGAAAGAGGAATTATTCTGAGGGGATTATTAGCGTGAATGAGTAGATCTAGGAATGGAGATTAACTTGTAATAGTTGTCTTTGACAGTGAAAGGATCTATTCAGGTGTGGTTACATTCTTGGTCTTATAGGGAAGGGAAGAAAAAACAACTGTTCTCGTTGGTGGGTCTGGACATTAGGCCTATAAAAGAACTTCAACTTCTTAGGAAAAGTGTATAGATAGTAGTGGTTGTGGGGAATTCAGAGAGACCTTGAGGCTTCTTGTTCAGTGTGGCATGTTGCTGTGCCATATGTTATGGAGTATCGGTTTCTGAGCCCCAACATGACCACAGAAAATAAAACCACGTAATGGTAAATCTAGGCCAATAGGACTATTGCAGCATCACAGAGATTCCCAAACTTAAGGACCCATCTGAAGGACAAACATTGCTCCATAATGCCCAAGAGACAGATAGGGAGCTCTCCCTTCCCCATGCCTAGGTAATGAGGGAATCCAGGGTAGACTGACATTAAATCGTACACTGCCTGTGGTAGGGAAGGTAGCAGTTTGAGGTTCTGAAATTACTTGTAATAGAGCTGTAGAAAAATAAAATATTAACTATTTCTTGTATGCATGATCTTTTTGATTTGGGATTAGTTCCCACTGCATATATACATTAGTCTGTTAGGGCTGCCATAGCAAAATCCCACAGACTGGGTGGCTCAAACAACAGAAATTTATTTTTCACAGTTCTGGAGACTAGAAGTCCAAGATCAGGGTGTCAGCAGGTCTGGATTCTCCTGAGGCCTCTCCCTGGTTTGCAGATGGCTGCCTTCTCACTATATTCTCACATGGTCTTTTTCCTGCCTGTGCAGATCTCTGGTGTCTTTTCCTTGGCTTCTAAAAAACACCAGTCATATTGGATTAGGTTCCCACACTTATGACCTCACTTCACCTTAATTACCTCTTTAAAGACGCTATCTCCAAAAATAATCACATCCTAAGGTACTAGGGGTTAAAACTTCAGCATAGGAATTTGGGAGAGACACAATTCAATCCATGACAATATGCCATTTTCTGTGTAGAAGGCCA
This sequence comes from Homo sapiens, assembly GCF_000001405.40. Lineage (NCBI taxonomy): Eukaryota > Metazoa > Chordata > Mammalia > Primates > Hominidae > Homo > Homo sapiens. The sequence continues at coordinate 155,410,314 of NC_000003.12, read as the reverse complement.
CTGAGCAGGGCTGGAGGCCGACTCTGCAGTCCTGGAATAATCTTAGCTGTTTAGTGGAATCTCTTTCTGGAGCTCTAACTGCTTGATCACTTTCTCAGACCATTCTTAAGATTTGTTTGTATATTTTGTTTCTGAACCAGATGCTCCGCTTATCCATAGTGAGAGTTTGCCTTCCCTTTCCATTTCCACATCCTGAGATGTCATGTCTCCCTGCCCCCCAGCAGTGCCTCTCCACTTCCTACCGGCCTTTCCTCTAGGCCTGCCCTATAGGTAGTGCAGTGTCTCCTGAGCACAGGCAAGTTGTCTGCAGATTTGGCCAACATCATAGGTTTCATTTCAATCATTTTCTATCCTGCATATTCATAGAGTTTACCTCTCACTTCAGCTAATTTCTCTAAACTGGTAGTAGCTGGCTTTCTGTTAGAAACAAATTTTCTAAGACAGGTTATTCCATTTTTTGTGGACTGATTGCTCGAGTGACCCTGATTAAGACACAAGGCAGCTAGAGTCAGAAGGGAAGGGTTCTCTTTAAATTAATCTTTCCCTCTCTTTACATCTGACCAGATACCCTCACCATTTAGAAGAGGCTGAAGAGTGGTTTGTTTTGCTACCATTAAAGAGTAAACCCTTTAAGAACATTTTGCTTTGAAGATAAAAAGGCTAAACAAGTCCCCTGATAACAGAGTCTGCAAAGTGACATGTCAGACATGACTGAGTTTAGAGAAGTGCTCTGTTATAGGGACATTCTTATCTTAGGTCATCATATTTAGGATCTTAAGGGAGCCTAGGGCCACAGGCACAAAGCAAGGGGAAAATATTGATGCTCCTACCAAACAGCTCTGGAATGCCAATTTTAGGGTACCTGGGAAACCAAGGCCTTAAACTATTTCCAGATAGTGAGTGTCAGGTGTGATCATTGCAGTAACAGCACCTTAAAATGATTAGGTGTTATCTGTTCCACACCTGCAGTATTTGTATTTGTCTCTTTTATCATCATTGCTATTTGCAAAGGAAACAGACTCAGGAGAGTGAAGTGACTTGCCTGAGGTCACACAGCTAATATGTTGCAGAAGTGCGGCTGGAACCTAGGTGCTGTCCACTGCACCGCATTGTACAGCAGCAACAGCTCCTGAGCTGCTCCACCACACTCATCATCAGCTCCAGCAATGAGATATAAAAGCTCAGTTCTCACATCCACTTCATTATTTAAAAGCAAGGTTTCTCATAAACCTGAATTTCTCACAGGGATTGCACACACCCCTTGACAGACAGTCAACTTAAATCTCAACTATATAGAATATGATAAATTACCTGCTCTGGGCCACTGATATTTTCCCTGATCTCTGAATTGATTGAAGTACATGATTTGAGAAGTTATGAGATCCTGCCTCTTAGTGAAGCCTAATTAAAAGCAGTACCTCACTTACATTGAAAGAAAAGGTGAAAATAAGCAAGAATCATGAGATAGGATAATTTGAGAAAGGAAAAATTTGTAAGTCCCCCAAGATTTTAGCATCACCTGGTATTATGGACTAAATTGTGTCCTCTCCCAAATTCATATCTTGAAGCCCTCAACCCCAATGTGTTGGTATTTAGAAACGGGGCCTTTGGGAGGTAATGAGGGTTAGATTACCTCCCAAAGTCATGAGAGTGGGGCCGTCATGATGAGATTAGTCACTTTATAGGAAGAGAAATAGAGAGATATCGTTCTCTGTGTGCCCTGTGTGGACACAGTGAGAAGGTGGCCATCTGCAAGTGAGGAAGGGAGCTCTCACCAAGAACTGAATTGACAATCACCTTCATCTTGGGCTTCCCAGCCTCTAAACTATGAGAAATAAATGTCTGTGGTTTAAGTCACCCCAGTCTAAGGTATTGTGTTATAGCAGCTCAAGCAGATGAATACACCTGGTCTTCAACCCAAGGAATCCTCTGGGAAGGAGATACTCTAGGACCAGTATTTCTGACTTACTTAGAAGCACGATGAAAGAGGAGTAGGCCTTGAACAGCCCAAATGTTTAGTATATTTCTCAAAATCATAAAGTACGCCTGTTATAGTGATGACTTGGCTGTGTGCTTTTGTAATCTATCGGCCTCAATTCTCATTATTCAATCCAGACAGGATTGAGTAACCTCTCTGAATAGACTACCAGGTCTGCACTCATTGCTTGACTAAGGGAGGAGGTTTCAGCTGGGCCTGGAGGAAATATGGGTACATTCTTCTAATTTAAACCAAAATCCAAAGTTCTGTTTATTGTCTCCATTTAAATATTTATTGCACAGATATGTCAGAATAATATAAAATATATTGTAATCAATTGTGTGGTTTTGACCTTATTGAAATTCTTTAAATGCCTGTGCCTTCAAAATAATTTTCCAATTTGTCTATTCAGTTACTTATTGTTTACAGTTTGGCCTCTGGAGTTAATGGGGCTTGGGTTGAGATTCTGATTCTGTTACTTATAAAATGTGCAACTTTAGGCAAGTGATTTGGCCTTTCTGAGTGTGCATTTCTTCATCTCTAAAAGCTTTACAGTAGCCTGCCTACCTCACAGGGCTGTTGTAAGTCTAAATTGAAGTCATTACAGATGAAAAGGCCTAGTACAACACCAGCCACAAAGCCTAAATCAATATTGATTTCCTTCTTTATTTCTTATTTTTTCACTTTTAGTATTTTTTTCATTATTTATATATTACTGGCATGACTGTAAAAATTCCTCTATAACTGTCAAAAGCTGATTCACTCTTACTTAACCATGTATTGTGTGCTAACTATAGTGCACCTAGCACTGCATGCCATTATTCCAGTGTATTTAAAATAGCACATGAACTGGTGCTGATTCATACATATTGGAAAAGTCTCAATTAAACCGAACATTCAATAACCAGAGAGAAGACAAAGAAAAAAGGAAAAAGCAATGCTACTAACAGGATGGCTGGATCATACAGTACTTCTATTATTAATTTTTGAGAAACCTTCATATTATTTTCCAAAATGGCTGTACTAATGAACAATATGAACTGTGTATAAGGTTTATCTTTTCTCCACATACTCACCAACATGTGTTATCTTTCATCTTTTTTATAATAGCCTATCTAACACATGTGAGGTGACATCTCATTGTAATTTTAATATACATTTTTCTGATGATTGGAGGTGTTGATCATTTCCTCATTGTGTGTTCTTGGCACCTTTGTTGAATACTAACTGAATATAGGTTTGTGGGTTTATTTTGGAATCTCTATCCTATTCCATTGGTTAATGTGTCTGTTTTTATGTCAGTACCACTATGTTTTGATTACTATAGTTTTGTAATGTATTTTGAAATCCAGTACTGTAAAGCCTCTAGTTTTGTTCTTTTTGGTCAAGATTGTTTTGGCTAAGTTTTTTTGTGTGATTTCATACAAGTTTTAGAATTATGTTTTTTATTTCTGTGAAGAATGACATTGGAGTTTTGATAGGGATTGCATTGGATTTGTAGATCACTTGAGGCAATATGGACATTTTAAAAATATTAATTCTTCCAATTTATGAACATGGGATATCTTTCTATGTATTTATTCCATCTTTACTTTCTTTCAACAATGTTTTATAGTTTTCATTATACAGGTCTTTCACTCCCTTGGTTAAATTTACTTCTAAGTATTTTATTTTTTGTTGCTGTTGTAAATGGGATTGCTTTCTCAATTTCTTTTTCAGATAGTATATAGAAATGGTACTGATTTTTCTAAGTTGATTTTGTATCCTGCAACTTCACTGAATTCATGATCAGTTGTAATAGGTTTTTTTTTTAAGAGTCTTTAGGATTTTCTATATATAAGATCATGTCATCAGCAAACAGAGGCAATTTCACTTCATAGGATGTTCTTCTTTTATTTTGATTTTGTTCAGTGTTTTTTGTAGTAAAATAAATTAACAAAACAAATGCTTTTACTTTTAATGTCACTTCAAGCTATTGACTTATTAATATAGAATAGAAATCACACTGTTTCCACAGCATCAGCCATTTAGGTCAATAGAAAATGAGAGGAGCTGTTATTGTAATCCAATTCAATATTTTATTTTTTTCTGTCCACCTGAAATAACTGAAAGGATCAGAATCTAGTTTAAAGAGTTTATTCAAGTGAAAAGCTGGGAATGGTCATCTGGGAGGCAAAGACTCCAGAAAAATGGGGTCAGTGCTCCAAAGTTAACTTCTTACTTATACAAGCAGAAAACAAAGAAGTTTAGTGAGATTATAACATTTTCTATGTGAGGCTGGTTTTACAAGTTACAACAATTTAATTAGTTACATTTTGTTCTCTTTTCCATATGGCCTTTCTTTTCTGTATAGCTTGTTTTCATTTCCTTTTTAATTAGAAAAAGTGTATTTAACATTTCATCTTAAGACAATATGGTAGCCATGAAGCCTTCGTGTAAGAAAGGAAAGAGGGAAGTTAATCTATGATGAAGATTAACGGTGAAGAGGGTAGGGGTTTTTCCTGGTACCCTTTAGTCATTTGCAACATTTTACAAAATAATGTAGGTAAGGAGGAAAGCTAATATGTAATCAGAGAAACAAAAGTTATAGCACCTTGATTATAGCTGCCTAGGTTACAGCTGCTTGTCACATGACCTAGGTCCCATAATCACACTCTTTAAGGCTCAGAATAATTTAGGATTCCAACAGCTTAGATTTTCAATTACTTATTTTCACATTTGTGATGTGTATTCAGTTTCGGAGCCCATAACTTGGGTCAAAGTAATATTCTTTGCCTTATAAATTAATAGCAGTTTTCTTTTTCGGTGAGTGAATCCTCAGTGAATAACTTATTAAGAAGAGACATGAATTTATGATACTTAATACCTTTTTATTTGAGAGAAAATAATTTTTGTTTGTGTAAGTGTTCACACTAATGAAAGTACTGCAGGAATTGTTGAGAGAAAACTTTTGACCTTTTCATCTGAAGTGAGGATTGAGGTGCTTATCACCATTCAGTTTTAAGATATGACTCTTCTTTGCCCCTTGGCCACCATCTGAATTCATTACCAAAATTTATAAGAAATACTTTTGAGGACAAAGGACTTCATTTGAGCTTACAAATACACCAAATGAAACAAAAAACTTTCTGGACGTAGCACAGAATATGTTGACTCCTCAGTAAGAATATTATCCGGCAAGGGTGACAAGGAATTTTAACACTTGTGTAGCTGTTGTTCTCTGTAAGTCAGCAAAGGATGCTAACACACTGATAGCTAAGGGCAAGGCTGAGTAGACCAAAGGACAGTTTTGAAGGGCGTTGTAGGCATCAGAAATAGCCACAGCCCACTGTCTGCTTAATTAGATTGCCCTTGGACCTTCAGTTTAGCATATTGAATCCCTATTATGAGCAAAGGCTGTACTTAATGTGTGTCCACATTAGCTGGACAGGTCGACTGGGGTCAAGAAAAATCTTTTGGGTTTGTAACTACCTTGATAGTCGTCCAGTTCCATGCTCTTGATGTGCTGCTGAGGAAACTAAGGTCCTGTGAGGTTTAGTGACCTTCCCCAAAGTCACACTGATACTATGGTCAGCAAAGCTAAGGCTACACATAACCCTCCTGCATTTCAGTTCACCTTCATTTCCACCCTATCACCTGTCTCCCCAGATGTCTGCTTTTTATTTACTTTGCACAGCTAACAGATGGTTACTCCCCACCTCTCATTTAACTTAATGGCCATAGCATCTTGGACCTTAGCCAGGTCATATTCTTTGTAGGAATGAATTTGCCTCTCTTCAGTCTTCCCACCAAATGGTGAGGCATTTTCATGCTCAGCTACCAAAAAAGGTTCATGAGAACATGATGGCTATACTTCACAGTTCGTTAAGTGTCTCCTTCCCTCTAGGGCAGGGCACAGGCCTGGGGTATTGAACATGGCTGATTCTTCGAGGTACTAAGATGGAGTATGAAAATGGAGTGGGCATAGCTGAAGCCAGGAAGGTAGCAAGCAGGAAGCTAAGAGTAAAAGTGGGCTCTGGAACCAAAAACCATTCAAATAAAGCAACACCTACCACAAGGGCTGGGCAGGCTCAGAGTGCAGGGGCTGGGCCCACTTTCTTCCTTCTTGCTCTCTGCATCCTGCCTTTCTTAGCACCAGAGGGCCTGGCTGTTGCCCTGGTGAGGAGTGGACTCCCCTCATTTGCCCAAGTGAGAAGTGGACTCCCCTTATTTCAGGTCTGTATGATGAATGGGCAGAGGGCTGTTATCATTCAGCAGAGTCAGGCCTCTGCTAGAGGAATTGTGTTTTTAGGAGGCATTTGGGGCCCTTTGAGAAAAATGACTTTCAGATTTTTCTTAAAAACAAAATAAGACAAACAAACAAAATTTCAAAAACAACGTCTACAATTGTTTTTAGCATTTTCAGTGCCAAGGCAGACCTACCCCAGAAAAAGTATCAATTCTGCAGAATTTGATAATGAAATTGCTATTTGACTTACAGTAACTGCATCTAAGGATCAGCCTCCGAACCTCAATGTGCCAATGCTGCTTTGTTTTAGAAATAAGTGTTGTATTTTGGTTTGAACAAAAAAAGAATCTCTCAATCCACCCAAAGTTTTCAAATCAAACAAGAAAATAATTCAAAAATCGAAGGAATACAGGCCAGGCATGGTGGCTTACACCTCTAACCCTAGCACTTTAGGAGGCTGAGGTGGGTGGATCACTTGATGCTGGGAGTTCAAGACCAGCTTGGCCAACATGACAAAATGCCATCTCTGCTTAAAACACAAAAAATTAGCTGGGCATGGTGGGGCGCCTGTAGTCCCAGCTAGTCAGGAGACTGAGGTAGGAGAATTGCTTGAACCCAGGAGGCAGAGGTTGCAGTGAACCAAGATCGCACCACTGCACTCCAGCCTGGGCAACAGAGAGAGACCCTGTCTCAAAAAAAAAAAAAAAAAAAAAATTGAAGGAATGCAATAGTCATGAACTACGCTATTGCTTTTGAAGGTCTCCTTCAAAACCCATGCTTAAGAAATTCTTAGGCTGGGCACAGTGGCTCACACCTGTAATCTTGGGAGGCTGAGGTGGGTGGATTACCTAAGGTCAGGAGTTCAAGGCCAGCCTGGCCCACATGGTGAAACCCCGTCTCTACTAAAAATACAAAAAAATTAGCCGGGCTTGGTAGCGGGCGCCTGTAATCCCAACTGCTTGGGAGGCTGAGGCAGAGGTTGCAGTGAGCTGAGATCACGCCACTGCACTCCAGACTGGGCGACAGAATGAGACTCTCTCTCAAAAAAAAAAAAAAAAAAAAAAAAAAAAAGAAAAGAAAAAGAAAAAAAGAAAGAAATTTTTCTAAAAGTTCAGGTAAGGTGGAAAGAAAGTATTTCAAATGTAGCAGTTCAAGAATGTTCTTCAAGTATATGTATGGTATTTCAGTTGAAAAATGTACTAATAGAAGAGATTCCATTGGTGAATTTTTTACTGTAGATTCATGTCAATAACATCCAAAATAAACAGATGGCAAAAGTACTGCTATACATGCCAAACTCTTAGAACACAAAGATATAAATATTTATATACATTCTTATATTTAAGAATATGGAGAGAAAGACCATAATGTTGTGCTTGGTTTGTGTGCTCCCAATTCAATATCAGCCAAAAATATGTACTTTCAACTGCAAAAAAGGTTTCAAAATAAAGTCACAAGCAAAAATGATGACCTTAACAAATCATTTATTACATGAAAAGAAAGAACAATAACAAAACAAAAAAACCCTGAACAGCAAGAGGGCTGTGATTTGAGTGAATTTAACAAATAGAAATATTCAATATTGAAAATAATAAAATTTATAGATAGCACTTGAAACAAGAAAATTAAAATGTTCAACTGTGAGTGACTTCAAAGATTGACATAGGTTGAACAAAACAAGAAAACTTTGCTTTTAGCCTGTGATTTTTTGATGTAATAAGACATATGTGTATATTGGTCTTGTTCTCCGCTCCTGGCCAGAGCTCCTAAACATTGGTTATTTCCTGAGTGATAGGGATGCTAGGTGCATCTTTTGTTCTCATTTTTTTGCCTTTTACCCAATTCGTGATACGGAGCTCCTAAATACCTTGGAATTTTCAGGGTGATGAGAGCCACTTTTGGTGGGCTCCTGCATGGGGACTAGTCACCAGAAAGACCAAGCCATAATTAGAAGCCTGGAACTTTCAACCCCAACCCCCTACTCTGAAGAGGTAAGAGGAGTTGAAGATTTAGTTAATAATTGATCATGTCTACATGATGAAGCCCCTTCAAAATCCCCAAATGACAGGGTTTGAGGAATTCTTAGGGTGGTGAACACATCCATATGCCAGAAGGTGGCATACCCCTACTCCATGGCAATAGAAGCTGCTGTGCTTGGGACCCTGCAGACCTTGCCCCAAGAACCTTCATCTGGCTGTTTATCTGTATTCTTTATCATATCCATTATTATATAATAAGCCAGGAAACACAAGTGTTTCTCTGTGTTCTGTGAGTTGCTCTAGCAAACTATCGAGCCCAAGGAGGTCTCAGAACTTCCAGTTTGTAGCCAAGTTGTACAGGAGTTGTGGGTAATCAGGAAACCTACTACTTATCATTGGCATCTGCAGTAGGGGTAGAGTCTTGTGGGAGGTCCTTAACCTGTGAGTTCTGCACTAACTTGAGATAGTGTCAGAATGGGAATTGAATTGTTAAACACCCAGCTGGTGTTGGATAATAGATCAAGTGGGAAAAACACCATAGATCTGGTGTCAGAAGTGAGATATTGAGAATGGCGTGAGTATAAAAGGAAAAACTGTTTTCTCATGCATGGCCAGATCCATTACTTATATATGGCTTATAATTGAAGCCATTTATTCTTTCTAGTGGACTATCTTTCTGATTTATTAATATAGTAGTGTAAAGGAAATATGAGAGACATTTGCTTTTCTATTCTTTTATGTACTAGTTGACAAAGAATGCCAAATGTTCTGGAACAAGGGAAACAAGGGAATGCATCCAACAGTTTATAACAAGACATTTGTGTTCTTCTGTTTTACCAAGATCAATACATTTGTAATGGTACTTTTTTATTCTTTATTGATTAAACAATCTTAGAAAATTATCATGTATAACAAATGCTGCTTTATTCATTTTACTTCAGTTTTTAAAACTAGGTAATTATATAAAGTAAAACATCTAATGAAAATTTTTAGAGTTTACTGAAAACAAAACTCATTTCAAATATGTTCTTAAGTTTGGCATGTTCTAATTTCAACCCTACATTTTAATACGATATTGTGTTATCTTAAAATGAATTGAAGACTCTGGGTCATGGGACATGTAGTTTCTGATCAGATGGCAAAATAACATGATCTCTGCTCTGAGGATGACCTGGAGCCAAGAGGAGTGATGTCATATATCAGAACCGACATTGTGAGAACAGCCTGAGGAGGTGGAGGTGATGGTTGTGGGGAGAAGGTAAATGATAGATGTGGGGAGAGGGTAAATGATGGAGGTTGATACTGAAGGTAGCTTGGAATGGAAGCAGCCTGGGAGGTGTTCTTGTTGTGCCCCATCTTTCCCTGAGTGAGACATTGCCTTTCCCACAGCCACTGTGACGAGGACAGTGGCAGGGCCAGCTCTTAACTGGAGACTGCAGGATACTATGAAGCTTGTGGTCTGGGCATGAGTAGGGGTGGATAAAAGCAGGTGCAGCCTTGAGCTGGAGCCTGGATGCTGCCTCCTTTCTCCATTGTCCACTTCAAGAACTGGGTTATCACTGAGGCAGCTGTTGGAAAAGAAGAGAGCCTGCGCAGGAAATATAGGTTCCTTGAGGGGTGACATCACTTGAGGGTGTGCATTAGAAGGGAGTGGATAAAGTATATAATAAGGAAAACTTAGTATAATCACTTAGAGAAGTGTTTCAATAGCAACACTGGATGCAAAGTATTGAAGAAAGGGAACTTCAAAAAATTAAATGTGAGTAAGAAATAACGATATTCTTAGTCATGCAAAGCCTCAAAAACATCCACTTTGAGAACTGTTTAAAGAAATACATAGTCTGACAAGAAGGAAAGTAAACTCAATACTTCAGTAGATATAGGAAATAAGTAAAATATATTGTCTACAAAACAGCATCATGTACACATATATTTATTTATATCGGAAAGAATAAAAATTAACTACAAATTCAGAACCTAAGCTGAAGATGGTATCACACACACATGATATTACACACATACCTATGTATGATGCCCACGAATACCTTCCAGTGTCCAAAGCTTCATGCAGTCTTTTCTATTGAATCAGTGCTGGCCCTGTGTAAGCAGTAGAGTGTGGCAGAAGAGACACTGTGTGACTTTTGGGGCTGGGATCTTGGAATGCTTACTGTGGTGAAAACAAGCAGCCATGTAAGAATTTTGAATATCCTGAGACTGTTATGCTGAAACTGTCCAAACTAGCAACGTGGACAGGCCACGTGGAAGCCAGTCCCCAGATATTTCAGTCATCTCAGCTGAGGCCACCAGACATGTGGCTAAGGGAACTGTCGTGGATGCTCTGTTGCATTGAGCCTTCTGATGACTTCAGCCCCAGCCATCATCTGGCTGCAACTGAATTAAAGACCCAAGTGAGAACTGCTTATCTAAATCTGGCCATAATGTAGAATCATAAGAGATAATAATAAGGTTTTATCCTAGGCTGCTATATTTTGGGGTGCTTTGTTACAAAGCAGTAGATAACTGAAACAATGGAGTGATTGTAAGGGTAACCCTGACTTCCCACCCCTCTCTGTGTCTGTGGCTTTTGCAATGTGACTTTGCAGTTCCTCTAATCAAGAAGTAGGGTCTACTTTCTCACCCTTTGAATCTGGGTTGGCTTTGTGACTTGCTTTGACCATTAGAATGTGGCAAAAAGTGATGGTATGCCAGTTCTAAGCCAAAGCTTCAGGGGGCCTGAATACCTCTGCACCCTCTCTACCACCACAAAAACAAGTCCACTGTAGTGTATTGGAAGACTATAGATCATGTCAGGCAGAGCTGAGTCAGCCCAGTTGTCCCAGGTAGGCTCCAAACATGTAAAGGAGGCAGTCAAGATATTGGAAGACTTCTAGCTGACCTGTAGCTAATCTCAGATGAATGAGTGTGCCTTACCCATCCCAGGTCAGATCAGTAGATCTGCTCAGCTAACTTCATAGACTTGTGAGCAAAACTGAATGTTTATTTTTGTATGGCACTGAGATTTTTTGTGTGTTTATTACTTAGATTGTTGTGGTAGCAGATAAATAACATATAAGGAAAAAAAAACCATTACAAATTTAGAACTAGGCCGGGTGCTGTGGCTCATGTCTGTAATCCCAGCACTTTGGGAGGCCAAGGTGGATGGATCGATCACCTGTGATCAGGAGTTGGATACCAGCCTGGCCAACATGGTAAAACCCCATCTCTACTAAAAATATAGAAATTAGCTGGGAATAGGTGCCTGTAATCCCAGCTACTTGGGAGGCTGAGGTGGGAGAATCACTTGAATCCAGGAGGCAGAGGTTGCAGGGAGCTGAGATTGTGCCACTGCACTCCAGCCTGGACAACAAAGTGAAACTCCATCTCAGAAAAAAAAAAAAAAAAAAAATAGAACTAAAGCTATTGATGATAGTAATATATTTACAAGATAGTAATAAAGATATCAGAAGGATATGAGAACATGCTAAGATACTTGTTAGGATGCTGATTAGACAAGTCTTCGACAAGACTTACCAAAAATAAAAGAGAACATGTAAATAAACAAAATATACTATGAAAAGAATAATTATAAATAGAAGAGATTTTAAAAGAATAAAATTATAAGCAAATATCACTTGTATTTAAACACAGAAATCCCAAATGGATGAATATTCATTAAAGGAATTGAGATGAAAACTATCTTTCTGACCAAGTAAAGACTTTGGTTGCATAACAGAGTCCACTCAAGCTAGTTTAAATAAAAAGGGATTTTTAAGGGCTATAGGTTGCTCAGTTATTGGGAAGGTTGCTGAAACAGCTTCAAAGTTGAACTTTCAGGAAAAACTTCCTAGAACCATATGACAGAGCTGAGTTAGCTAGGAACTGGCTTCTACTACAGTCAGAAAATGATGAAATCAAAGAGACACCAGTACAGCTGTTAACTCCAGAATGTGTAACTTTCTTTTCTTTTCTTTTTCTTTTTTTTTTTTCTTTTTGAGACAAAGTCTCACTCTGTCACTCAGGCTGGAGTGCAGTGGGGCAATCAAGCAATCCACCTGCCTCAGTATCTGAAAGTGGTGGGATTACAGGCGTGAGCCCCCACGCTTGACCCGCAATGTGTAACTTTCAAACCATCAGAAAAATATATTGATTTATTCAATGAAAATTAGCAATGGAGTATAAAACCTCCAAAAATATATGATACATTGAAAACATAAAATAAGATTAAATAAATCTTAAAATAGGATTAAGTAAATTCTGTTGTAATTACAATAAATGTAACCAGGCTGCACCAGTCAAAAGAAACTCTCAGATTAGAGAAATATGTTTCTATGACAGAAATATTTAAAACAAAACTATGCAGAAAGAAAACTAAAAATAGATGAAGGTCGTAAAGGTCAAGATTTATTGGACAGAACTAAATCAATATGCAGATGAAAATGTACAGCTTTGATCTATAGAATAGAAAATAAATATTCTATTTTACAAGATAGAAAAAAAACAAATAAGAAAGAAAAATGAAGAAAATAAATAATAAATACTAAAATAGAGATCAAATTGAAAACTTCCAAAAAATGGTTTTTAAAATAATTATTAATATTAGACAAATCTTTGACAAGATTAATCAAAGATAAAAGAGAATATGCAAATAAAACATTCAGTGAAAGGGGAAATGATCAGAAGTAAAAGAAATTTTAAAATAGCAACTTTTTTTTTTTTTTTGGAAGCAGAATCTCATTCTGTCACCCAGGCTGGATTGCAGTGGCGCGAGCTCAGCTCACTGCAACCTCTGTCTCCCAGGTTCAAGTGATTCTCCTGCCTCAGCCTCCTGAGTAGCAGGGATTACAGGCATGCGCCCCCACGCCCAGCTAATTTTTTTGTATCTTTAGTAGAGATGGGGTTTCACCATGTTGGCCAGGCTGGTCTCGAACTCCTGACCTCAGGTGATCCACCCTCCTGGGTCTCCCAAACTGTTGGGATTACAGGCATGAGCCACCATGTCTGGCATAAAATAGTAAAATTATAAGCAACCATTAATCTCAGATTTAAAAATAGAAACTCCAAATGGATTAATAGCCACTAATATGAAAAAGATTGAAATAGAAATTATCCTAATTTCATAGGAAAAGTTTCAATCTAGATGGTTTTGGAGGATGGGTTCTCATAGAATTTCAGGAAGCAAATTATTTAATTTATTAATTAGAAATTTTTATCCAAGTAAATTGCTTCGGAAAATAGAAAAGAATAAAAGCAATTCTAGTCATTTCTGAGGCTAGTATAACCTTGATTTGTAAAACCAAGTCAGTACAACAAAAGAAAATTTTAAGTTCATTTTATTTATGACAGAGAAGATTCTTACGTAAAATATTAGATAATGAGAGCCAACCAATATACAGCTGACCCTTGAACAACACATTTGAATCAAGTGGGTCCATTTATATGCAGATTTTCTTCTGCCTCTGCCACCATTGAGACAGCAAGACCAATCCCTCCTCTTCCTCCTTCTCAGTCTACTCAGCACGAAGACAACAAAGGCGATGACCTTTATGATGATCCACTTTCGCTTAATGAATAATAAATCTTTTTTCTTCCTTATGATTTTCTTAATAACATTTTATTTTCCCTGGCTTACTTTATTGTAACAATGCAATATATAATACATATAACATATCAAACATGTGTTAATCAACTTTTTATGTTATTTGCAAGGCTTTTGGTCAATAGTAGGCTATTAGTAGTTAAGATTTTGGGGAGTCAAAAGTTATATGCAGATTTTCTTTTTTTTTTTTTTTTGAGATGGATTCTTGCTCTGTCACCCAGGCTAGAGTGCAGTGGTGCGATCTTGGCTCACTGCAACCTCCGCCTCCCAGATTCAAGCAATTCTCCTGCCTCAGCCTCCCGAGTAGCTGGGACTACAGGTACGTGCCACCACACCTGGCTAATTTTTTCTATTTTTTAGTAGAGACAGGGTTTCACTGCATTAGCCAGGATTGTCTCAATCTCCTGATCTCGTGATCTGCCTGCCTCAGCCTCCCGAGTAGCTGGGACTACAGGTACGTGCCACCACGCCTGGCTAATTTTTTCTATTTTTTAGTAGAGACAGGGTTTCACTGCATTACCCAGGATTGTCTCAATCTCCTGATCTCGTGATCTGCCTGCCTCGGCCTCCCAAAGTGCTGGGATTACAGTCGTGAGCCACCGCACCCAGCCTGTAGGCAGATTTTCAACTGCACGAGGGTTAGCACCCCTAACTCCCAGGTTGTTCAAGGGTCAACTGTATTATAGAAATATACTACGATCAGGCACGGGCAAATACTTCATGATGAAAATGCCAGAGCAATTGCAACAAAAGCTAACATTGACAAATGGGATCTAATTAAACCAAAGAACTTCTGCACAGCAAAAGAAGCTATCATCAGAGTGAACAGGCAACCTACAGAATGGGAGAAAATTTTTGCAATCTACCCATCTGACAGAAGTCTAATATCCAGAATTTATAAGGAACTTAAACAAATTTACAAGAAAAAAACAAACAACCCCATCAAGAAGTGGGCAAAGGATATGAACAGACACTTCTCAAAAGAAGACATTTATGCAGCCAACAAACATATGAAAAAAAGCTCAACATCACTGATCATTAGAGAAATGCAAATCAAAACCACAATGAGATACCATCTTATGCTGATCAGAATGGTGATTATTAAAAAGTCAAGAAACAATAGATGCTGGAGAGGATGTGGAGAAAAAGGAACACTTTTACACTATTCATGGGAATGTAAATTAGTTCAACCATTGTGGAAGACAGTACGGTGATTCCTCAAGGATGTAGAACCAGAAATTCCATTTGACCCAGCAGTCCCATTACTGGGTATATATCCAAAGGAATATAAATCATTCTACTATAAAGACACAAGCACACATATGTTCATTGCAGAACTATTTACAATAGGGCTGGAACGAATCCAAATGCCTATCAATGATAGACTGGATAAAGAAAATGTGGCACATATACACAATGGAATACTATGCAGTCATGAAAAAGGATGAGTTCATGCCCTTTGCAGGGACATGGATGAAGCAGGAGACCATCATTCTCAGCAAACTAACACAGGAACAGAAAATCAAACACCACATGTTCTCACTCATAAGTGGGAGTTGAACAATGAGAACACATGGACACAAGGAGGGGAACAACACATACCCAGGCCTGTGGGGAGTGGGGGTCGAGGGAAGGAAAATTAGAGGATGGGTAAATAGGAGCAGCAAACCACCATGGCACATGTATACCTATGTAACAAACCTTCATGTTCTGCACATGTATCCTGGAACTTAAAGTAAAATTAAAATATATGTAAATATATACTATGATCTAGTAGCATTTGTCCCAGAAATTACATGACTTAAAATCAGTCAGAAACTTAAAATCAGAAAAAACTTAAGAGTAAATTTTAATTAAAAATTTTTAAAAACTTCTAAAATCAGAAAAATCTACTGTTGAAACTCACATTAATAGATAGAATTTGACAAATTTTAATACCTATTAATTAGGAAAAGCACTTCTCGGTAAACTAAGACATGAAGGAAACTCCCTTAACTTCATAAATATTATGTACAAAAACCCTACAGATAACATCATATTTGATGGAGAAACTAAATTCACTCTCTTTAGATCAGGAACCAAACAAGAATTTGTCATGTCAGCACTGGTTACTGTTCTATAAAGAACTAAAGGTCCTGGCTAGTGCAGAAAGACAAGGAATAGAAATGAGAAATAGAAGGATTCAAAGGAGGAACAAACTTGCCATTATTTGCAGATAAAATAATCATCTGCATAGAAAACACAATAAACAAACAAACTCTTAATACAATAAGAGAGTTGGAAGTTTTCTAGTTAAAATAAACTTTGAAAAGTCTGCCATAGCAATAATTTAATAGAAAATGCCATAGGAAAACAGACATTATTCATAATTACAATAAGAATTATAAAATAGGAATAACCTACAAAGAATAGGGAAAATTGTTATGATACGAAAATTGTTTAAACCCTATGAAAGACATAAAAGAAGACCTGAATAATTGGAGAGCTGTAACATATTCATGACAGGATGAATGTTGTAAAGATAAAAATTATACCTGAGTTAATCTAGAAATTTAATATAATTCTAATAAAAATTTCTTGGGATGTTGTAGTGGAGATTATCTTAAGCATAATGCAAAAAGTGCAAAAATAATGTGAAAACTATGGTACATTTAACTACATCAAAATTAAGGATTTCTATTTAATAAAGAACACCTTGGGTAAATTTAACAGAATGGAAATGGACTTCGGAAGATATATACTATATATTAACATGTGATATTAATCTTAGATATTACTGAATACATACAATGAACAAATCAATAAATGAAAGACAATGGTCACAAGAAATGAATAAGCTATCTACAGAAGGAGAAATATAAATGGGTATCACACATGTGAAGAGATGTCCAATTTCAGCAGTAATTGGAGAAATGCAAATGAAAGGAATAACAAGACACCAGTTTACAACAATGAGATTGGGAAAAGTTAGAAAGTTGGATAATACCAATTATGAGCAAACAGGAATTCTCTTGCATCACTCCTGGACTGTAAAGGAACAATCCTGAAGAGCAATATGGCTGTACTTAGTAGTAAGTGCTGGATGCAAGTCATGGAACACTATCTAGCAGTCAGAAGCAACGATATTTTATCTATGTAGATGCAGTGAGATATATATATCTATATATACAGATATATAGTTACATATAGTTTTGAATAAAATGGGAGGAAACTAAAGGACATATATAGCTCAATGCTATTTATATAAATTGAAATCACTTTCACATATCTTTTTCAGGACATATATATATAATCCAAGAATATATATTAATATATAAAAATATATATTAATTATATTAGAATTAATGCCTTTGGGGCCACGGATGGGAAGTAGGAGTGTTGGTGGGTTATGATGAGGAAAATACAGAAATAAAACAAGAGAAGGGCTTTGCATAGATTAATGATGACAGACAGCCTGAATCTGGAGAATATTATACTCTACACTCTCCATGTGAAGTCCAAAAGGAAAACAACAAAACATAATGCTAAAATGTGAGCATTTTTTTGTTTATTGATTTATTCATTGTATATATTAAGTAATATCTAAGATTAATATCACTTGTTAATATGTAGCATATATCTTCCTAAGTCCATTTCCATTCATTAAATTTGCCATGGTGTTCTTTATTAAATATAAATCCTTAATTTTTTTTTCTTTTTCTTTCTTTCTTTTTTTTTTTTCTCGCTCTGTCTCCCAGGCTGGAGTGCAGTGGTGCAATCTCGGCTAACTGCAACCTCCGCCTCCCGAGTTCAAGCCATTCCCCTGCCTCAGCCTTCTGAGTAGCTGGGATTACAGGCGTGCGCCACCATGCCTGGCTAATTTTTGTATTTTTAGTAGAGACAGGGTTTCACCATGATGGCCAGGGTGGTCTGGAACTCCTCGCCTCAAGTGATCCACCCTCCTCAGCCTCCCAAAATGCTAGAATTAAAGGCGTGAGCCACCGTGCCTGGCCAGAAATCCTTAAATTGGATGTAATTAAATCTACCATACTTTTCACATTTGGAGTCAGTTGCCTCTGATTGCTAGGTAATTATTTTCCTTTTGGACTTCAGATGGAGGGTGTTGAGTACAATAGTCTCCAGACTGTTTGAGTGCAGTTGATAGTGCAGTCTAGAGAAATTCCCTAAGTACTTAGAACCAGCATCCTGTGCTCTTTCAGGGCCCCGTGGTAGAGTGGTGAGTTGAGAGGGAGCTTAGAGGGGCTGAGCCTGTTCTAGCAGACACCAATATATCTTTAGCTCAAATGTGATTTTCAAGTTTCTTTCTGTGAGCCCTGTACCCTAGTGAATTGTTTATGCAATAAACATAATTTGATACAAAAAATATTAGAGTTGTGAGGTTAGTGCTCACCACCATGGCATGGAACATGGACTCAGTAGCAATATTGCAGAGGGTAATTTGTAGAGAGCAAATTACCAGGGCTCTCTTTCCAGAAAAGAATCTTTTGAGGCACAAAAGGCACAAAATGCACACCTCATTGCAGGACTCTTGCAGTGTTTCATTTGATGGTTCTCTTATTAATCCCACCATTTCAGACTGGATGCCCTTCACATCAGAGTAGCATGTCCAGATCTCTGCATGCAGGGAGTGAAGTAGGCAGCAGCCTTGGCCCAAAGCTTTGCACAGGACTTCGTATTGAATCATAAATTAGTCTGCAGAGGAACACGAGAGTAACCCAGTAATTTGTTCTGACAAAAGCAGGATTAGACATTTCCAGGTCATTTGGTGCTCAGTGTGGCTCAATTAGACACACCCAAACCCACAGGCATCTGGCTTGTTGTATTTTGGGAGAGCAGGTCAGTATGAGAGGAATGTCACCAAGGCAACTCCATGGGGCTGGAAGATAGGAAGTCATAAACACTGTTCCTCTCCAGCCTGGCTTTGGGACAGACACCCTTTCTGTGCCATTGGATACAGTGAGCTTGCTAGGATCTCTTAGATGGGCATACACATTCCAAAAGAACATGGATTTGCTTACATTCTTTTCAATACAGACTTCAAAGTGCCATTATTAAAAGCACTTCTATCAAAGATGTTACATCTCATTTTTCTTTTATTTCAAAACTCAAATTTGTTTTGTCTCTCCTATTTTATTTTCAGAAGTTTTGCATGATGCATCACACAGCATGTATTATTGCATTTCTTAGAATTGAATATATTCCAGGCAACTTCTAATGGTTTGCGTAAGCATCACATCTGTCTTGCATTAAATGAAATAGTCTAGTCATTTTTAATGCAGAGTAGTCCCCACTGCATTTCTATCTCTTAAATCTTGTTTTGCTTTTAAGCTAGTGTTTTCATTATTTTCCTTTTAAAACTGAACTTATTTAGGATTAAAGATCATTCTTCCCTGTGACGTTAGTTTCAAACTGTGTTTTTCTTTTTGTATTATTTTCCTTAAGAATTTTTTTTTTTTTTTTTTTGGAACAGCCTCGCTCTGTTGCCTAGGCTGGAGTGCAATGGTACAGTCTTGGCCCACTGCAGCCTCCACCTCCCAGGTTCACTCAATTCTCCTGCCTCAGCCTCCCGAGTAGCTGGGACTACAGGCATGCACCACCATGCCCGGCTAATTTTTGTATTTTTAGTAGAAACAGAATTTCACCATGTTGGCCAGGCTGATCTTGAACTCCTGACCTCAAGTGATCTGTCGCCTCAGCCTCCCAAAGTGCTGGGATTACAGGAGTGGGCCACTGCGCCTGGCCAATTTCCTGAAGAGTTTTTTTTTACCATAATGGGTATGGCTGAATAAAGCAAACAAGCTAGATACATTTTTTTTCCTATTTACTTAATTTGAACATGCTTAAAATTCTAGAGCATATAAACAAATGAAATACCTTTCAAATTGTTTTCAGATTTGAATTAGCAAACAAAGTTCTATTCATATTTTTAAAGGAAGGTTAAAATTCAGCAACAGTGGAGGCTCTTAAACATTATGTCAGGATTCCTGCTGGAAAGTTATCAAGTGAAAAAAATCATTTCAGTGTTTGATTGCACATCAAGTGCTAAAGATCAATTTTCCCTTTGGAAATGCTGAAGCTGTTCTCATTGCATTTCCTTTCCTATACTTAGAACATTTGCATGAAATATTATTTCAGCTGTTATATATAAAGTTAGCTGCATAAGCACATGTGTGATGCTTTGGAGATGCAAGGAAACAGCAATTATTAGTCCAGTCTCCTACCAAATAAAGTATCATGGGACTTTTCCAAAATTAGGGATGTCCCTGACACCAGTGTTAGAAGTTATTGATATTTTTTCCTTGCAATGAGATGGACATTTTAGGACTCTAAGTCCAAAAATTGTGTTGTCCTTTTCTTCACTATCAAAAACAATCCTAAGAAATATTCTTATATTATCTACTTTCCTTCCAGCTTTCTGCCAAAAGTAAGGTTTTAAGAAGATCTGAATAGTCTTGCAACCCAAGGTGGCAGAACTTGCTTAGTGATGGGATGTAGTAGAAAGGTTTTGCTTGTAGTCCTCAAATCTTTGGCAGAAATGAAGTGGCTGTTCCTGCAGGGAACAGTAGTTGCAGAGAGGTAGGCTGATTATTTTTTACATCTCCCTTCAGAGCAGAAGTTTCAAGTCTATTGTATCCATTAATAGTAACCCTCTCAGCTCATTCAGGTCAATAGGAGATGAGATTATTTCTCTTCTCTAGAAGAACTATAGAGAGGAAGTCAGCAGAGTCTTCTAAGAAAGAGCTTTGAGAAAGATATTTGGCAGGTATTACATTTTCTCCTCCCTCAATATATTTATCTTCTGGAAAAAAAAGGCACATAGACATTCTTGTAACTTATGAATAATGGTTATAGTCTATTAAATTTCATTTGTTCCCTGAAGAAGAGAAAAATAATCATGCGATCATGTCAGATTGTCCTAGATTTCCAAGGGTTTCTTCTAATATTCTATCCCTTGATTTTATCAACTGATAACTAAAAAAAATTTGATGCATAAAACATTCTCTTATTTGATTTGTTAAGGCTAAATAAAGACAGATAGTGATTGTCCACCTCGATGGCAATAAAAGAATAATGACAATATCCCCAAGTCCAATAAATGCAGAATTTCTAGGCAAGAATATTTTCACCCCAGCAGTCTGAAGATTACCATTTATCAATCTCAGATTAGCTACAAGTTTGTTCAATATATTTGACTTGTTGCTGCATTCACTTAATTTTCAACTTTAGGGTTCTTTACCTTGTATTATCTTTTCTTATCACAATGAACGCGATATTTCTAATTGAATCTTACCTAAATTGAGAGTCTAAAAACTGAGTTTCTCCTTGAACACTTTCATTGACAAACAACTCACCCCATCTTCTCATGAAGTTCAGATTTTTGGAAAGCTTTTCCTAACATTGAACTAAAACCTTTACTCCCATATTCTTCTATCTTTGGCACATGAAACAATTCCAGCCCTTCTTCCACTTGACATCATCTATCATGAGCCTCATGAGTTTTCTATTCTGCAGGCTGTACATCCCTAACTCCCCGGAGGTTGCCTGCTTAGGACATGGTTTGCATATGTTCATCCTCGTGTCTGTCTTCTGAATTTACTCCATGTTCTTCTGCAAAGTCTATCTTCCATCTTGAAGCTCTTGTTGGATTAAGCTTCTCAGTTGAACCACACAAATCATGATATCCTGTCCATTCCCTTTAAAGTACCTGACCTTTGGCTTTGGTAATAATATCTGAATGAATTTCTTTTATTTGCTAGTATGATTGAGGCCTTAGTTAGGCTTTTTTAGGTTTCAAGAAGCAAAGACAAACTGAAGTTTAGGAAGTAGGAGTTTGCAGCAAGGCAACATGGGGGTAAGGGAAGCTTAGACCACCAAGCCACAGCAGCAGCTCTGGGGCACCACGGGAATTCAGGCAGGTGTCTCAGAAGCAGGCGTCTGAGTCCCCTTTCTCTGCTCCCTGCTCACCATGGAGGCTCAGAGAGTTTCTGACTGCTGCTGCTCTGGTCTTCTGGTAGCTCAATATTCTCCTTCTCTCCTACTCCTGGCTTCTATTCTTGCTCCCTCTCTGTGTACTTTTTCAGGCTTAGATCAAGACATTTAGACCAGAGTATCTATAGGCTACTCTCTCCTCCCTCTCTCGAATTTCAAAATAAATGCCGATAAAGTTTCAGTTAAGCAAGATGAGTAAGCTCTAGAGATCTGGTGTACCACATTGTACCTAAAGTAAATGACAATGTATCGTACACTTAAACATTAATTAAGAAAGTAGATCTCATGTCATTTTCTTACCATAATAAAATAACATTTAAAAATATGCAGCAGAGATTAAACAGATATTAAGAAAAAATATATGTCTAGAAAAAGTTTTAATTTTTTCCCTGTGATGATTATTTTAATGCTTTTCAAAATAAAACAAGTATTAATTCTTTACAAAATAATTTTTTGGTACTCTGGTGATTTGATATGAACTTTTTCTGCCTGTTGGTAAAGAGGATGTTTTTATTTCCTCTAACAATTGCTATTTTTTTTTTTTTAATGCTGGACTCTCAAATCATCTAAGCAATGAGATCTGATCAGCTCAATTAGGTCACAATTGTGCCTGTTTGGCGGCTCTACTTGAGGCAAGCCTCTTCCTAGGCTATTTTTCAGGCAGGCATGCCTCCCTGGTCCAAGCAGCTGTAGCAGGGTGGTGTGGTACCAAATAGTTAACCAGGTGAGTGTGGCTGGAATCCCAGAGCAGGAAGTGGGTCTGGCAGACAGCTTGTGTGGCCTTCAGTACATACGTCTGCACAAACCACTGAAGGACTTGCTCACTGTCTCATGCCACACCACAATTCATCCTTTCACTTTGGAATATGATGTACTTAGTGAAGTCCAAATTGACTTTCCAGCGGGATGTGTGGCCCTGACCAGACCACTGTAGGGTCTGCAGTTTGGCAAGGCAGTGGGAGAAGTTACCTGGCTCTCTCCCTACAGGAGACCTACACCCTCCTCATGGCTAAATTGAAAGAGTGTCAGGGAGGGTACGAGCTGGGGACCTTTGGACGGTACAGTGATTTTTATGACTTTATTTGATTAAGAATTTCAATGACATTGGTTTAGATGCATCCATCTATTTTTTGCTCCCTTCTTGTTCTTGTTTTTTCAAGGAGATGAGATTTGTGTGTAACCCATGAATTCTCCATGTGAAAACAGACATTGAAATATAGGCAGACTCTCGAGACCCATCTGAGGCACTCCATCATGCTTACCCGGAGATTCCCTTTGCTGGCTACATTTGAGCTGTCCTGACTACTTCTGCTTGGCCCTAGAGCCTTCCCTTCTTGTTGCATTATGCCTGTGACAGCTGATGTTTGTAGCAGGACAGCCTGTCAAATTGCCCAATCGAAGAGAGCTTGTTTCCAGAGATTCGGAAGAGACTGGCAGATTGGGAAGGAAAAGAAGGTTGTTTTTCTTTTTATGCCCAGGAGTAATTGCATGGAAAGGCACCGCTCTGGGCATTTTCCCCGCCAGCAGCAGATGTCATTGCTTGTGGGGAAGAAGTGCGGCCTCCCCTCCCCTCCCCACTTCCCTTTTCCCAGTGAAACCGATGGCAATAAAATTAAATCAAGCATTACTCCTTTTTCTATCAAAAACGCTCTTGTGTTTAAATTATGGATTCTAATGGCTCTCAAGGAGAGCACCAGAGGGGCTCCAAATGCTGTCAGACAGCAGGGGAGCAAGGAGGGGAACCAGCAAAGCACTGCTGCCACCAACCAAGATAACGCCTCCAGGGTTGAGGGTCGATTCTCTTTTCTGTGCAGTGGGAAGCCAGCCACATGCATCCCAACTCAAGGTTTTTCTCACCTTTCTGAAACTGACTTTTATGTTTGGTTGGATTCCCTGCCCAGGATTTGCTCAGAGATCTCATTAGGACTTTTGGAGAGCTGGACCTCCATTAATGAGACACATTCCAGGCCCTTGCCTGGGTGTTTGGCCACATTATTCAAGTCTGTGGCTTGTGTCCTGCAGTACCTCAGAACTTGATGATGTCTGATCTGGGACTTGGCTGAGACTGGGTAGCTACTTATAAGTGCCTTTGAGGAGGCAGGAAGAGATGGGGAAAAAATGCAGAGGGAAAGGAGAGAATCTGCCAGAAATTAAATGCAGACGGTTTGCTCCTTAGACTAGCCAAGGTTCTTTGGAGCAGAGGATGGGGTTCAGTTCTGCTGCCCACTCCCAGAGGATCTGAACTAAATTTAGAATCTCTCTTTCATGTCCTCTCAGTCTTATAGTGATTCAGAATGCAGCTCTTTCCCTCAACGTCTGCCGGACATCTGTCCATCCACTTACTTATACTCCTACCTAACAAGCAAAGATAGATCTCCTACTCCATGCCCATGCTGTGCCACAGGCTGGATGAGCAACCTGAACAAAGCACAGTCTCTATTTTCTAGACGAGACTCCCACACAGGGCTGATTTCCAGAATCATCTTGGGAGCTATTAGAAATTCAGTATCCCTGGTTCCACTCTAGACTTATTGCATCAGAAACTCCAGATGTGAAGCCTAGGCATCTATATTTCAAGAGTATCCAGGGTTTTTTTGTTTGATTGTTTGTTTTTGTTTTTGTTTTTGTTTTGGAGAGATAGAGTCTACTCTGCCACTCAGGCTGGAGTGCAGGTGTGATCATGGCTTACTGCAGCCTCATCCTCCTGGGCTCAAGCACTCCTCTTGCCTCCGCCTCCAGAGTAGCTGGGACTACAGGTACATGCCACCACACCTAGATAATTTTTAAATTTTCTGTAGAGATGGGGCTCTCACCATTTGTCCAGGCTGGTCTCAAACTCCTGGGCTCAAGTGATCCCCTTGCCTTGGCCTCACAAAGTGCTGAGATTATAGGTGTGAGCCACCGCACCCAATCTCCCAGGTGATTTTGATGTTTCTGTAGGTTTGAGAACCACTTGAAGGGAAGCAGTCACAGTCAAAAGGTGACAGAAAAGCTAGTAGATAAATTGCAAGTGCTATTTGAACTCCTGAACAAAGTTCTCTGGATGCTCACCCAACTCTGGTAAGTGGGGAGTGTTTACCAGTGCAGATGACTTGTAAGCAGGTTCTTGAAGGATGAGTAGTTTTCCAAGTAATATATTGGTGCAAGAAGATTCTAGCCCCAGGAAACAGCACTCACAAAAGCATGGAGGTGTTCATGGAACAGTGGGAAGTTCAGTGTTGATGGAAGGGGTACCCCTAGGATGCACAAGCAAGTGTCTGATATTGGGAAACACAAAAGGTAGAGCCTGTTTCAGGGGAAAGTCAATGGCTTGACTTTGGGGTTTTCATAAGATTCTTCATCTCAGACCCCAGTGGTAGCGCTGTGAACTCCTGGCCTCTGAAACTCCAGAGGGGACCTGGGAAGCTTCTTTGGACCTAGCTTTTAGAGGACTCTCATCTCATGTGCAGACAGAGTCCTCTTGAGGTTGACTCTGAAGTGGGCGCAAGTTGTGGAGTGAGATGTTTTTTAAAATACCTCTGTTTTAAAATACACCCTCTGCTCTCCTCAGTGGGCCAAGGCCACAATGCAGCAAGGCTGTTGACTAAGACCCTCTGCCCAGACATGCTTCAAGGAAAGGGCTGGTTCTGGGGCACAGGATCCAGTCACTCATTTCTTTATTTGGCAAACACTTATTGAGTGCCTGCTGTGTGCTGGGTATTGTGCTTGGCTTGATGGTGAAAGATTCTCTCCTTAACCAAACTCTAATCAGGCTCCTCTGAACTCTCTTCTCAATTAGGTCCTGACCTTTGGGCTTCCTTTTTTATCTCTGTATTGTCTAATTTTACCAAGAATCCTGTCGAGTCAGTTTAATGTTAATCCTCGATATCTGATCACCCTCACTACCTGACCAGGTTCCTTATCCTCCATCATCCTCCTGGGTGATGTCTGACCGCCCTGGCCTGCCTTCAGCAAGAACCCAGTTAGGTTAACCTCTTTACTCCTATTGTTTCTTCTTAGTAATTTTTCACCCACTGACCACCTTCCCCCCACTTTGGGTATACATTCCCACTTTTTCTTTGCTATCTTCAGAGTTGAGCCCAATCTCTCTTCCCTATTGCAATATCCCATTGCAGTGGTCCCTACGCCTATCATGATGGTCCTGAAAAAAGTCTGCCTTATCATCTTTCACTGGTGTCATGAATAATTTTTCTTTAATGGTGAATATGAAGTTGAATAAGACAACTCCCTGGGTTTGTGTTTACTTCTGCCATTGATGCTATTTTTAAAGCTCTGCGGCCCTTCCTGTATTTTTCTTTCTCACTGAGCAAAACAGGGTAAATAGCCTGCAAATTCTCACCAAAAGAAAAAAAAAAGTGCTGTGAGTTGAATAAACTCAAATGAGCAAAGAAAACCAGAATATGTTTTACTTACTCTATTCTTCAATAAAATGTTTTACTGTTATATTTAGGATATAATTCACTCCCCAGGAGAGCACCACTTGAGAACAATTGGTTGAACAAAGTTTCTAGGTCTGAATTATCTTTTTGGATAAAAAAGCTTTTGATGAATAATGATAATAATAATAAAGATGCACTGGAAAATGTCTTGTATTAAAAGGGGGAAAAATCTCAGACATTAATGCTATGTCCAGTCTCTCTATAAAAACCCGTCAGCTTCTTGCTGTTTTTAGTCAATTTCACAGTGGGGAAGAGAAACAGGCTGCTGGATTAGGAGAAACAAGTTCAAAGAAGGCAGCACAATTGCTGAAAACATTCCCTCAAAAGGAGAGCTTTTTAGTTGTAGCTAAATATATGGAAATAAAAAGCAAATAGAGGTATGGGTACATGTACGGGGTTGAGGGGTGATCATATTGGGAAGTACAGACTCCAGGGAGAGTTGTGAAGCTGCCTTTTTGAAGAATAACAGGGAACTTTATGCTGTGAAATTGACTATAAATTTGCAGAGTGCAAACCTTCCTATTCTTCCAGGCTTAGAAGAGAGATTTGCCCACAGTCAGTACTCACACAGGGCACCTTGGGGTAAGGGCAGGATCTGTTGAGCAAGGAGACTAGGATCCTGGTCCCAGCTCTGTCACTACTCAGTTCCCATGGCAGGTCTCAATGAATATTTATTGAATGAATAATTTGTATGCATTTTATTAATTTTAATATTAGCAGATGCTCTAAGGCAATGATGGTCCTGGCTGTATGGCCATTCTCCCAGAGTTCATGCTATTACCATAAAACCTAGGACGAACTTCATTGAATTCTTCTTCATTTTCATGTCAAGGTATTTTCAGAGAAGGACAGGGGACTATTTAAGTCAGCAAGAACCAACACTTGACACTCATGGCCATGAGATATGCTTTGGACTTTGCCAAAGGAATTCTACAAAAGGAAGGACATGAAAGGAACTTGCTACCACACAGTTTGGCCTAAGAATTGGAAGGAGAGGAAGCTATGTGAATTTGACAAAGGACTACATTAAAATCAGAGATTGTGGCACAGTTGGGTGAATGGCAAAAGGAGATGCAGGGTTTGTGAAGTAGTGATTTTCCCTGACACTGTGCCGTGGAAAAGGAGGGAGCCAGGAGATATTAAAACTGCTGATAAATGAAAACACGACTGTTTCCTGGTCACTGAATACCTGGAACATCCCTGCTGCTGGGGGCCCCTTTCTATTCATACCATAAATATATGCATGGTGTTTTGTGCTGTCCCATCAACCAGTGTATGACACTGTTTAAAAGTCTATTAAAATATATGTTTGGAATATTTATTGTACAATGATATCAATACAAATTTCTAAAGGGAAAAATGGATTGATAATCTTATTACACTGCCAAACCAATTGTCTTTATTTTCTCCATTTCTTTCCAGTCCTTTTTCACAGTCCCATGTCAGCTTCCTGATGGGCTGGGCTGGTCATTGGGATCCTATGTGGCCCAGCTGGCGCTGCAGCGCCACCACGTGGCTTCCTTTGCTCTTTATTGGGCCTACATTCCCAGTGTCCTGCCCAGATGTCAACATGTTTGTGGCTGCCGTTTGGTCCCCACTTTCCTTATGGGATCCTGGCAACCTGCTATCTCCAGCCTTTTCTGGGCCCTGCTTTTTTCTGACAAGACTGTTATCATTCATATGTAAAAGCTTATATAAAACTTATATATGTTACATAAGTTCATAAAAATGTATAAAAACTTTTAACAAATTTGCCGATAAAAATGTTTATCATCTACCTGTAAAAGTTAGTGTTTTCCACTTAAGTGTGGTGTAGGGCATAGCAGCTCCTTCTTCCTAGCATATGCATGGGAAATTCTGTCAAATCTTTCTACACTTTGATTTATTCCAAGGCAATATCCACTGTATTTGCTCTGTATGGCTCCAAAAATCAGTCTATAACATCCTAAAGTATAAATATCTTGCTTTGCATAACAATTTTTCCTACTTCCAGATAGTCAATAATGCTGAATCGTTTCGTAATCTGTCTTTTCTCTTGAATTTTTTTCTTAATTAATTGACCTTAATTCCTAAGGTTAAATCCCATAAGTGGGATTATGAATGAAAACATTAAGTTTATTTTGGTTTTTACCAAGATAAGATGGTAACTTGGACACATTCGTACCTTACTGGAGGACGACGGACCATCATTATGGTTCTCTTGAAATAGTTTAGTTTTGTAGGGAAGAGGGTGCTGTTTCCCATGTTTACTGGCATGTGTATTGGAACAGAGAGGTGACCACCCCTGTCACAGGCCCTCTTTGTGCTGCTTTCCATTAGGGTTCTGTGAAAACAGAAGTGAGTATGAAGAATATCATGTGACTGAAAAAGTAAAGCACTCTGTGATTTATTGCAGCACATTTGAGTTTTATGAGTGATATTTACTATAGTCTCTATGGATTGGCTGGACTGCCTTTCTGCCTATGCCTTTTTTTTTTTTTTTTTTTTTTTTGGAATTTGAGGAAAAATTTTCTTTTTTCCCTCCAGATAGTATACTAGTGCATGAAGTTCCTACTGTGTTACTTGCTTGAAGATCATGTTAAATTAACCAGTCAATGTCTGTGTAGAGAAAGATCCTTGTCCTAGGCTGTCATAGTGTGAGCTCACCTTGAATGGTGGTAAGTGGGTTCCGTGTGGCCCTGGAAGGTACTGGTGGAAGCAGGCACTCCTTAACTGAGAACAGTAGTGTAAAGCCATAGCTTCTGGGAAAGCCTGAGAGAAGTTTGGTAGATCTGGAAAGTCATTGTCTGGAAAGCTAGACAACTCTGTAATAGAGCCACACCTCAACCTGGGGCCAAAATGGCCACAGATTTAGACACTGGCTTTTGCTCCACATGAGGGAGTGGTAGGTGAGGGGTGGGGATAGGGGTTGGTTATACAGGTCATGGGAAAAGCAAAGGGCAGTCTCAATTTGAAGGCACTCTACATGCAAAAGATTCACCTTCCACCTCTTTCCCTCTACCTTCCTTACCTTCTGACTTTTAGAAATAAATAAGCACAGAACTAAAGCCATACTAGAACCAGTTAATAGTTTATTTTCATAATAAGTTTTCAAATAGACATAGACTAGTAAATAGATTTGAAATTGCAAATGTCTTGAGGTTTGAGGTTAAGAAGTTTGAATTTTGGAACATTCTCTTTATGAAGGAAGAAAAAATTTATAAGGCAAACAAATGAGATTTCATGAATCAGTTTATTTTGTTAATTACAAATTTCTCACTATTTATTAATCAAATTAATGGAAGGTAAAGCCCTCTGTATTAGTTTTCTAGGGTTGACATCACCAAGTACCACAGACTGGGTAGCTCAAGCAACAGAAATTCATTTTCTCACAGTTCTGGAGGCTACAAGTCCAAGATCAAGGTGCTGGCAGAATTGGTTTTTCTGAGATCTGTCTCCTTGGCTGTAGATGACTGTCTTCTTCCTCTGTTTTCACATGGTCTTCTCTCTGGGTATGTCTGTGTCCTAATCTTCCCTTCTTACAAGGACACCAGCCATATTGGGTTAGGCCCCACACTAATGGCCTCATTTTAGCTTAATTACCTCTTTAAAGGCCCTATCTCCAAATACAGTTTAAGTTCTAAGGAACTGGGGGTTAGGGCTTCAACATATGAAATTTGGAGGGACACAATTCAGCCCACCACCTTTCTTTGTGAGATTTTTGGGAAGCATTTTAACAATATGAAGCTTTTCTGGGATTAAAGAGTGTATTAAAATTTTTGAAGTTTCTACTATGTATGTGCTCAGAACTTGCCAGGTTCAACAAGGGACTCAAACAGAGGGTGGAGTCCTTTTCAGAGAAAGTTAAAATGAGTTGAAAGACAGTAATAACTTTTAAAATGTGAAATGGAAAGGGCCATTTATAAACAATTTGCTAAAATAAATGGCTATCATCAAGAGGAGAGACTCCTTCGGGTTGGAGTTTCAAGGCAGGTTATGTGCAAGAGGTGGACTTTGAGATGGAGCATAGATAATACACCTGTCTATCCCCTTCTTTTTAAGTGCCATCATTTCCATCCCTGTGTCTACATATTTTCATGGCTTATTTAAAACAAAAACACTGGGGGATCTGGTGTTTGGGTCTCCCTTCCCTTCTTCTTTTTCCTTTTCTTACTTAAATTGTCTTTATATATTTTTCTTTCTAAAAAAAAAAAATAGGGACTGGCGTGGTGGCTCACGCCTGTAATCCCAGCACTCTGGGAGGTCGAGATGGGCAGATCACTTGAGGCCAAGACACCAGCCTGGCCAACATGGCGAAACCCCGTCTCCACCAAAAGTACAAAAATCAGCTGGGCATGGTGGCGTGCACCTGTAATCCCAACTACTTGGGAGGCTGAGGCAGGAGAATCATTTGAACCTGGGAGGCGGAGGTTGCAGTGAGCCAAGGTCACGCCACTGCACTCCAGCCTGGGTGACAGAGAAAGACTTTGTCTCAAAACAAACAAACAAACAAACAAACAAACAAACAAACAAACCCATAATTTATTTGACTGTGGTAATCCTTACACAATCTTCCTTACACATTTTGTAAGGAATCATTACATTGTACTCCTTGAGTGTATATAATTTTTATTTGTCAATAATATCTCAATAAAGCTGGAAAAAAGTAAATTAATACATAAAAGAAAGACCATAGTACCACTACCAGAACACTCTTTTACCTAGTGTTATATACATTTATCTTTCTTAGTGGAACTCAAAGTTATCTGCATACGTAAAATTTATAGAGATAAGCAGTGTTTCTGATTTAAGTGAAACTTATAATTTTTCCCTTTGTGAGAACCCCCAGAATGAACACCTCACAGGCAAATTTAGAAAGCAATGATAAAGGCCATTTATATGTAAGTCAGAAATAATTACTTCCTAAATGTCGGCCACTAATACTGGCTGTAAAATAGCCCCAGGCTTTGGATGAGAGCGCACAAAAAATGAACAAGAACATGATCGAGAGCCATCAGGGAGCAAGAGCGAAGCAGATAGTGGAGCTGGGTGTGCTACAGCCTGAATGCTGGCATCTCCCAAAATTCGAAGGTTGAAACTTAACCCCGATGCAATAGTATTAGGACATGTGGCTTTTAGGGGATGATTCAATCAAGAGGGTGGGGATGGGATTAGTGCTCTTATAAAAGAGGTTGAAGGGAGATGCCACGCCCCTTCTGCCATGTGAGGCACAGAGTCTTCACCAGACACCAAATCCGCTGGCACCTTGATCTTGGACTTCTCAGCTTCCAGAACTGTGAGCAATAAATTTATATTGATAAATTACCCAATCTAAGGTAATATGTTACAGCAGCCTGATGGATGAAGACAGGGTCAGGAGACCTTTTTTGAACTCACACTAAAATGCCATTTCTGTGTTTCTAGTAGTTTCCAGGGTCTAAGAAAAGTTTTACAGATTTGACATTTTTAATGACAAAACTTCATTTGATTTCACCCAAGAAGTAGTTAGTGCAAATTTTGATTACTGGTTTGGTGCTTTCATTACGAACTAGATTTCTTTCTCTGGAATACATAATTTGCTTTTCTATTATCTATCAAATTATTCCTACCAACCAGGCCTCTAGCATGGATGGAAGAAAAAATGAATGGAAATAATTTATGAATGCTACAATTGGAGAGTTCTGGAAAAGTTAGCACTGGGACCCGAAGATCCTGGTGAAATGCCTGAAATGCTTTAATTCAGCATATGTTTATTGCCCACTCACTACATGTCAGGCACTGTGCTAGATGACATGGTTAGAAAGATGAAAAAGACATGATTCTACAGTCAGGAAGCTCACGTTTTGGTGGAAGAATTGTTCCAACATGTTAATATTACACATTGTCAAAGGTACTGTAGTGGAGATTTACTCAAAGTGATGTGAAAACCCAAAATAGAAAGTAACTAACCCTGGGGACCTTAGTTACAGAATAGGTTAGTACGGAGAACAGGTGACACTTGAGTTGGGATTTGATGTGTAAGTGGGAGTTTGCCAGGCAGAGAGCAGAGGGAAAGATGTGACAGGCAGGCAGCAACTAGACAGCAGAGAGGCATAAAGTGCATATGCTCAGTACACATTACCACAGTGGAAAATGGAAACAACTGAAATGCTTGACACCATAAGGGAACACCTAAGTACCATGCCAAATAGTCATAGGATGGGCTGTCACACAGCCTGTTTAAATGATTTTTACAAAGAGAATGTAATGTTATGGGGAAGTGCTTATGCTATAGCATTAAGGGAAAAATAAGGGAATAAATATAATTGTTTATATGGAATGATTTTATGTCTTATGTACATAAAAGTCTAGAAAATGAATATTTATATAATTGCATGTTGCTGCTTCATATTTTTTGAACTCAGAGTTTCATGAGTTTATATTGTTTTAATGGAGAAAGTCAGAAAATTAGAGAGCATAGGGTAGGTTTCAGAATGAAAAAGACCAGAGGGGCTGGAGTCCAGGCCTGTAGGGAGGGAGATGAGGCAGGTGGGGCCATATTGCTATAGTCACTAATCCTGTGGTTAATATAATAAAAATTGTGGTCACTTATCCTGTAGGTAATGAAAATTATATTAACTCCAGTTTTGTACTGAGGAGCCCTGTTAAAATAGAAAAATAACTTCTAATGGGCAGGATATAAAGCTTTTATTACATGTTAAATTTTTACCTTGAGTTACACATGAGTTGCATGGTGCTGGGTCCATAAATACATTGGGCTGGTTTTTCTGTGGATACCGTTGCCTATTTCTAAACCTCACACAACAGTTTTTCCTCCAGAGTTGCAAAAGACGACTCCACTTCTATTGAACATTAGAAGAGGTACTTAGCTTGTGGTTATGGAAATATGTATTTTCTATTTTTAACTGTGTATAATTCAATTTGCACAAGTTAAATATGGGGACATCCATCTTATAATGGCTTTTCTGGCAAATAGAAACATGGGACACCTGGGTTTTGAAAGGGACAAAAGGGCAAAGGCTTCTGAGGTTTTTGCCATTATGGAGTGCTATTGTGGAAAACCCTGAGAATCTGGGGTCACTGAGGAGACTTGGTGTTGGAGTAAAGGTGGAGGGACCCCACACTCACACACATGTGTTTCCTACTTCTCAGGTTTTTCTAGGTTTGGAACTGAAAACTGAGCTATATTGCTATTTGACATCATCATGTTTAACCTGCTAAATTTTATTCAAGTCAGTGCAAAAAAAAAAAATCAAGAGTGACAAAGTCAAATCAAAATCAAAATTCCAACAGTAATAAGAATGTGCCTTAGGCCGGGTGCAGTGGCTCACGCCTGTAATCCCAGCACTTTGGGAGGTCAAGGCAGGTGGATCACTTGAGGTCAGGAGTTTGAGACTAGTCTGGCCAACATGGTGAAATCCCATCTCTACTAAAAATACAAAAATTAGCCGAACATGGTGGCAGGTGCCTATAATCCCAGCTACTTGGGAGGTTGAGGCAGGAGAATTGCTTGAACCTGGGAGGCGGAGCTTGCAGTGAGCCGAGATCGCACCATTGCACTCCAGCCCGGGCAACAAGAACAAAACTCCGTCTCAAAAAAAAAAAAAAGAAGTGTGTCTTATTTGTTCACACAAAACATCTTTTTACCTGGCACTGAGCAGGATGCAGTCAGTCTTGAAGGACAGATGCTGCTGTGGCTGTTTTTCACTTTCATCCCTGGGAAGGGACCAGTCGTACAGATGCCCTACCACATTTCCTTGTTTCTAACCTCCCCTCAGTGTGTGGGCACAGGCTTCCCAGAAAGAAAAGCATAGCAGAGAGAGAGGGGTCTGAATTTGTGCTTCAGATATTTCCGCAACTAGTCTTCCAGTACTGGTGTGTGGCTACCTAGAGCATGCAATTGCTAGGAACTGGATATGGTCAAACTCTTCAAAGAAAATCGACCTACCCCATTATTACCCAATTACATTAGTAAGACTTTGAATCTGAAAAGGACTTCTGTAATCATGGAATTTAAAAATTGGACTCAAAAAGTTCAAGGGACTCAACCAAAGTGTCTTAGATAGTTACTGGCAGTGTCTATGGCCATACTACCCTGAACGCGCCCAATCTCCTCTGATAGTGGCAGAGCTGGGGCTAAAACTTAAGTTGTCCGAGTTGCCCCAGGCTAAACTTCAGATGCTGCCACATCCTACTTCACTTGTTGTTCCATTATTTTTATTACTAACATGGTATTATCCCTACCTTTCTTGTTTTAATATAATAGCATAAATATAGGTTTAAATTTTTTTTCCAGTTTGGAGTCCAAGAAAGTTGATGATGTCTTCTCTTTTACAGACTCTAGCTTTTGCAGGCCGACTGAGCAGGCTAAAGCAGAAATGTGCAAAGTGCCTTTCCCCAGACAGTTAGAATGTGTAATGAAGATGGAAATTTCCGAGACCTGAATCCCCAAACCCAGACTGATCTCTCTTCTCTTCTTGAATATAAAAGTAAGCTGGCAAGATTTAAAAAACTGAACCCAAATAAATATTCATCATTTTTTTCTTCCATTCTGAGTCCTACAGAGTAATGAATGGTGCTCTTCACCCTGAGTTTGGCATATTAAAATGCCGTGATGTGTGTATATAAAAGAGTGTGTATCCTACTATCTACCAAAAGGAAGAGAAATCTTTATATAAAAAGACACCAGCACTTATAAGTTTATTGCAGCACTATTCACAATAGCAAAGTTATGGAACCAACCCAAGGGTCCATCAATGGTTGATTGGATAAAGAAAATGTGTATAAATATGCCATGGAATACTGTGCAGCCATAAAAAAGAGTGAAATCATGTCCTTTGCAGCAACATGAATGAAGCCATAATTCCAAGTGAACTAACTCAGAAACAGAAAATCAAATATTGCATGTTCTCATTTATAAGTGGGAGCTAAACAATGGGTACACATGTACACAAAGGTGGAAATCATAGACACTGAGGACTCCAAAAGGTGGAAGAGTGGGAGGGAAATGAGGGTTGAAAAATTTACCTATTGGACACAGTGTTCGATATTTGGGTGACAGTTACGCTAGAAGCCCAGTCAGTACCATTATGAAACATACTCATGTAACAAATGTGCACATGTACCCCCTGAATCTAAAATAAAAATTTAAAAAGAAAGGAAAAAAGGGAGTGTATGTGTGTGCATGAGAGTGTGAGTATGTGATTGTGTGTGTCTGTGTCAGTACATGTGAGTGCATGAGTGTGTATGTGAGGGTGTGTGAATGTGTATGTACTTAGGTGCAAATAGAAGCTAAGAAATTTATTTCTTTGGAAAACAAGTCAAATTTTGTAGATACAGTTATGACCCAAACCTATTCTCAGTGTTCTTCAGATGGGAAATTACATTCGTGTTGACAGTGTAATTTTCAGAACAGTGGTTTTAATAGGCTGAAGGCACATCAACAATATTTAGAGATGTTTGACAATGTCAGAAAATGTTTGCCTTCATTTTTTGACTGTTTCCAGTTTTTACATGTGTATAAGGACCAGGTATATACTAAAGGCCAATATTTTACTCTCAAATATAGCAAAGGCTTCATTTATAGAAAAGATACCCATTCCTCCATTTAAAACTTCACACTGCAGCCAAAAGGACTTTTCAAAAACACAAATCCAATCATGCCACTCTTACTTAACCATCTTTACTTGCTTCTATATAGAACAAATATTGATTACCTACTCAATTCACATCCGCCTTCCAATTTATTTGTATTCATTTGTACCTCCCTACTCCCAAGGCTCAATGCTTGAGAGTGATGGACTCTGACTGACTGAGGCCATTGCTGCCTCCACCTCTCCACTCCTCCCCTCTCCGCAGTCATTGGCTCAGGGCTGGAGTGTGCCTTAGTTAGTTCAATAGGAGTAAATATCAGGCCTTTTTCTTGAAATGCTGGAACTGAGACCCTCTTTCCTTCAGGATGTAGCTGAATATATATAATAGTAAAAAATGCTGGCATCTTGTAGTCAGGAGGGGATCTGGCCTTGGCAGGAAGCTGATCCTTCAGAAGGCAAAGACTCTCCAGATAGGGAGATTGATGCCAGGCTCTCCTCTCTGCTGGCATCCCTAAGCTTTCTAAGAGATGCTCTTTAAGTTCCCCCTTCCTTCGTTTGGGGTGGGAGGGTGCAAAATCTCCCTCTCCAGCCCTTTTTATTTTGATGATATTCCTCTGGATTCTGCTCTTTTCCTTACATAAGACAAGGAAGTAAGTGAA
This sequence comes from Homo sapiens, assembly GCF_000001405.40. Taxonomy (NCBI): domain Eukaryota; kingdom Metazoa; phylum Chordata; class Mammalia; order Primates; family Hominidae; genus Homo; species Homo sapiens. The sequence continues at coordinate 155,373,874 of NC_000003.12, read as the reverse complement.
GGCTTACGGGATACCTTATGTATCTTTTAGTAATTCCCACAGAATGAGTCAAACATCTCCTCTTTCAGAAGGAGAATATTACCACTGATTGTCTTCAGCACTGGCACTTAAATAAAAAAATCTGAGATAAGAAATACCATTCAAAACCCTAATTATATACCTAGAGACTGAAGGTAAAAGTTAAAGACACTAATTGTGAATTTTTTAACTGATACATTGTTCACAGATGCATAATGTTTCAAAATTAATAACAAATATACACGGATACCCAATCAGAAATAAAAATAACATTTTCAGAAATAGTATGTTGAGTGAAAAGCAGAAGTTACAGATTCAAATGGTGCAGGCAGATAATATAAATGACTTGTAATGGGTTGTGTGTAAGACAATAGAGAGTGGCAGGGGCTGTGGTGAACTAGATTTGCCATGCCCCATCTAAAAAGGGCGGCTGCCATTCAATTCCAGAGATTTTGTTTAATGAAGAAACAAGGGCCTAATAATGAGAAAGTCTTATGGTTTCTTAAGAGAAACTGGAAATCCAGATTTTTATGTAAAGTTGCCCAAATCTTAAATGATGGCAACTAATTTAATTAAAAAAATACTGAGTGGGCTCAACAAAAGCCTGAGAGTAAGCCAAAGTTGGTATTTTGACCAATAGTTTACATCTCTGGGAAAGTGCTGTGTAAATATTAGATGTTATGATATGTTGCTTCAACATATCCTAAACAAAGCTCTAAAATAATAACTGTGCTGTTCAATAATCTAAAAATGGCAGTCTTATCTCATTCTTTCGAAGCTCGGCTAACCTCTCCAAGGTGATCTTGGCTGGAAGGCAGACTCTGCAGTGATTAGGTGGAGGTATTTAACTCTTAGAGTCTGCTATGCTCCCAATGACAGGCCCAGTATGTCCTTCATCAGAGAGTGCCAGGAGCTAGGCAGCTCTCTTCATTTGCATATCACTGTCCCTCAAATTGGGTGGGCGGGGGGTGGGAAGAGGATGAAAAATAAATGACCCAGAACAAAATAGGAGCTTACCAAATGAATGAATGAATGAGATGAGACAGGTGTGTTTATATTCAAATCCAACTATTTTTATCAAATGATTTTAAAATTCAGTCGGATGTATTCATTTTCAGTTGACTGAACCCCATGCTATTGAAATGTCTTTTGTAAATATCTCTTAGGCCAAGAGACTTTTGTTCACGCTTCATGAGGAATCAGCAGTGCAATGCTCTGAGAAGTTTTGCCCCTGAATCAATTTATGCAACAAAGTTAGAATAATTGCTTATATGATATACAGAGGAAGACACTTGAGGCAGTTCCAGATGAGAGCTTTGTGAGAAATGTGAGCATCCAGACCATTGGCCAAATGGCATCTAGTAGTTCAGCCTTCTGAGACTCTTCCTTGTCATCCTGGAATCTGTCCCATTGGCAATAGAACCAAAGCTTCCCTGAATTTACTTGCTTCATATCAACTTCTTTAAGTGGCAAAATGCTGGGAGGCTGCTTCCTGGGGTTTTTCCTTCCTATTCTTGCTTGTCTATCACCTCCCCTCCTCTCTTTCCTTTATGAAGTGTGCCTGTGTGTGCATGTATGCACACACACACAGACACACTCAAGTATTAACAAATTCCTACATTCTCAGTTCACCTTCAGGCTAGTACTGAGAAGGGGTTCTGTCAGTCAATTCTAGCAGTGTTTTGGGAAAGAGGGAAAACAAAAAAGAAGCCAAACATCTTCTCGACAAAAATCACAATTCTCCATTAGGTTTAAGTTAATCTGTTAGAATGATTCTATTTTATTTAAAAATAACTTTTCACAAGGAGGCATGCCTTCAGCTATGTTTTCAACTCTAAAAGAGTGCATAGTGGTTTTTTTAATGCTGGTTGATTTGTTCACTCATTCAACTGATATTTCTTGAACCTCTCCTAAGTGTTAGGAACTGCCTGAAGCAATGGGAACAAACCAAACACACACACACAACAAAAACACCCGCCACTCCAGCAGATGTAAGTGAATGAGGACAACAGCAGTGAGGTTGCAGTCAGAGTGCAAATCATTATTAGGTGGATTTGGAAGGTCAAAGATCCAACACCAACATAGTTTGGATTTTAAGCACAAAAACTCTATTTTCTGTAACAAAGTACAGTTTCTTATTTCAAAAAATCTAGTCTTAAAGAGTGGATAAGAACATAGATGGGAGGGCAAACACTGGGAATGTGTGCCCACTTCTGCCATTTACTAGCCTTGCCCCTTGTAGGGTGCCTTTCTCCTTCTCAATACACTCCTTTGTAAAAGGAGTCAGTACAGCTGTCCATAACCACAACATGAATCTATGGTGGAATTTAGATAACATGATCTTAGGCACTAGCATGTGGTCAACTGTAAAATGTTACAGAGAATATTATTATCAAATATTTGAGAGGGGCTGGCGAATTGTAGAAGGATGGGAGGAAAGAATAGTGGTAGAGGAAGGAGAACAAGACCAGGACCACAATGTCAACAAATAGCAAATCAAATAGCCCAGGAGGGGCAGTGGCCACTGAAATTGCAGCCCTTGATCCCATAGCAGCTGGATGAGATTATGGCAGGGGGCATGTCTCTTGGGAGTGTCATCATGACTCTGCATCTGATTAAGGTTCAGCTCTGGACAGGCACTTAGGAGAACCAGTTTATTGAAAAAGCTCATTAACTAGCGATGCAACACTGGTAAATCTCCACACTTTTCTGGGCTCCATGTTCTAAGCAACTTGCTGGTAAACACCTTCTGATGCTTGGGCCATCGGGAAGTTGGAGGTGGGCGGTAAGAGGCAACCCATCTGTAGAGTAGGAGGCTGCCTTCCTCTCTAGACACCACAAACTTCACCACTGAGCAGTCCACTTTTTATATCTAATTATAAACTCAGAAAGCTGAAAGGGATTCTAGAAACTACTCAATAAAAGTTCTGCATTTTATAAGTAAGAAAGTGGGCTAGAAATGACTATGTCCTGTTTGGCCCACCCCTGCAAGGGTTGGTATGTCCTTCACCTTTTCTCCACACCCACCAGGAATGCCTGTATAGTCTACAATTAGCATGTCTTTTGTCCATAAAGTTGCATTTCTATCTACTCTGCTTATCAAAAGGACTATGAGTTTTCTCATATATTGAAAGTTTGTTGTACTAGTTCCACAAACTACTGATCAGTGTGTGCCCTGTCCCACTTCATTTGACTTTGGGGACAGTAAGCACTTGCTGTCTCTCACAGGGAAGGCCTAGTGTCTCACCATGGAGGCTGCACTCCCTGCAATTTACAGACTCCCTTCCCTCCTCCTGTATTATCTTGAGTCCAGAGTGGCATGTCATCAGATGCCAGATTGATTCAGTCAGTCTTAAGGTCCCCCCTTGGCTCCAGCTGCAGACAGATGTTGTTAGCTCTCTGTACTAAGAAAGACTCCTTAGTGCCTTTGTCCTTGGCTTTGGGCCTTTGGCACAATTTTGGGACACCAAGAAACATTGCCACTTGACATTCTGCATTAGAGCCAGCTTGTTCTAGTCTTTGCCAAACAGCTCAAATAATGATCCCTGGTGGTTTGAGGAGAGTGTGCACTCCAGAATCCCACATATTGCTAGCACACAGGCTTATGTAATACAGTTTAGTTCAAATGAACAGATATGTCCAATTTTCTCAACTTTCTATGACTGGATAAAAAGATAAAATTTTTTAGTACGTGTTTTTTTAATCCCAAAGATAAATGTCCAGAAAATATTGTTTTTATTTTTTAGCATAATTTTAACTAATTTGCTATAAATAGTAAACTGAGATTCAACAATTATTTGATTATGTTAAATAATTATTCAAAAACTCTGTAGTTAAAGAAATGGAGGCTTGTCCAAGGTCATGTAGCAAGGTCAGTCAGTGCCTGGGCTACTGCCAAATTCTAAGGCTTCCGATCCTCACACTGGCATCTATACACTGGGGCCCACAGATCCCGTATTCTAATCCCTTAGCCTATAGAAATTATCTTGACACTCCCCCCACCACCCAAATTTAGTGGTTTAATTCTATGGTAAATGTATCCCAAACTGTGTTTTAGAGTGACAGACTTCCATGTTAAGTACGGGCACCAAGTGGCATCTTTTAAAGTTTATGAAATGGTAGGCTAATCATTTTGGTGCAAGTGTAGGGGCCAATGGAAAACATTCCCTTCACTCTCTGAAGGTTTGCTGAAAATTAACTGACCAAAGGCAGATTAATAGAAGAGAAGATGTACAAAATGTATTAACGTGAACATGTGTGCACATTAGCCATACGAAATATGCGAACTCAAGGAAAGGGCCAGGTGGTTGATGCTTTTATATCATCTTGAGGTTACAGAAAGAATAGAGGCTTGAAGTATGACAAGACAGGCTATGGGAGGGAGAGAGAGCAAAGTCATGCTAACAAAGTTGGTCTTATTATGTAGATGAAACCTCACAGGGAGCAGCTCTCAGAAAGAATAGATAGTAGCGTGTGGTCGAGTTAATTTTTCCTAGACCTGGAGAAGAGGGAGCACCTCAGAGAAAGCCTGGCTATTTATTTCAGTAATATAGATTTTTCTCTACAAATGCAAATCTCCTCCACAAAAGGCAACTTTTCAGGGCTATTCCTGTCTGCAAGCCTTCTGAATAGCCTTCTTGAAATATGTCAAAGAAGTATATTTTGGGGTGAAATATTCACATATCAAAAGTAGGATTGGTAATTATGGAGAGATTTGGGTTAAAGGTTGTGAGATAAAAATTGGTAAAGGAGAAGGAAAAAAACATGGATTGGAACAAGCAGCCTGTATCTTCTTGAATCAGTCTCTTAGTCCTGAGAATAGATTAGCTCCTTTACAGCTGTGTCCTGTTTCAGGAGGTGGTTTTCCAGATGTGCTGTCAAAGCTAGGCCTCTGTATATAATGCAGGCAAACAGATCTTTAATAAGAGGCATTTCTATGGAAACAAAAGGAAAACAAAAAATGTCTGGCATAGTCTATAAACTAGATTTCCTAGAGTCTTTGAAGCATCTTCATTTGGAGTGGGCAGGCAGTGGCCATCTGACAGATTTTCCTGTATTGTAGTTTAAATCAGGTATTCCCATGAACTTTTTTTAGTAGTCTATACATCAACAGGCATAAAGACTGTTTGTATATAAGTTACTGTGATGATTTCTCTCAAAATTTATACCAAGTTGTCTAGCTTCAGTTTGTAGGGCTTAAGAAGAGCATAATTGTGATTTCTAATAACTTTAAGTCAGAGGGCAGGAGAAAAATTAAAAATGTTAGTCTGGAGAGTCACCGTCAGATATTGGAGAGGACTAAAAATTTAGGACTAAGTACAGATTGGAGGTCAGTAATGAAACCTCAAAAACCCAGTGAGGCTGGGCATGGTGGCTCACACCTGTAAATCCCAACACTTTGGGAAGCTGAGGCAGGAGAATCGCTTGAGCCCAGGTGTTCAAGCCCAGTCTGGACAATATAGTGAGACTGCATTTGTACAGAAAATAATCAAAGTCAGCCAGGCATTGCAGCATGTGCCTGTTGTCCCAGCTACTTGAGAGGCTGAAGTGGGAAGATCCCTTGAGCCCAGCCTGGATGACAGAGCAAGACCCTATCTCAAAAAGAAAACAAACAAACAAAAAAACTCAATGAGCTGGAATTTAATAACAAGTATACTATCAGTTTTTTTGAAACATAATTTTTCTCTCTCCAGTCCCCCATTCTATCAAGGATAAATGAAAAGAAGACCAATTTATTTACAAAATAAGTTTTAGTCTTATACTTGGCCTGATTATTTGCATAAAGTGCAGGAACAATAGCGATTGGCCATGTGGGCTCTTTTTAAGATGGCTTTGCTGAAACTTTCTCATAAGGAACTTCAGATTAGACTTCAAAATTTTTCTTGAGGCTTAGGAGCCAAGCTAAATACTGTGTCTGCAATTCCTGCATGAATTGAGAGAATTCCTTTCTTCTTGAGGGCCCCAAATATCTTGAATTTCCTGAGCCTGTCAAAAAGTGTTATTCTTTACTTACTGCAAAATCAGGAATCTTATAAGGGAACTTTAAAGAAAAGGTACTAGGCCAGTCTTTTTAAAAGTCTATTGGCTTTAAAAAGTGAAATCTATTCCTCTAAGCCATCTGGTCACAACTGAAAATAGAACATTTAGGTCAAAGCATTGGTTAAAATAATCAGTGTGTCCAACTGTGTTTCCTGTTACAAAAGAAACAGATTCTTACTGAACTTATGAAGATAAACATATTGTGTAAAATGAGAATATTCACAAATAGTTTTTGAATTCTGGGGGGATCAGATAGAGAAAGCTAAATGTTTCAATTTTGCTCACAAAAGTATACTTTACCTAATTTATGCAAGCTATAAATAGCTTAAAAGAAAAAAATAAGTTTTCTTGACTCTGGAAAACAAAAAAGAATCAGCAACGTTTCAACAAAAAAAATTAAAAACAATTATTTCAGTTCTTCATTAGTTTAGTCACATGTAATTAATTCTTTTCTGCTTGATGTTAGGTTAGTAATTTTATGAATCTAGGTTTTTTTAATTAGAGTTTTTGAAATTTTTACTCTGTGCAATGGTATGATCTCAAAGTTGTCAGAAACCTGTATTTAAGAGTACTCATTGTAGTCTTTTTCCTGAACCTCCTTGAAAACACAAAATTTTAGGATTTGCAAAAAGCTTTTTAGAATAAATGTATCAGAATACAGCAATTTACTGTGGATCTCAAAAGTTAAAATGGCCATAGTTAAATATTCAATTAAGAAATAAATTTGGTTGTTTTCTGTGACCTACAATAATTTAACGTACCAGATTTCTAGGAATCTCATACAATTTTGGAACACATATTAACAACACATTTATACAAATATAACTCAAAGAAGGTGAAACATTTCTTATTTGATAATGCTTCCGGTATAATTTAACATATCAAATAAGCCTGTCTATTATCTCTCTTTTGAATGCCTCCAGGGCCCTCTACAACATCCCAAAGTTAGTTTGAGCTTAAAAAAAACTTAATTTAGAATTTAAATTTTGATTTTTGAAGCCTGTCAAATATATAAAAGGTTTAAAATATCTCATAAAAATAGGATCACATGTCACTGTGGAAATAATAGTAGTTTATTTAACCAGAGTAATAATTTAAAAATTTAACAAAGCAATAGCTTTTACAGATTGATAAAGAGGATGCTCAGTTTTCTAAATAATCAAAAGACCTGATAAAAATAGCATGAAACACACAGAATCTGTTTCTCTCTCTACTTTGTCTATTTTTTTCTTTTTTGCAGTTTATTCAAAAGGTGAGCCAAATTCTTCTATTCTTATTAATACTATGTAAAAATCTTGTTCAAAAGAGAAAGCCAAATTCTAGTTTTGCATTAGGGTAATTTTTATCTTAAGACTCAAAACATCCTTACAATAAATGTGTTTAATTTTAGTCAGTTTAACCACATAAGATTTTGAAATTATTTTTCCTCCAACTTTGTATATGTATCTAGTTTTATCTATGTGACTTCTCCCTTCATTTCCTATAAGAGTATGATACCATAGAAATAGCCTTTAAATAACCTCTAAACTAGACAAAATTATTTTTTTCTCATCAAACATACATCCTCATGCCTTTGTAACTTTTTCTACCAAAAGCATATCTTGCTTTTCTATACATGTTGTATATAAATTATTTCTCTTATATTAATAGTTTTAATTACATATACTAATTTGATTTTTAACTTTTAGTAAGTCTAATTTCTAGTGAAAACCTAACACATAAGTAATTTTGAACCATTTTATATGTTTGTAGATAAATGCCATTTCATAATTTTTAGATAGATATGTTTCCTCAATATTTTGTTTATTAACTGATACAAAATGCATTTAGCTTTTCTTTTTTTTCCTATTTTCTACCAACATCACCCAGGAAAAATATTTAGCTTTTCTATACAATATAAAAATAAGATCTCAAAGTATATAACTTAAAGTTATGTTCAATATTTCATGGTTAAGTATTTTGACTTAGAAATGACTCAGACATTTTATGATTCTATTACTTAATTTAACAAAACATGGTTTTAAGATTTTAAATTACTAAAAAGAATTTTGAAATGATGACACAGGTACCATTCCTAATGTCCTCCCTAGCTGTTCTGGGTCCTGAGTACCCACATGCACCCAGGATGGCTATGAAGGGCAGGGCTCATCTGAATCCTGGATTCAAACTCCAAGTGTAGAACCCAGGACAGTGGACAGAGCTGTGAAGGTGACAGCTGGTGGCCTAGGTTCTCTGAACACACATATATCCTCAAGCTTCACCATAGTCACCTATCCAGACTCTAGAATCCAAAGGCTCAAACCCAAAGATATATGCTTACAGCAAGATGTGTGCGACACTTCAGAGGGGCCCACCAGCCAGCCCTCACAGCTTTAGCTTACAGACAAATCAAGCAAGTACCAAAAACATTATAGAAGTAGCAGTTTTATGACCTTAAAACATGTGACACAAACAGCATAAACCTATCTGACCAATAGACTCAGGCAAAAATGTCTGAATTATATTTAATACTGACAATTCTGAATACACTATTTTATTTTACCAAAAATTTTAAAACTAGCTTTATTTACCAGATAATATCTCAGATCACATAGAAATATTACATACACATAAGATACATAGACAGACATATGGACACATAGACAGAAGCAGATCTTATATCTTTCATTAGCCAGTTTCCAAATAGTTTCTTTCCCCCATTCATACCATCAACCTTCTGATTACCTGTTTCATTGCCCTAAGCAATTGTTAGCTAGGCAGTCCTAAATCTGTACTGACTCTTAGGTGAAATAAGGTGGAACATTTATATCTCAAAGATACAGAACTTAGATCTAAACATTATTTGCCAAGACAGAGAATGACATAGGTAAGGCTCAGTTAAGTTAAGGCAAGACAGCCAGAAAAACTACTTTAGACAAAGGTAAGATTTGTTATGTAAACTTTTAAGTCAATGCCTTTCCCATTGTAAAAGTTTCTAGTGGTTTAGTTGCAGAGAGAGGGAGAGAGAGAGACCCTTACAAATTGAGATTCTCTTTATAAATAAACATTTCTTTTACCAAGAGTTTTAAAATAGCCAGCTGAAGGCCAGAAGGTTGTACTTTGGATATTTAGTTTGATAGGTGGCCTTTAAACTTAGTTTCCGTTTCTTAACTGGATTATTGCTCACGCCAGAGCCCATTAACAAACAGGGCCAGACCCACTCATGACTCTTTGGGTTCTGTGAGGAAGACAGAGGACCTAAAAAGGGGCCAGTGATACCTTAGCTCTCTTTCTCAAAGAGGTATGAGAGTTACTAGAAGTTTCTTTCAGATTCTTTTATGTGACAACCAAGACTCTCATATTTCCTCTTAGTAATTTTTCATCCATTGACCACCAGATGAAGAAAGTAGGGGCTTGAAGGGGCACATATCAATGATTAAGGGGAAATGAATGGAAGATCATAGCAAAAACAGGGGTAGGAGCAAGTGGAAGAATGAGTCCTAGAGGAGCCAGTGTGGGGAGATCTCAAACTTTCAAAAAAAGGCCAATTAAATTTTACATCTTTTTAAGCAAAAATCTTGCCAAAAAAGGAAACAAGCAGAAGGAACGCACGTACAATTAAAAAGAGGTTTCAGTTGGATCAAAAAAATCCCCATGGGAGAAATGGGATCCAAAGGAGAACAGAAATGTCTAAAAATATGTATAATCTGAGTATCAGCTTTGCTTAAGCTGACTTTTGCTCATAGAATTCAAAGAATCTTTTGAATCTCTCATTATCAGTTTTAGCCAGAACAAAGCCAATATTCCTGGCTTTTGAACTTTTTGTCTTTTCTTTTAAACCAAAGGTAATTTCCCAGTGACTGAGAACGAAAACCTTAACCAAGGATGCATGAGGCATCTCCAAAAACGTGTAAAAAAGCAGTCCTCACAAGACCCAGAATTACCCCCTGGGTCTAGCAGCTACTAGATGAAAAAAAAAGAGACTTAGAGACAAACAGGAAAACAATAGCCATCCATGGAAGGGAAAGGGAAAAGAATCAATAAGAAATGAGTACATCAGAAAGTCAAGAGTCACACAAATATAAATTCAAAATAAGTAATCCAAACTAATTCTTATTGCTGGGCGAGGTGTCAGAGCCCTGGCATTGGAAAGTGGTTGACTTGTGGGTTGGTAAGAATTTACTGACAACGGTATGGGTTTGAAAACAGAAATATTTTTTAGAAAGAAGGAACGCTGCAGAAGAGTGCAGCGGGGGGCCTCAGCAAGAGAGGACTGAGCACAGCATGGTGGCTTTTTCTTTAGAGGTGTTTAGAGACCTTAAAGCGGAAGCTGAAGGGTAATTTGCATGATAAACGATTACATTTGTAGACATCTTGGTGCCTTAATGTCGGTAAGGATTGCACAATGAGTTTGGCAGTTCGGCATGCATGCATTCTGGAGGTGTATAGACATTCTAGTTTCCTGTAAATTTTAAGTTGAAAAGAGGCCTGGAACCAGGTGCTGACTTTAGATAATAGGGAAGTCTAATTACTTCTAAATTCCTCAAATAAGGAATTTTTCTTTTTGTCTCTTAATGGCCTGCTTGATGGTCACTAGGTGATCTTTGCTCTCCTTACTTATAAATGTTTCTTTTTACCTCCTGGGTTAAAGGACTTACATCTCTAAGGGACTGGTTCTCCGTCTGGGAATCAAACCTGGGCAGTGGATGTGAAAGCATGGAATCCTCGCCACTAGAATACAGGCTGGATTGCCCTTTTTGCATATCCCACAGGGAATCCAAAGCAGGCAGTGTGTGTATACACAGGGTTTTAACTTTGTTTTAAATCTGATTTCTGCCATTTTGGAATCTTGCCAATAGAATTTTAAAGGCTATATTTCTTTTGTATTTTTTCATAGATACCAATAAGATGGCTATTTAAGATAAGAGCTCTCTAAAAAGTTTTCTTTTAAATATAGTCCTTTTGTTTATTTCATAAGCGACTCAAGCCAACAGACATTTTTAATGGAAGGAACACCATGGACATAAGTGGCGTTTTAAAAATGGGTGCAGAAGATGCAGCATCATATGAAACCCTCAAAAATTTACTCCCAGAAATAAGTTAAATAACAAAAGACTCTCCTTCCACAGATGGTTAAGGATGATGTCTGTGCATATGTATGGTGCCTCTAGTATCCCACAAATTTGTGGGGGCTTGCCAGTCACAGGCTTGTTAATTTGTGACACTGGGTATACCCCCCTGGGATTGGACTTTCCCAGGCCTAATCAGGCAACAAGGATTGAGACAACAAAAGCCCCTCATGGGTGGGAATTCTTTCTTTTCTGAGACAGAGTCTCCCTCTGTCACCCAGGCTGGAGTGCAGTGGTGCAATCTCAGCTCACTGCAACCTCTGCCTCCTGGGTTCAAGCGATTCTCCTGCCTCTGCCTCCCAAGTAGCTGGGATTACAGGTGCATGCCACCACACCTGTCTAATTTTTGCATTTTTCATAGAGACAGGGTTTTGCCATGTTGGCCAGGCTGGTCTTGAACTCCTGATCTCAGGTGATCCACCCACCTAAGCCTCCCAAAGTGCTCGGATTACAGGCATGAGCCACTGCACCCAGCCTATGGATGGGAATTCTTATTAATACAAACTCCCCTGAGAGCTTGGCACATTCTGAACAAAGAGTGTGCTGCTTAATATCTTATGTGTCTAGAGATTCCCAGTCCTTTTGATATGGGGGGGTGCGGGCAGGGAAGTACTGGGTAGAGAAGTCTGGGTCCCTGGCCAGGGCTTCACCTCCAGCCTATGACCATGGGCCTAGATGAGGACAGGCATTTCTGTTTTCGTGCCCAAAAGTTGCATTTCCCAAGACCATCCTGGCCCACCATGTCCCCATCCTGTGCCTATAAAACCCCCAAGACCCTAACAGACATGCACACAAGCAGGTGGACGTCAAGAGGAACACACCAGTGGAAGAAGACACAAGTGGCTGGATATTGAGAGGAACGCACTGGTGAAAGAACACACCAACAGATGCCATCCAGCTGACAGGCCATCCACCAGTGCCGCAGAGTTTGGACAGGGCAGAAGGAGAGCCCAGCCACTGAGCAGCTTGACTCCAGGGCAAAACCATCTTCCTACTCCGTCTCCCTTCTAGCTCCCCCATTTACTGACTGCTATTTCCACTCAATAAAGTCTTGCATTGATTCTCCAAGCCCACGTGCGATCCAATTCTTCCAGTATGCCAAGGCAAGAAACCCCAGGATATGGAAAGCATTCTGTCCTTGCGATAAGGCAGGGGTTTAATTGAGCTGATCAACACAAGCCACCTATGGATGGCTAAACTGAAAGAGCACCCTGTAACACATGCCCACTGGGACTTCAGCGGTAAACATTCACCCCCAGCTGCTGCCATGGGGTCAGATCCCCATGATTGGCAAGTCTGCATACTCCTGCTAGAGGTTTGAGCAGTGGGGCACCAAAGAACTGAGCCACACACCCATCGCACACCATGCTAGGGGGATAAAGGAACTTTTCCTGTTTTACTTTCACATTGGCCACTGGCTGTGAATCAAAAGTTACACTCCTAGATGGTGGACACCAAAAGAGAGCGGTCCCATTCAGTCACAAGTTAAGGTCTCAAGGACATAATATTGGACAAGAGGTACTTTATGACAAATGACACAGAAAGACAGAGACAAAGGAAAAAAATAAAGACTATTTCTGGGAGGAAAGGATCAAACAATATGAATATTCATACCAAAACATACACCAGAGTCACTACACCTGAGACTAGTCTGTATAAATGATTTTCTCCTAATCTGGTTGTCCTGCCATGGTCACCAAAACTGTAGGATCCAAGGGAAAATTTCTCCTTCACCCTCTGAAGGTTTGCTGAAAATCAGCTGACAAAAGGGAAATGAATAGGAGAAAAGGCATGCGAAATTTATTAATATGTGCAAGAGTTGTACAAAATGTGAAAACTCAAAGAAAGAGCCAGATGGCTGACATTTTTATACCATTTTGAGGTTATAGTAAGAACAGGCATTTGGAGAATGGCAAGACAGGTTATGGGAGGTAGAGAGGAAGAAAGGCATGGGGCAAAGGTGGTATTATTAAGTGGATGAAAACCCACCTCTCAGAAAGAATAGACAGTGGTCTGTGATTGAGTTAATTTTTCCTAGATCCAGATAAGGGGGAGGGATTCAGAGAAAGCTAAGTTTTCTATATAATTAATGTAGATTTTTCTCTACGGATGCAAATCTTCTCCACAAAAGGCAGCTTTTCAGAGCTATTCCTGTCTGCAGGCCCTCTGAATAGCCTTCTCAAAATATTTCAAAGAAGTGTATTTTTAGGTAAAATATTTTTGATTTTCTTTACAAGTGTCTACCTGGAACACAAAAGCCAATTGTCGAAAACACTCTGTATTAGTGATGCAAAATTTCTGCAACAATACAGGATCATTGAAGGATGGATCTCAATGGATTTAAACAGAAAACATAATTGCTTTTAGTAGTGGCAAAAAATCAAAGCACTGTCACTACTCTCAGGGAGAGGGAAAATTGTATCCAGTCTTCTCCATTCATGGAGTTTAACTGCAGGATCACTTCATGTGTGCACATCGTTGGGATGTTTGTTGGGCAGACATTAGCTTGTAAGTTTACTGATAAAACAGTTTTCAAAAATGTTTTGGTATCTGGCTTTACAATAAACTGAGTGTTTATGTGCTCCTCAGATTCATGTGTTAAAATTTTAACCCCAAGGTGATGGTACTAGAAAGTGATTGGGTCATGAGGGCAGAGCTCTAAAGAATGGGACAGTGCCATTATAAAAGAGGCCAGAGGGATCTCTTCACTCTTTCACCATGTGAGGACACAGCAAGATGCCATCTATGAGGAGGAAGACCTTCATCAGACACTCAGTCTGCCAGGGCCTTGATCTTGGACTTCTCAGCCTCTGGAACTGTGAGAAATAAATTTCTGTTGTTTATGAGCCACCCAGTTTATGGCATTTTGTTATGGCAGCCTGAAGGGACTAAGACAGCCTTCATTAACTTTTAGCAGAAATATAAATAAATGCTTTTCAGGTAATGGGGAGAAAACAAAAAAGATTGATTGGAGGAAATGATTTTCCTAGTTGGATCTTTATGGAGTATAATCAATAATTCTGTTAAAGACCATTTGTTGTAAAAAGAAAGAAGATGGAAGGAGTTTATGCATTTATCAGACATGCCAGAGATCCAGAGATGTCTGGTTTCACTGTGGTCCTAATTTTCCAAATCCTTAAAGTGAAGCATCAATGGAACCAAGAAGCCCTATGTTCATGGAGCTCAGACTGTCTTGAAGTAGAAGCAGCACAGTATAGATCAGACAGAAAGTTGGTGAACAACAAGTAAGAACCTAGACTGACACTCAGAAATCAGTCGTTTGGGACAATATAACCATCTTGATGTTTCTCAGTTCTTGAACTACACAAGTCACTGCATTAATGCTCTGCTTTTTGAGGTCCCTAAATAATTCTTCCACAGAGAGATCGGCCTTATTGTTGGCTCACATAAGCACAATTCCAGGATACATCCTCTCAGTTTGCTTGGTTTATCACGTGTGTGTGTGTGTGTGTGTGTGTGTGTGTGTATCAAGGGCTGTCTTCTGCAGGCACCACACTGTGCATCTTCTGCAGGAGGATGAGAGTGCTACTTACCAGAGGGGGCAGAACATGGTCCTTCAAAAGAGACCTACATTACTCTGCTTGGGCTGCCATTACAAATGGCAGGGACTGGGTGGCTTAAATCTATAGATCTACTGAGAGAAATCTATTTTCTCACAGTTCTGGAGACTACAGGTCCAAGATCAAGGTGCCAGCAAATTTGGTTTCTGGTGAGGGCTGTCTGTTGACTTGCAAATGGCTGCTAAAAGGAAAAATTTGTTTATCTACATAGACAATATTTCTTTTGACACCAAATGTGTGGGTTTTTCACACTAAGCAATTCTTCAATTTTCTGGTTGTCCTACAATTTAACTCAATTAAATTTCAGAAAGCTTATAAAAGGAAAAAAAAAAGCTTTCTCTACTCACACAACACTTCTTTTGACACAAAATGTACGGCTTTCCACTCCAGCAATTCTCTAGTCCAACTAGGTTTCCTAAAATTTAACTCAATTCTGACATTAATACCAGGAGTTGATTCTGCTCTGCCAGGAGCAGATCCCATAGGTTAAGGGCTCAGTCCCACCAGCCTGCTCCTCACTTCAGATTCCAATCACAAGTAGTGGGTCTCCAGGTAACCCACACTTCTGTCCAATTTGGCTACAAATCAGGCCCTCCCTTGGCCCTCCTCTTGGGCTTGATAATTTGCTAGAAGAGCTCACAAAATTCAGAAAAACACTTATGTTCACTGGTTTACTATAAACGATATTACAAAACATACAGCTTACCAACCAAGTGAAGAGTTCTCTGAGATCTGCAAGGGTCCTGAGCATAGGCATTTCTGTCCCTTTGAGTTGGGGTGCATCACCCTCTCAGCACATGGATATATTCATTGACCCAGAAGCTCTGCAATCTCCATTGTTTAGGGTTTTTGTGGAGGCTTCGTTAAGTAGGCATAATTGATTAAATTACAGTCAGGCATTGTGGATACATTTTGAGAAATACCAGACAATTCTGTCTTTGAGCAAACATTATAGAGTGTACTTAGGCAAATCTAGGTGGTATAGCCTACTGCACACCTAGGCTATACGGTATTGCCTATTGCTTATAGGCTACAAACCTATATAGGATGTTTGTACTGTAGGCAGCTATAACAGAATGACTATTTGTAGATCTAAACGTAGAAAAGGTACAGTAAATATATGGTATTATAATCTTGTGGACTGATATTGACCAAAATGTTGTTTTGTGACACATGACTGTATTGGCCACTGGTGATTAACTTGATCCCTACCTAGCCCCTCTTTCTTTCCTGGAGATTAGGGGGTACAGCTGAATGTTCTAACCCCATAATTGTGTGGTTGGTTCCCCTGACAACCAGCTCTCATTCTCCCAGGGTCACCTCCTTAGCATAAACTCAGGTATGGTTAAAAGAGGCTTATTATGAATAACAAAAGATATTCCTCTTACCCTAATCACTTAGGAAGTTCCAAGGATTTTAAAAACTCTGTTCTAAAAACCGGGGACAAAAGCCAAATATATATTTCTTATTATATCACAACATTACAGCCACCTTCTCACTGTATCCTCACTTAGCCTTTACTTTGCGCACCTGGGATAGAGAGAGAGCGAGTGATCTCTGGCATTTCCTCCTCTTCTTATAAAATACCAGTCCTGTCAGATTAGTCCTCCATCTTTATGACCTGGTCACCAAAATTACCTGCCTAAAGACCCTGTCCTAAGTGGAAACCCCACCTTCAAACCAAAAGTAGCCTGAAACCCGTGACCCAAAGTGAGAACTTCTATTCCTGTGCACCCACTCTCCCCTGGTTGTTTCTTTCTGAATAATGTCTTTTTACCAAACAAATGCTGCCTTTTCCAAAACTACCTGTGACCTGCCCCACCCTCCATCCTGTGCCTGTAAATACCCCAGACTTGGCTGGTAGAGAGGAGAAGTGGCTGGATGTTGGGGAGAGGCAACTTGACTTTGGAGGAGAAAGGCAGGGAGGCAACTCAACTTCAGGGAAGAGCGACCTGCTCTTCCTGCTTCTTTCCAGCTCCCCTCTCCACTGAGACCTGCTTTCATCACTCATTAAAATTCTTCTCATCCACCATCCTTCAATTCATCCACATGACCTTATTCTTTTTGGGCATCAGACAAGAGTTCACTACCCACCACGTGTGGGTACCCAAAAAGGCTGTCACACTGGCCATTTGCTCTTGCTGGTGGAGAGCAGCTGCCCCACATGACAAGGCAAAGGGCCCACTGAGCTAATAACACATTGCTGTCTGTGAATGGCGGGGCAAAGAGAGCATTGTAACATGCGCTCTGATGCTTTGGGATCACAGGCATCCCCATCTGGATGCTGCAGTAGGGCCTGCACAAAGTTCGCTCCTGCCAGCACTAAAGCAGCTAGCCAGTTCCTGTACTCATTTGCTCACATGCTCCCTCTGGTGAAGGGTTGAGCACCGTGGGCTGAGTAAACGGGACACCCCTGTCAGAAGTTCCACAAAAGGGTTAAGGAGACATCCTGCATCATCATCACACTGGGGCTAGGGTTTCAACATATGAATTTGGGGTGGGAAGGCACAATCCAGTCCCTAACAAGACCCATACAGAGCACTCGTGGGAACTGTCTACCTCTGCCTTGTGGAGTCCAGCACCTTAACTTCTTTCTGAGGTCTTCTGCCCTTCCCCACTCCCCAGAAGACAGGGTCTCGCCCTGTCACCCAGGCTGGAATGCAGTGGTGCAATCATGGCTCACTGCAGCCTCGACCTCTTGGGCTCAAGCAATCTTCCAACCGCAGCCTCTTGAGTAGCTGGGACTACAGGCATGTGTCACCAAACCTGGCTAATTTTTTTGTATTTTTTGTAGAGATGGTGTTTTGCTGTGTTGCCCAGGCTGGTCTCAAACTCCTGGGCTTAAGCAATCTGACTACCTCAGCCTCCCAAAGTTCTGGTATTACAGACATGAGCCACCACACCTAGCCTCTGATGTCTTAATATCTTACCTGACTTATCCCATCTGATATTTGCTTCTTGGGCTTTTGCCACAGACTCTATCTATCCATGCATCAACTTTAGCTCTCTTAGCTCCCCACCTGCTCCCTGCCTGTCTCCTTCCTTCACGTGTTGTTTCTGTTCTGGCCCTCAGTTCCTTCTCCTAGCTCCTGCCACTAGGTTAGAGTTGCCTGCCTTGGGCACCTTCCTGTAGGAGCAGGGAGTATTAATCCATATTAGTCATTTCTGCTTCTACCACATATAAGATGATTATCAGGACCCAAGCCAAAGACGCAGCCTTGGAGGAAAACTTGAAGTCCCTACCTCCTGAGAGTTTAGATCTCGCCATTCAATAAATAATATTGAAAATATTATTATGTGAGGGCTGAAAAAGATGCAATCTGTACTCTCACAGTGGATAGGACCACTTTCAATTCACAATGAACTGTCCATCTAATAAGAAAACCCCACAGTCTTTTATTAAAAGGTAGAATTTGACAGCAAAATATTCGTAAACATATATCTTACCCCTTAGGAAATGTCAAAACTCTTCCTGTTTGTAATGATGCATTTATTCTTTCATGTATTCACTCAGCAATCACTTATGTTCACCACAGAGGGAGTTTGATGGGGCTGTGGAGAAACAGGAACGTGGAATTGGAAAGGTAGACAGGGCTCAGAGTATGGAAGCCTTGTGTTCTATGCCCAAGACTGTATTCTGCAGGCAACGGGGAAGAGGCAGAGGCAGAGGTGATGGATTCAACCAACTCAGAAGTTGTCAAACCCACAGGACATGGGACATGAGGACAAGGGATGGGTCCTAGATGACCCCTGGCTTCTGGCTGGTGAGCCTGGGGACTTGGTGAGAACTTCTCTGAGAAAGGGAAGCAGAACCCGAGCAGATCTCTGAGGGTAGGGCAGATGGGTCTGCTTTAAAGGTATGAAAGTAGAGGTGTCCACGGGGCGTCTGCATGGAGAGTCTCAGAGCCTGGGTCTCCACTGATCCTGGGGGCTCTGGAAAGAGACTTTACTTATCACTTATTGCTTCTTTAGTACCCATTTCTTTCTGAAAGCCATGCTCCTTCCAACTGGCTGATTCTCAGGTTGTCCCTAACCTCCATTCTTCCGGAGGGCCTTGGAGGGCTCCTTCCTCTGAAGCATTACTTTTGTCCACCAGATCCACTTCTGGTTTCAGCCCCTAAGGGTGATTGTTTTGTCACAACCTCTCCTGTCCTGCTCAAGCCCCAGCCCATTCCTCCCCTTCCATGTCCTTGGGCAAGACTTGGCTTGTCTGTCCTGAGCTGGTTCTGCATCAGGTTGGACAGCCAGCTGCACTTTGTCCTTCCCTTGTCACCCACTTACTGAAACACTGCTGAACTTTGTTCCTCAGATCTTCTGGGTAAAGACCTTTCCTATGGCATGTTCAGAACCAGAGGAGGCAGGGAGAGAACACAAGGACATTACCATTGGAAATCCTTTTTGGAAAATAGACCCAGTAAAATTAAGGTATACATGATAGAAAAAAAATGAAGACACAGGGGCTCTAGTGTCCTTTCCTGGAGGAGAAAAGGTACAGAAACAGAAGACTGTTTT
The DNA here is from genome assembly GCF_000001405.40 of Homo sapiens. NCBI lineage: Eukaryota > Metazoa > Chordata > Mammalia > Primates > Hominidae > Homo > Homo sapiens. Next base: position 155,354,616 of record NC_000003.12, on the reverse strand, counting down.
TCAGGAGATGCATTTTTCCCTCTTCATCATTTAATCAAAATTTGGATATACTACTAGGGAGCTTTCTATTTCAGGCTCTGGTGTGAAACATAGGGCAAGAATCCTTGTTTTTGAATTGCAGTAACAATAACAATAATAATAACTAATACTTATTGAGCACTTACTATGTGTCTGACACTAAGCTCATTGCAAGCATTACCTCATTTAATTCTCACAACAGTGCTACAAGGCAAATATTGTTACTATTATTATTATTTTTCTATTATTATTTATTTTTTAAGATGAAAACATAGTGCTTAGGCAGGTTACGTAACTTGTCCATGAGTCTCACTGCTCAGCACTGATGCAGCCAGGCTCCAAACCTGTCTACACAGCTTGGGTGTTGCACTGAGTACTGAACAGGATGGTGTTACCCCAAACTCATGTCCAGCTGGAACGTCAGAATGTGACCTTATTTGGAAATAAGGTCATTGCAAATATAATTAGTTAACATGAAGTCATACTAGATTAGAGTAGGCTTTAAACACAATGGCTGGTGTCCTTGTAAGAAGGCTATGTGGTGACATAAAGACACATGAAGGAGAATAGCACATGAAGACAGAGGCAGATTGGAGTGATGGGTCTACAAGCCAAGGAATGCCAAGGATTACTGGAAATGACCGGAAGCTAGAAGAAGGGGAAAAAAGATTGCTTTTCTTTGCCAATTGCTTGCTTCATGGCTGAAGACCCTATAACAAAAGACAGATGAACAAGAGAAAAGGATACACACTAATTTGATATGAGCTTTACATGGCACAGGAGCATTAAGAAATAAAGGCCCAAATAAACAGGTTATTTTTAATGCTAAGTTGTTGGAGAAGTAGACAGTAGTAGAGAAGTACGGTTGGATAAAAACGTGCCATCTAAGGATGATAAATTGGGGGAAAACTTAGCAAAACCCATTTGTTCAGATTCTTCTCTGTGTTCCTGTGTCTTCAGAGATAAGGACTTTTCTTTCTTCTGGGTATAAGGAGGGCATCTCTCAAACTGGGCTCTTATGATCTGCCTCAGGGAGAAAGTGGGAATGTAAGAGTGACTTTCCTGTTTCTGCTGTTTTCTCAAATGCCAAGGTGCCATATTTGGAAGCAGCGTGTCCTGCACCCAATTAGGGGTATGGAACAGATTCTTTTGTAAAGCCTCAGGAAGTAAAAACAAAACAAAATAAAACAAAACAAAACAAAACCACCTTGGTTTCTGGCTTCTAGCCTCCAAACTGTGAGATAATGAATTTTTGCGTTTTAAGCCACTCGTAGTAATGTAACAAGCCCTAGGAAATGAATAAACTGTACTATGGCTCCAAATTATAATTTCCCAAATCATTTTCTAATAGTCAAAGGGATCATGGTTTTCCAGCACTCCCCATTTTTTTGTGTTTCAGATGTCATGGATGTGTCAACTCGACAAGGCTTATTTTAACCTGAGATTCAATTTCCTCCTTTATACAAATTCCTTGGTTTATTTAGGTATAGCTGTGCCATCTAGTGGCATAAAATGAGAGAAATGCTAGTTATTTTTGGAAATGGCTAAATGTATGATTTGAGTAGTCTCTACCTGCTCCTTGAAGAGTATCGACAGAAAAATCTGCAGTAGAATCTTCCTTAAGCATCTATTTGTGCTAATATCTGTGTTAGTGACTTGGAATGATTAGAATCATTTGTCAACGTTATGTTGCTGCTGATTTAAGTGGCTACAGGGTGAGCTGTCATTGTAGCCTTGTAGCATGTCTTGGTCATAAATGTCCAGCCCTGGTGAGGAGCATAAAATAAAAAGTCAAACGTGTTTTACACTTATTGTCAGAAAACTACTCTTGCAAAAAGCAGAAATCACTTGCAGTTTTACTTTCCTGGAGAAAAAGTAAAAGTGATTCTAAGGCTGCAAGAATAAATGTCCACTTTCTGTATCGAAGTAAATGTATTCTTGGAATAAGAATTTAGAGGAAAAGAATAGAAATAATCAAAACAACCATTTACATTTGTGATTTTTTATTGAATAGATGACATAAACCTCTTCTATTCTCATTGGTTTTTATGTACATGGATTACTTTCATCCTTTGAGGAATTACTGTTTGGGTACATGTTGTGGAATGAAGAGAGGGGTTAGACTATAGTTGAATGCTTTCACTGATACTAAAAAAAAAGCAAGGTATATCATTGAGATATTTTAGAATTTAGTGTTTCTGGAAATTTCTGAGTAAAATGAGCTAGGAAAAACTCGTTTAGTATTTAGAGACCTTCCTTTCAGGACATATTAATATTTTACCCAACTATAATACATATTTATACAAAATTGATATAAACCAGCTCAGTCAGAAGCCAAGAAAACATTAATTTTCTAAAGCTATCAGCCTCTTCAAAACTTAGTGTTCTCTTTTTGGAATGCAAATTTACTACACTAAATTTAAAAAACCCAAACAAAATAAGCCCAATCATTACTCTAAGACCCTTTTCACCAACCAGCAAGGAGAGTAAGCATTTCTAAATGAGCTATCCACTCTACATGTATTAGACCTATGTAGGAAGACTGGATTTAGGGCATCGGAGTAAGTGATGAGTATCTCCTCATTAACATAGTAGAAATCATTCCCATTATTTAACCTAGGACCTGGATATGCTTCCTTTATTGTCTAAGAGTTAATTCCTTTTTCAGGAACACAAACAAGGTTGAATTTTCTGATAATACTGCCTGGCTGACAGATTTTAAAAATGTTTTCCATTTTCTTATGTGCTCTTGCTAAATATATTAAGTATCTGCTCTGCCTAATTGCCTGACTTTAAAATATGGTGTGTGTCTTTTTTGCCTTTTTTTTTTTTTTGGAAACAGGGTCTTGCTCTGTTGCACAGGCTGGAGTGCAGTGGCATGATCATAGCTCACTTGTAGCCTTGAACTCCTGGGCTCAAGCTATCCTCCCACCTCAGCCTCCTGAGTAGCTATGATCACAGGTGCAAACTACCATGCCCAGCTATCTTGTTTTGTTTTGTTTTGTAGATGGGGGTCTCACTATGCTGTCCAGGCTGGTCTCAAACTCCATAGCTCAAGCAATCCTCCCACCTCGGCCTCTCAGAGTGTTGAGACTATAGGTGTGAGCCACCATACCTGGCCTAAAATATCTTTCAAGTGTTAAGGTGGAATGCATTTTATTAGCTACTTATTTATTTCAGGAAAGAAGTCAAATTCTGGCTGGGCATGGTGGCTAACGCCTATAATCCCAGCACTTTGGGAGGCCTAGGCAGGAGGATCACTTGAGGTCAGGAGTTCGAGACCATCCTGGCCAACATGGCAACATCCATCTCTACTAAAAAAATACAAAAATTAGCCGAGCATTGTGGTGCACACTTGTAGTCTCAGCTACTCCAGAGGCTGAAGTACAAGAATCTCTTGAAACCAAGGCAGAACTTGCATTGAGCCAAGATTGCACCACTGCACTCCAGCCTGTGCAACAAAGTGAGACTCCGTCAAAAAAAAAAAAAAAAAAAGTCAAATTCTTTGTAGAAATGGGCAAGATAATTTTAAAATTCATATGGAATTGTAAAGAAACCAGAATATACAAAACAATCTTGTAAAAAAACAAAGTTGGAAGACTCGTATTTCCTGAATTCAAAATTACTACAAAACAATGGTAATCAAGACAATGTGGTAATGACACAAGGACAGATATACAGATTACTAAAATAAAATTGAGAATCCAGAAATAAGCCCATACATCTAACTAATTTTTGAGAAAGATGCCAAGACCATTCAGTGGGGAAAAAAAATTCATTTCAATGAAAGGAGTTGGGACAACCAGAGAGCCACGTGCAAAATACAGAAGTTGAACTCTTACCTCATACCATACACAAAATTGACTCACAATGAATCAAACACCAAAATATAAATGCTAACACTATAAAACTCTTAGAAGAAGACCTTCATGACCTTGGATTTGGCAAAGGATTCTTAAATCTGACACCAAAAACACAGGCAATCAAGGAAAAAATAGATAAATAGGACTTCATCAAAATTTAAAACTTTTGTGTTTCAAAGGTCACCATCAAGAAAGTGAAATGGAAACCCACAGAATGAGAGAAAATACTTCCAAGATTGCAAGTCATATATCTCATAAGGGTTAGGTATCCACAATATATAAAGAACTTGTAAAACTCAATAATGAAAAATTGAATAATCCAATTAAAAATGGACAAAGAATCTGAATAGACATTTCTCCAAGGAAGATATATAAATGGTGAATAAGCACATGAAAAGATGCTTGACATAATTAGCCATTAGGAAAATGCAAATAAAAAACCAAGAGACAGTACTTCATAGCTATGGATAACTAAAATTAAAAAGTCAAATAATAACAAGCATTGGTGAGGATGTGGAGAGATCAGAACTTGCATATACTGTTGGTGGGACTGTAGAATGGTGCAGCCATTTTGGAAAACAGTCTGGTACTTTCTCAAATGATTAAATACAGAGTTACAATATGACCCAGAAATTCTACTCCTAGGTATATACCCAAGAGAAATGGAAACATATGTCCACAGAAAAACTTGTGCATGAATGTTTATTACAGCATTATTTTTAATAGTCTGTATAATCTGAATGTGTCCCCCCCCCCCACCGATTAATATGTTGAAATCCTAACCCCCAGATAATTGCATTAGGAGGTGGGGTATTTAGGAACTGATTAGGTCATCAGGGCAGAGCTCTCATGAATGGGGTTAGTGTCTTTATAAAAGAGGCCCAAGAGAGATCATTCATCCCTTTCTCCATCCCTCTCCATTCATCCCTTTCTCCATTCATAGATGGCAAGAAGGTGCCGTCTATGAACCAAGAATAAGGAGCTCACTAGACACTGAGTCTGCCAGGGCTTTGCTCTTGGACTTCTGAGACTCCAAAACTGTGACAAATAAACATTTGTTGTTTGTAGGGGGTTCATCACCACTAGGCCTGCCTTATACAAAATGACAAAGGAACATCTTTAAGTCAAAACAAAAGAATGTTAAATAACAGCAATGAAAATATATGAAAGTTAAAAACTCTCTGTTAAACTTAAATGTATTGTTGTTACATACTCTAATACTGTAATGTTGATACATGAGTCACTTTTAACTCTAGTATAAAAATTTAAAACGTTTTAAAAATAACTATTGCTACAATAGTTTGTTAATGAATACTTAATATAAAAAGATTTAAAGTGTGACATCAAAATGTGTCTATGCACAAAATGTGTGCATAGAAGAAGTAAGTGTGTAGAATTTTTATAGGCAACTGAACTGGAGTAATTATTAGCTTAAAATAAACTGTTATGACTATAAGATATTTTATGTAAGCCTCTTGGTAATGACAAAGAAAAAAACATGTAGTAGATACAGAAAAGAGAAAGAGAAAGAAATTAAAGCATACTACTACAAAAAATATCCACAAATCAGACAGGAAAACAGCAAGAAAGGAAGAAGGAAACAAAGGTAGTACAAAAAAAAGTCAGAAAAAGATGGTAATAGGAATTACTTACCTATTAATAATTATTTTAAATGTAAATGCATTAAGTTCTCAAATCAAAAAAGACAGAGTAGCTGAATGGATTTTAAAAAAAATAAGATCTACCAATATATGTCAACTGTAAGAGACTCACTTTAACTTTAAGGACACAAATAAGATAAAAGTGAAGAGACAGCAAAAGATATTTCATGCAAATGGCAACAAAAAGAGAGTTAAGGTGGCTAAACTTATATCAGACAAAATAGACTTTTATTCAAAATCTGTCACAGGAGATAAAGAAGGTCATTATGTAATGATACAAGGGACAGATTCATCAAGAGAATATAAAAATTGTAAAAATATATGCACTTAACATTGGAAAGCATCTAACTATATAAAGCAAATATCACACACATGTAAAAGCATGATATTGGATCCTTATCTTATACCATATAAAAAATTAACCCAAAATAGATTAAAAACTTAAATGTAAAACCTGAAACTATAAAACTTTGAGAAGAAAACATAGGGAAAAAGCTCTTTGACATTGATATTGATAATCTTTTTGAATATGACACCAAAAGCACATGTAAGTAAAGCAAAAATAAGCAATTGGGACTACATCAAACTAACAAGCTTCTGCACAGCCAAGGAAACAATCAGCAAAATGAATAGGCACCTACTGAATGGGAGAGAATATTTGTCAATCATATATTTGATAAAGGGTTGCTGTGGTTCGAATGTTTTCATCAGGACAGTGGGAGAATGACTCTGGGGAATTTCAGAGATCTTTGAGGCTGCCCTTCTAATCACAGGCTCAGAAGGTTAGGGCCTTGAAGACAGAAGGGGCTTGCTACCCAGGGCTACATTGAGGCTTTGCTCTCTGTATTCTAGTGAAGCACCCCTTGGTGACCCTAGCCATGGCTCAAGGAGGCCCAGGTGTGGCTCACACCACCACTCCAGAGGGCACAAGCCACATGCTGTGGCAATGTCCATGTGGTGTTGACTCTGCAGAGTCTGCAGAATACACAAGTTGTGGAGCCAGGGTAGCCTCCACCTAGATTTCTAAGAATGTCTCAGAGAGCCTCGGGGACATAGGGGTGGAACCACCACAGCAAGTTCCCACTATGGCAATGCCTAGTGGAGTGGTACAGCTGGGACCACCCCTGAGGCCCCAGAACTGTAGAGCTACAAGAGTGAAATGCCAGCCTGGGGGAGCAGTAGGCATGGGACTCCAACCCATGAGAATGGACACCAAAAAAGCCATGAGAGCAGGGCTCTGCAAGGCCTTTGGGGCCCAACACCTGCCACAAGGTGCCCAGAAGGTGGGACATGGATCAAAGGAGATCATTCTGGAGCCTTAAGATTTAATATTGTTCACCTTGTTGAGTTTTGGACATACTAGGGACCAATTATCTTTTTTTCTTGCCTATTTCTCCTTTTTGGGATGGGAATGCATATCCTATACCTTCTCACCATTGTGTTTAGAAGTAGATAACTTTAATTTCACAGGCTCACTGCTGGAGAGGAATTTATCTCAGGATGAATCATGCCCTGAGTCTCACCCATATCTGATTTAGATGAGACTCTAGAGTTTGAACTTTTGAGTTGGTAATGGAACTAAGACTTTGGAGCTATTGGGATAAGCTAAATATATTTTGCATGTGAGAAAGATATGAATGCATGTGAGAAAGATATGAATGTTGGGGGAGTGGGAAAGAATGCTATGATTTGAATGTGTCCCCAACGTATTGAAAACTTAATCCCCAATGCAACAGTGTTCAGAGGTAAGGCGAAATGAGAAATGATTAGGCTATGAGGGCTCTGCCCTCATTAATGGATTAATGCCATTGTTGTAGGAGTGGGTTTGTTACTGTGGGAGTGAGTTCTTTATAAAAGAATGACTTCGACCCCCATTCCCTCTCTCTCTCTCTCTCTCTCTCTCTCTCTCTCTCTCTCTCCCCACCTCTCTTTTTTTTTCTGCCATTGGATGATGTAGCAAGAAGGGCCTCATTATATGCTGGCTCCTCAATCTTGGACTTCCCAGGCTCCAGAACCATTAGTAAATAAATTTCTCTTCATTATAAATTGTTTAGTTTGTAGTATTCTGTTGGAGCAGCACAAAATTAACTAGACATGTGTTAATATCCAAAATATAAAGATAACTCAAACAACCCAATTAAAAATACCTCAAATAACTCTTTTAAAAATGGGCAGAGGATCTGAATTTAAAAAGTAATGAGAACTTTTAGGAGTCAGGAAAATGTGTAATTACAGATTTTTTTCCCCTGTATTTTCTTCCAAAATTCTAACACAAAATCCTATTCTGAATAAAGTAGGAAAGTGACAAGGATAATTATAATGCAGCGTTAGCCAATAATTTAAAATGCCTTACAGAATTTGAAACTATATTCTGGTTATTTTTTTTTCATGCTGTATGATCAGTGCTGGCTTTAGGCCATTCATCCTCTTAGGATGAATGGAAACCTCTTGCCAGGCAGAACATTGCTGGAGACTATTAGAGCTGCCAATTCCCTCCGCAGATGCATCTTGTGGAGTTAGCTCTTTTCCATGGGTCTGGGGCCTAGGTGAAGAACTTATATTCGTGCATTGAAGTTTTATAATCAGGTAACCATATTTTCCAACTTTATGGGTTATGTAAAATATATAACCAGGTTTATCCAAGATAGAATATCTGGAAACAGTTTTCTGTATTGTACCCCAAAAGCTAAAGCAGCTTAAACATTTAACATTAATGTTGAACAGGACATTAGAAACCACAATCTCCTATCACATTAATTAATTGCAGTGATGGCAGAAAACAAGAACACACTGAAATGTCCTAAAATGTGAATGGAATTTATTTTTGCACAAAGAACACTGTTTGGAGAGATGGGTTCCGTGTTGAGTGACTTCCCATTTCTGGCCTTTCTTTTCTTATGTGTAAAGTGGGTAGGTTGAAATGCATGATCTAAAATGCTTTCTTGCTGTGAAACTGTATGCTTCATGTATAATAAATTGTTCAATATATTTTAGGTATGGATGATTCTGAAACCATCTGTATGTATTAGTTTTGAAAAAAGAGTAGATTTCTGTATAAGGAAAAATGCATGATTTATATTTTACCTACACTTCTATCCAAAAATAGTGTCATAAAAAAATCAACCAAAAAGTAACTTACAGAACGGGAGAAAATATCTGCAAACTGTATATATGATAAGGAATTAATACTCCAAATATATAAGGAACTAAAACAACTCAATAGCAAAAAACAAAATAAACTGATTTGAAAATGGACTGAAGACCTGTATAGACATTTCTCAAAAGAAAACATATGAATGGCCAACAGGTATATGAAAGGTGCTCAACATCACTGATGATCAGGAGAATGCAAACCTATCCACAATGAGCAGTCGCTTCATACCTATTAGGATGCTATTGTCAAAAAGAAAAAGAATAGCAAGTGTTGGGGGGAATGTGGAGAAAAGACCCTTATATGCTATTGGTGGGAATGTAAATTAGTACAGCTATTATGGTAAACAGTATGGAGGTTGCTCAAAAAATTAAAAATAAAACTACCGTATAATCCAGCCATCTACTTCTGGGTATATATCCAAAGGAAATGAAATCAGTATTTTGACTAGATAATCACACTCCCATGTTCATTGCAGTTTTATTCGCAATAGCCAAGATATGGAAACAACTTGTGTCCACCAACAGATGAATGAGTAAAGAATATGTGGCATATGCATATACAATGGGGTATTAACCATAAAAAGAAGGAAATTGGCCATTTGCAACAGCATGGATAAACCTGGAGAACATTTTGCTAAGTGAAATAAGCCAGACATGACACCGAAAATAAAATCCTGCATTATCTCATTTATATGTGGAATCTAAAAAGTTGAACTCACAGAAGCAGAGAGTAGGATGGAGGTTACCAGGGGCTGAGGAATGTGGGGGTGGCAAGGAAGTGGGAAGATGTTGGTGAAAGAGTGCAAACTTTCAGTTATATGATGAATAAGTTCAGGGTCTAACATACAGCACAGCGGCCACAGTTAATAATGCTGCATTGTATAATTGAAATTTGCTAAGATAGTAGCTCTTAAGTGTTCTCACCACACACACAAAGAAATGTCACCATGCGAGGTGATAAGTATATTAATTAGCTTGGCTGTGGTAATCATTTCATAATATATACATATATCAAGTCATCATGCTGGACACTTTAAATGTTTATGTTAAAAATTTTTTTTTATTATACTTTAAGTTCTGGGATACATGTGCAGAACGTGCAGCTTTGTTACATATGTATACACGTGCCATGGTGGTTTGCTGCACCAATCAACCTGTCATCTACATTAGGTATTTCTCCTAATGCTATCCCTCCCCTAGCCCCCCATCCTCTGACAGGCCCTGGTGTGTGATGTTCCCCTCCCTTTGTCCACATGTTCTCATTGTTCAACTCCCACTTATGAGTGAGAACATGCAGTGTTTGGTTTTCTGTTCCTGTGTTAGTTTTCTGAGAATGATGGTTTCCAGCTTCATCCATGTCCCTGCAAAGGACATGAACTCATCATTTTTTATGGCTGCATAGTATTCCATGGTGTATATGTGCCACATTTTCCTTATCCAGTCTATCATTGATGGGCATTTGGGTTGGTTCCAAAACTTTGCTATTGTGAACAGTGCTGCAATAAACATATGTGTGCATGTGTCTTTGTAGTAGAATGATTTATAATTTTTTGGGTATATACCCAGTAATAGGATTGCTGGGCCAAATGGTATTTCTAGTTCTAGATCCTTGAGGAATCACCACACTGTCTTCCACAATGGTTGAACTAATTTACACTCCCACCAACAGTGTAAAAGTGTTCCTATTTCTCCATATCTAGTCTATCACTGATGGGCATTTGGGATGGTTCCAAGTCTTTGCTATTGTGAACAGTGCTGCAATAAACATATGTGTGCATCTGTCTTTATAGTAGAATGATTTGTAATCCTTTGGGTATATACCCAGTAATGGGATTGCTGCGTCAAATGGTATTTCTGGTTCTAGATCCTTTAGGAATTTCCACACTGTCTTCCACAGTGGTTGAACTAATTTACACTCCCATCAATAGTGTAAAAGCGTTCCTATTTCTCCACATCCTTTCCAGCATCTATTGTTTCCTGACTTTTTAAAGATCGCCATTCTAACTGGCATGAGATAGTATCTCATTGTGGTTTTGATTTGCATTTCTCTAATGACCGGTGATGATGAGCTTTTTTTCATATGTTTGTTGGCTGCATAAATGTCTTCTTGCAGAAGTGTCTGCTTATATTCTTCACCCACTTTTTGATGGGGTTGCTTGTTTTTTTCTTGTAAATTTGTTTAAGTTCTTTGTAGATTCTGAATATTAGCCCTTTGTCAGATGGGTAGATTGCAAAAATTTTCTCCTATTCTGTAGATTGCCTGTTCACTCTAATGATAGTTTCTTTTGTTGTGCAGAAGCTCTTTAGTTTAATTAGATCTCATTTGTCAATTCTGGCTTTTGTTGTCATTGCTTTTGGTGTTTTAGTCATGAAGTCTTTTCCTATGCCTATGTCCTGAATGGTATTGCCTAGGTTTTCTTCTAGGGTTTTTATGGTTTTAGGTCTTAAACATTACAATTTTTATTTGGTAATTATACTTCAATAAAGCTGTGAAAAATAAAATTAAAATTATTATTTTTTAATTTTAAAAATGAATGAATTGGATGGTATGTGAACTATATCTCAAAGCTATTAAAAAAGACACATTGATATTGGTAATTTCAGTAATTTAATCAGCATCTCTTTCAACAGATAGATAGATTGGCATGTTTTATAAGATTTGATGTTATTATAGGTATAATATCTAACAAACAATATTAACAGATTTAGTCACAATTAACTTCCATAAATATGATAATTTTACCATACAAAAATAGAATGGAAAGTGAATTATGTTACTTTCCACACTGTGTTTTTGTAATGAAAAATAAAATACTTTTCAACATATCCCTGAGGTGTTGTTTTTGGCAGTTCCCCCCCGCTTCACACCTGGATGCTGATTCTCACTGTGCTCCCTTCACCTTGTACAGCATTGCCCAATTAAATCTTTGCAAGACTCTGTTTTCTTTCTCCTGCCATGTCAGTGCATTTTTTCATATTACCTTTATAAGGTTTATTCTCTGGAGTCCCATATAGAGCCCACATAATACCTTTGGTGGCTCTGGGGACTAAGGAGATGACATTGTAACAAACCCCTCACTCCTCACCTTATATAATTCAAAATAAAAACATCACTCATACATAAAAGATGTAAGTTATATCTGCGTTGACATGAAAATAGCCCCTTTATAGAATTTTGGTTGGCAAAAACCCAGCTAAATTTAGCAGTTTTAAGATTTCTCCTTTTTTAGTACGCCTGCTTTGTTCATGCCCTAAATAACTTTGCTTCTTAGCTTGTCCACCTTTGTTTAGCCAAGTTGATTTTCCTCAGCGGCCTCATTGGTAGCCCCTCCTCCTCCTCACCCTCCTCCTCTACCCTCTCTCTCACTTCTAACAAAGTTCCTTCTGGTCTCCATGACAAACTTTTGCTTGGCTCTCACTAGAAATGGCTACTGCCTCTCTCCCGTGAGCCAGATACTAGTAACCCTCTCAGGCCCAGCCAAAATCTTACCTTCTCCAAGAACAGCAGCATTTAAAAAAAAAAAAAAAAAACAACAAAAACCCCACTTTTGCCATGCCAGAATCAATATATCTTTTGTTTTTGTTCATCAGTAACTAAAAATTTGGAAAAACCCGATAGCTTTTCTATAACACAATTCAACATCTTTAGAAAAATAGCTTACTTTAGAGAGCTTGTGATCTGAAGGACATAGACATTAGAAATATGGCTTGGCAAAACCCAATAAAAAATCGAGAAAGATTTTATCTTTTTACAACTCTTCCTGGATAATGCATGGCTTGATAGAACAATATTTTTAAAATTGATAGTGCTTGGCAGAATTTTCTGTGGGGAATATTGTTGACTCAATACAATGAATAATTTTTGCAGTGAAATACACATCTAACTTATCTGATGTTTCTATTTGCTCAGACATTTTAGCAAACATAAAAATGAAACAATGAAAACATAAAAATGAAAAATGAAAAAACATGAAAAGAATATTTTTAATCTAGTATTTTTACTACAAACATTGCTTTTTTCTTTTAAATTTTTTATTTTTAACTTTTGTGGTACATAGTTGTATATATTTATGAGGTACATATTATTGCTTTTTATTTTTATTTTACTTTATTTTATTTTTTGAGATGGAGTCTTGCTCTGTCACCCAGGCTGGAATGCAAGGGCACGATCTTGGCTCACTGCAACCTCCACCTCCTAGGCTCATGTGATTCTCCTGCCCCAGCCTCCTGAGTCTCTGGGACTACAGGCACACACCACCATGCCCGGCTAATTTCTGTATTTTTACTAGAGATGGGATTTTGCCATGTTAGCCAGGCTGTTCTCGAACTCCTGACTTTAGGTGATCTGCCCGCCTTGGACTCCCAAAGTGCTGGGATTACAGGCGTGAGCCACTGTGCCCGGCCTACTTTTTTAAACAGAAAAGTTAATTATTCTACATTTACAACAGAATCATTCAAGTTATAAAACACCAAGGGAAAAAGGCATTTAAAAAGTATAACAGTAATTGACATATGAGATTCTGATTGCCCCTACTCTACATGTTCTAGCTCAGAAATTTTCTGATTTTGTAAAGAGGCCATTTTCTTTTTCTTCACTTTTGCCCACAGAGATAAAGTTTTTGGTGGGGAGATGGGCACTACTCACACTTATGAAATTTTGATATGACATTCCTGTCCTTCCAATTCTTCATGATTGGATTTCCGATGTCTACCACATGCATGTTATGTGATGCCAGGAATTGATCAATAGTGTGGCTGTAAAAAGAAAAAAAAGAGAAAAAGAAAATTCTTTTAAAAAATTACTCTGCCTTGATGCTTGTCCTAGTGAACACAGGAGGCACTATACTTTTTGTCAAGGTGTCTGTTAACTCACTGCTATGTGCTGCAAGATCTCTAATCTAATATATTCCCTGCAGATATTGTTAAATTGGTGTGTACTAGTTACTTCAAACTTTAAATCTAGGGGCAGAGATTTGCGCTAGTGAAGAATTCACACCACAGGGGTAATCAGTTACTAGAATATAGTAGTCCCATGCCAGATGTTACCATAAGCTTTGTTATTGTTTCTTGATCAAACCAAGACTATGGTAATTAGGAAACTGAATGTCAGAACTGTGTTATTATTGATTAAAATGGGGACCTGTTGACTATATAATGAATGTCAGAAATGGCTTCTCTTTTGTGAAATGTAAATAGTACAGATATAGAGATTGGCTGCACCCTTTCCCTTGCATGAACAAGGTACAAAACCTGAGGAAGCCTGTAGCCTATGTCCTTAGGGAAGACACCCTACGCTCAATCTGTAAATGATCCCTTGTCCCATTGGTTTAAGAGGATCCTGGTTGCTTGATGCTGTTTGCAAAACTAATAGAATCTTGCCTCTGGAATGTTGTTTTGTCCACCTCAAGTGAACTTCTCAGGAAACCTAAAAGAGATCCAGGCAGTTGGAACTCTTTGAAGCTTCACACATTTTATGAGAGCTGTTTTTGGCTGCTTACTAATGTTTGGTCGACACATATCTGTATGCATGTCAGCTTTGCTTTTGTTATAAGAGTGTGGGGCTGTAGCTCACCCTAACTAACCTCAAATTGCTCCATAGATTATTGCTATCCACCAAAAACAAGAGTTGTACATGACCATATAGGCTAAGGTTAGTTAGCACCAGTGGGTATACTTGTTCTTGCCACATGCATTAATTGAGAGAATGTGTATCAACATCTTACCAAGCAATGCTGCTGGCTTGCTAGACTAGATTGCAGTTTGAAATAACCAAATTACATGGTGTAATGGTAGAGAGTGAGAGTATTTATAGAATTTAAAAAAGGTAGATCATAGCAAGGAAAATCAAGTTTGAGGAAAGGGTAGTTGGCCCTTGTAGTGTCTTATAGGCTATTATAAGAACTTTGTCTTTTCCTCTGAGAGAAATTGGGAGCCACTGCAGTGTTCAGAGTGGAGGAGTGATATGATCTGACTTATATTAGGACCATTCTCATTGTTATATTGAGACTAATCATGGAGAGCTGGATTAGAAGGAGGATCAGTAGTTAGGAGGCTATTGAAGGAATTCAAGGGAGAGATGACAGTCACTCAGATCAGTGGGGGTGTTGAGGACTGGTTGCATCTACTTCTATTTTATAGTTAGACCTTACTTGATTTGCTGATGGATTGGATAGGAAGGGTGTGTAAGAGAGAAAGAGGAGCCAATGATGAACCCAAGGCTTTTGGCTTGAGCATATGGAAAATAGAATTATCATCAGCTGAGAAATAGAAGACTGTGGATGGTTTGAAGAAAATAAATACATGTGGTAATGTTTTGTAATTTATAAATTGCTATTAAAATCTCAGCTTTTAGAGTTTGGCATGCATGTTTATAAAGTTTGGCATGTTTATAAAGTTTATAAAGTTATAAAATTTAGCATGTGTTTAGTAGAGAGTGGTGCTTTTCCCCAATTTACTCTTAAGTGAATTTCCTGGTTTCTAATTATCACACCACACACCACATCACACAAGAAATCTGCTTTGAATTGTCATCTGAATACTCTCTGTTTTCACTCTCCCAAATCCTGCCCCAGGGCCCACCATGGCACTGAGAAAGCCAAGGTTGTTTCAAAGATGGGAATCACAAGGTTTGTACTTCTTGACTAGTTTGGAAGCCTGTCATTCTGCTTGGCTGATGAAATCACTTAAAAAGCAGAATGTGGTTTCTGTAACCAGTTTGCATCTAATAGTCATCAATGACACAAGATGTTTATTGAGATTGGGGTTCCTTGGGTCTGATCTGCCAGGCTCTGTTTCAGTTTTTAGATTTCTCTTTCTTGGAGGCTTGACAGCAAATCTATTGGTACCAAAAGGACACATTATATATTACACATTACCGTAGAGTAGAAAGGTGTGCCCTCCAGATACAAAGAAGGAAAAAAAATGTAACTTTTCAAAACATCATATTCTTGTTTACTGAAAAAATAAACAACATACTTTCCTTCCACCTTTGATGATATAACAGGAACTGGATTCATTTATTTTCCAACATTAAAAAAAAGAAAAGCCCTGCAGAATACATGCAACGAAGCTTTCCAGGCATTGGATAAGAGGCAGTGAAGGACCGTGATTTGTAAGACTAAAACAATCAGTAAGATGAGTCCCGCAACTGACCTAGCTTATCATATAAAGGCTACTTCAGGCTACAGTGCTAAGAGGGAGACCAAAACAGATTCCAGAAGTCTTGTGGAGTTGAAGAGATGGAAATTGGAATTCTGGGAGAATAGGTTCTTAGAATTTGCTGGACAGAATTCCAGAGAAGAAGGAGCTATATGGAGAGTTCCCAAGAAGTGCACACAGGTCTTCTCTAGTCTTTGGCTGAGTACTGGTCTATGGAGGGGTGAGAAGAAACTACTCAAGGCCAGAAAAAGACCCTCAGAAAGCAAAAGATTTCTGGAGCTCACTTTGGGCTGGAAATAGTTCATATTCCTGTTAGCCAGAGTGGGGGAAACCTGTAAGATCTGGGCCTAGAGCAGAACTCAAAGAAAGGTGTTTACCTTAGTAGCAGGGCTAAACTCACCCTAGACAGTTGTTATGACCCATCCTGATGAAATTTAAAAGCAAGTTTCAAAAGGAGAAAACTGTTTCTAAGTAACAATTCTAAGTAACATGTTCTGCATGCTAGAACAAAGTCCAATACTCCTTAATGGAATATGACAAAATCCAGCACCCCAAAACACAAAATTTACAATGTGCAACATCCAACCCAAATGGACAGGTATATTTATTTCCTGGGGCTGTTGTAACAAAGTACCACAAAATGGGTTGCTTAAAAACCACAGAAATTTATCTTACAGTTCTGGAGGCCAGAAGTGTGAAATCAAGGTGTCCGCAGGGCCATGCTCCCTGATACTCTGTGTAAAATCCTTCCTTGCCACTTCCTAGCCTCTGCTGGTGGCCATCAATCCTTGGAGTTCCTTAGCTTGCAGCTAAATAGGATTGCAACAAACCTATTTCAAAATAAGTTCACATTCTGAGGTATCAGGGGTTAGGACTTCAACACATATTTTTCTGGGGGACAAAATTCAACCTGTAACAGCAGGCATGCAAACAAGCAGAAAAATAAAAGCTATAACCAGGAGAAAATTCAATCAATAGAAACAGATGCAGAAACTACTGAGATGATGGAATTAGCAGATGCAGATGCTACACCTATAATAAAAATGTTTCCTATGCTCCATTTTGGATAGTTTTTATTGCTATGGGTTTTTTGGATTATTTGTTTATATAATTCATTTTTGTCTCTCTAATAGCACAAAGGACAGAGATAAATATTACAAATTATACAGTAACCCCTGAAAAAAAAATCTGTGAATTTAAGTCACGGAAATGTTTGGAACTGCTTCTTCATCTCAAAATGGGAATAATGATACTTCATGGAAAAGTTGTCATGATTAAATGAGATTTTTATAACTTAGTTGGTTCATAATTGACTCAATAAATAGTAGCAATGATTACTGTTAGTAAAACTTGAGGCAATGACAAAAGCAATTATAAGTCAAATTACTATATATTTATGGTGGATGATGCCAAACACAGTAAATATAAATATAGTGGTTTTGATTTATTGCTCTTGGCTAGAACCTGAATAATTCAAACAAGTTGGGATTGAAAAAAGTCCAATCTCACTCAGTGAGCAGTCTTAATTACAAAATATTTTTAAAGAACTATTTTTTTTAAAGAAAATTACTTTTATTTTATTTATTTTATTTATTTATTTTTTGAGACAGAGTCTTTCTCTGTTGCCCAGGCTTCAGTGCAGTGGCACAATCTCAGCTCACTGCAACCTCCACTTTCGGGGTTCAAGCGACTCTCGTGCCTCAGCCTCCTAAGTATCTAGGATTGCAGGCGTGCACCACCACACCCTGCTAATTTTTGTATTTTTAGTAGAGATGAGGTTTTGCCATGTTGGCCAGGCTGGTCTCGAACTCCTGGCCTCATGTGATCCACCCACTGAGGCCTCCCAAAGTGCTGGATTTACAGGCATGAGCCACTGTGCTGAGCCAGAAAATTACTTTTAATCACATGTGATAATTCGAACCAGGCTACAAAATTTTGTTTAATATATATCCTTAAGAGTCTGGCTTTAATGAACACATAAAATGATCTTTTATTAGCATAACAAGACTTTCAGTTGCTACACAATATTGTGATTTATAATAAGAAATATATATTTGGTCTTTGTCTCTTTTCCTAGCACATAACTCCTAAAGCCCTTGGGATCTCTTAATTGATAAGTCTCTTTTTGTATGTTATTGAGATGACCGTTGCCTGGAGGCTTCTAGATAGCCTCAGGATGGAGGGCTGGTTGCCAGGGGAATCAACCATGTGGTGAGATAGTTGGCACTTTCAGCAGCCTCTACCCCTATCCCAACATCTGGGGAAGGGGAAAGGGCTGAAGGTTGAGTTGATCACCAATGACCGATGATTTAATCAATCATACCTACGTAATGAAGCTTCTGTAAAAACCCAAAAGGATGGGTTCAGAGAGCTTCTGGGTTGCTGAACACGTGGAGGGTGGTAAGCTGGGGATGGCTTGGAAGCTCCGCACCCCTTCCCTCATACTTGGTAGTACATGTCTCTTCCATGTGGTTGTTCCTGAGTTGTGTCTTCTTATAATGGGGGTGATTTAAGTAAAGTGCTTTCCTGAGCTCTGTGAGCTGCTCCAGAAATGACTGAACCTGAGAAGGGGACCGTGGGAACCTTTGATTTTTAGGCAAGTTGGACAGAAATTGTGGGTAACCTGAGAACCTACTAGTTGCAATTTGCATCTGACCTTGGGATGCAGTCTTATGTAACTAAGCCTTTAAGCTGTAGGGTCTGCACTAATTCTGGTTAGTGTCAGAATTGGATTGAATTGTAGGACACTCAGCAGGTGTTGGAGAATTGCTTGCTTTGGGAAAAACCCACATATTTTGATGACCAGAAATGGTCTGTGTTGAATGTTGAGAGTATAGAAGGAGAAAACAGTTATCTTTTCCTCCATACATGCTATAAAATGGTTTCTTTTCACAATCTATTTTCTTTAACAGTAGTATATACCTCCTATTGGAATGATTTGTCCAGCAACAACCAAGTGGCAATTTCTTTATAGATGTAGGCACCAGCCATGAGCTGCCAGCTGAAAGCTGGAGCCATGGCTGCTGGCGCTCCTGCCTCATGAGGAGCTCTTCTCTGAGACTCTGGTGACACCATTTGTTTTCTTATCATTCCCTCACATGGGGTTGTAGCTGCTTCCTGCATTTTCTAATCTTTGGGTTATTTTGGTGTGCTGTTTTTTGCTCTTTCAGCATTCTACCAACAGTACAGCCAAATCGCTGAATTAAATACCCCCTTTTTAAAATACTAGCATGATTGCTTTTCTCTTAACCAGACCCTAACTGATACCACATGCCAGAAGAAACAACTGGAACCAGCTAGGGAGATGCAAAGATAGAGCAGAGAGTCAGTGACAAGAGAAAAAAAGTAAGGCTGTGTGGGATGCAGTAATTGGGAGGGTGGATTTCTAGGGCAATCTGGCTTATTCAGCTGATGACTTCTTTTTGGCCGAATGCATTGCTATAATGACACTCCTTCTGGTATTTTCTACTCTGTGGCTGAGTAGCCTTGCAGAAGAAGTCTTATCCATTCCTTAAGAATCAGGCTATCAATTTGCAAAATATAAGGATTATTCTGGGTGAATTCCATGATTCTATTCAGCTATAAATTTCTCTCGAACTGGTTGACAATTTTGCTCAGAGTCAGTTCAGTAAAGCTGTCTTGTTTCTTACCATATGCTAAGTGAAGGCAGGATTAAGAAAGCAGAATGATTTGGCCTTGTGGTGTGCACCGCTTCCTGGACAGGAAACAGAAAGGTTTTGTTCAGTTTCTGTCAGGTTCAGATAAGATGAGTTAGCCAGGAGAAGCAGCACATGTCAGACTTGGCACAAAGTGCTGCAGCGGAGTAAGGGCCATGTCACAAAGCAGCGTGTTACATGCCAGTATGATTCTGTTTGAAAAGTGATTATTCCAAAAAGGTGGCAGCAAAATAAAGTTATAACCAGAAACCTAATGAAGTTGGTTAGATGGTATAAAAGTAGGTGTTGGGCTGGTTTCCTAAAAATGGTGTAATTGAAATGACTATGCATTTATTTTCTTCTATCTAAAATGTAATTCCTTTTCTGAATACGTTTTACAAAACGAATAAAGTCTCTTTGTTTACCACTTTTCAGGTTCCTTTTTGAGTTTCTTGTTTTAAGTGGCAGCTAGATCTTCTTCATCTTAATGTAATTAACATGGGAAGAGGCTTTGCATTTGTTCCTGTGAATTGCTAGGGATGTGTGTGCATCCTAGGCTGCCTGTGGGCTTCTGGCAAAACTCATTTTGTTTTTGATGGGCAGTGAACCAACATAAAAGCCTTATACCCTCAGCAGATAAAGATGATAATATTAGAAACTGAAGAGATTTGGGATTCTGAAAAACATCAATTGCTATTAGCTTGAGGGTAGCTCAGCTGCCTGGCTTCCAGGTTGCCAGTTAATATAAAAAAGATAGCATCTGCTGGATAATGAACACCTGTGACAATGATTGTGGTTCTCAGTCACTTGAAAAATAAATCATTTCAATGTGGGTCAGGTGTGGCCAGTGTCGAACTTCCATGGGCCAGATTATTTTCTGGTTCTGATGACATCCAGAATATCTGAAACTGTTCTTTCGAGGACTTATATGAGTGAGGCTACAACAGAGCTACTATCCACTTTCATCTTGTACCACCTACTGAACCAACCTACTGTCAGCTGCACCTAAGTGATTACCCACATGGCTGTAGGTTTGAGCTGAAATGGCATGGTGCTTGACAAGGGTGTCTGAGCTACCTGTTCAAGCACCTGCTTAGGGCCTCTGATCTTGTTCATTTCCTTTCCTTTATTTTTTTGAGCCAGAGTCTTGCTCTGTCACCCAGGCTGGAGTGCTGTGGTGCCATTTCAGCTCACTGCAGCCTCCGCCTCCCAGGTTCAAGTGATTCTCCTGCCTCAGCCTCCCAAGTAGCTGGGACTACAGGCATGTGCCATCATGCCCAGCTAATTTTTGTATTTTTAGTAGAGATGGGGTTTCACCATATTGGCCAAATTGGTCTTGAACTCCTGACCTCAAGTGATCCTCCCACCTCGGCCTCCCAAAGTGTTGAGATTATAGGCATGAGCCACTGCGCCCAGCCTTGTTCACTTTTAATGGCCCTCTGATCTTGTTTATTTTTATCTTTTGATGAATTGCTGCTGGGCGCACTGGACATTATGATTTGGTAGGTCTGATAGGATCAAGTTCATGCTGATACGTTTTGGATGCATGGGTGCTTGGTGTCCCATGGCCAAGAAATACTTCTCTTCTGGAGTTCAAGAACAAAGCAGGAGTTGTTTTTCAAAAGGTGTCTAATAATTCACTGCATATGGCCCGGCCCAGCTCCAGACCCTCAGTGCTTTACTGTCATTCTTCACTGGAGCTTACCACACATTACACATAGCATCTTTCTCGCTACTAGAATCTTGAACACTATAAGGATTTCTGGCTGAAGGCCCAAGTGTCAGGGCTACTTGCACCGCCACAGCCTGGAGCTCTTGCAGAGCTTTCTTCTTCCCCTGGCCTCACTCAAGTTCAGCAGCCTTTTGTGTCACCTGGTAGATAGGCTAGAGGAGTATTTTCAGGTGTGGAATATTCCACATTCAGAACTTTAGGGCATTGAGCTCCTTACTTCAGGATAGAAGGTGTGAGATGCAATAACTTGTCTTTTATTTGAAGATCTACTGGCATGCCCCTCACCACTGGACCCCCAAATGTTTTCTGATGTAGCCCTTTGAATCTTCATAAGTCTTATCTTCAACTCTCTTTAGTGCATGAGTCTTACTAAGACCTCCAGCCTGCTAGACTTCTTACTCATCCGGATAAATTAGCATAATGACATGTATGCAATGCGTCACTGTGATTCTCTGTTGGATGTCCAGGTGGTCCAGATGTCTTTGTAATATATTCCAGCCAGAAACACGGGAGTTAACGCAGCTCTGGGGCAAATTGTAAAAGTATAGTGCTGCCTGTTTCATGTGACTGCAAACTATTTTTGACACACTTTTCTGACTAGAATAGAAAAAAAAAACATATTTTACAAGTCAGTGGCTGCATACCTTTGTACCTGAGGCTGTATTAATCTGCTCTAGAAAAACACCATGCCTGGCACAGCAGATGCAACTGGGGCTACTACATGATTGTGTTTTCAATAGTCTATTCTAGAATCCATCTGGTTTCTTCAGGGACCACACTGGAAAATTAAATGAAGATAACACAAAGACTACCACCCCTGAATCCTTTAGATCCTTAAGGGTAGCATTGACTTTTGCCATCCCTCTGCCCTTAGTATATGATGTAACGTTTTTTAATTTGAGGGGAGCAGTTTCAGAGGCTTCAATCTGACCTTCCCCACCATGACACCCCTTACTCCACATGCCAAGGACGCAATGTTGACATTATAACCACTGACTATGAAATTGACTAAATACTCCTATCTCAGTTATAAATTCAGGGGCCGGGTAAATGCTCAGTTGGTGGGTTCCCAGACAAAATGGACTCTATGTATTTCTCATATCTCCTTCCCCTAAGGGAAGGCACCTCAGATCTTTGAGCATCAATCTCAACTAAGATTCTGTATCTAACAGTCCCTTTTGTTTAATCTGGGGAGAGGACACAGCCTGTGAACAGTTGTCTACCAGGAAATGCCTCACATAAAACAACAAAACAAAAATAAATAAATTATCACAAATTAAGAATATAGAGCAAATATCAACAGAATGGTACTGGCCAGGTGCGGTGGCTCATGCCTGTAATCCCAACACTTTGGGAGGCTGAGGCAGGCAGATCGCAAGGTTAGGAGTTCGAGACTAGCCTGGCCAATATGGTCAAACCCTGTCTCTACTAAAAATACAAAAATTAGCTGGGCGTGGTGGCAGGCCTGTAGTCCCAGCTACTTGGGAGGCTGAGGCAGGAGAATCACTTGAACCCAGGAGGGGGAGGTTGCAGTGAGCTGAGATGACGCCACTGCACTCCAGCCTGGGTGACAGAGTGAGACTCCGTCTCAAAAAAAAAAAAAAAGAAAAGAAAAAAAAGAGAATGGTACTGATGGTACTGATAGAGATGGGTACAAGAACTGGAAGGAGAACATCAGAGCTGAAGACTATTACCCTAAAATCTACATAAATACAGCATATTCCTGAAGTGGATTCTTTGAGGATTTACATGTAAAAAGAAATCTACTAATAATTAATAGTAGTACATTATTATTTTTATTTCTGAAACAAACAGTCCCAAGCTCCCTATCAAAAGAATCCCAGGTATTTCCATCAAAACAAACAAATAACTTATTGGAACTTAGCAATCTTGAATTGACAAGCACAGATCCAGGGGAATATGGCTATGAGCAGATGACAAGAAGGTATCATCTGTAGGGTTACTTTCATCCTTAAGCGTGTTACCCTTGACTGTTTTAATAAATATTTCCATGTAAGTTACAGAGCTTTGTGCTGTCTGGTTGGGACTTAAATTGGCTCTCTGAAAATGGAATATATGCCAATTCTCAGTGTTCTCATGGCTTACAAGTGAAACAGATGAACAATATTATGTGTCATGTTGATTTCTGTTTGATAATGATAAATGTTGGTGTTTCCTCAAAAATTAATTTGCTCCATATGTTGGTTTCTGAAAGACTGAAATAGTGGATCACTTTTGGAAATGGCATCGATAGCATTTTCTAATCTTCATATTGATTACCACCTTTGGTTGATATATATTACTAATGTTTGTATACACATGTGTATACATTATACATTTCAAGATCTATGTGCAGAATAAAAAGCCCATGTTTATTTTCAAATATACTGCTTTCATGACTCTCATGACTCTCCGCTCTGGCTTCAGCTGAGCAGATAAGCGGCCCAGTACGAGTTGGTTCTGTTGCCCTGGAAGGTGTTTCACAGTAGCAAGGGCCCTTGGTATTGGAAGAGACATCAAAGATCATCAGAAGATCCCAAACCTGACAGCACATTTATGAAATTCACTGGGGAGATTAAAACTAGATATATCTCAGCCCCTATTTTGGTCTAGTAATTCAAAATATCTGGATGAGGGTTTTGAAAAAACTCAGCCAGATCTGAGAATTGCATAATCCAGTCACCTTCATGATTTTGTTAAGTCTTCAGATTTAGAGTCAAAAGTAAGCAAGTCTTGTTAAAAACCCATTATCTTGAAAATCTGGTTGTTGAACTGTTTTTGAATGTATCTGCATGGATAAACCAGACTCTTCAGTTTTTATCTGATGGGACATCATGTCCTGTTGTCCTCAATATCCTCCCACAGCAGCCTCCTCTGAGCCTGCTCAGACAAGAGCAGAACACATTTTTGTCAAATGAATTAATAAACTTGAATTTCAGATCTTTTATTGTCAAAGAGGGAAAAATGTCATTCAGAAGGGAAGGACCAGGGCCTTATTTTTTTTCTTGTACCTGAACAATGATACTGTAAAAAAGTTAGATCAGAACAAAACTATTTATATTAGATCAGAACAAAAACCATTTTATGATTTAAGAGCTTATACTGGGTTTCTCAACCTTGTGTAGGAATTAGGAAGTCCTTCATTGCTATCTGCTGGAATCAGTACTGCATTAACTCCAAATAGGCATAATTTACTGAAGCCCCTCACCTTCAAACAGCTTATATGACTAATTCCGCTGGCACTCGTATTTGCCCTAGACCCAAGACTAAATACCAGATGCCACCAGGCTGCAGTGTGGTGTGTGGGGTGGCAGGAATAAGGAGGCATGGATTTCAGCTGGGTCTGCCCCTCTCCAGTCATGTGATTCTTTTTCAGCTGCATCTCTTCTCTGGCCTCCCCAGACTACACTTCTGGTATAAAATTTGGATGCTTTGATAGTGAATTATTCTGATCCTTAAACTCAAAGTGCATCATCCCTTCCCAATTGCCTGAGGGGAGAGCAAATCTGAGAGGGAAGCAGGCTCAGCACCCTGTGATTGAGATTATGAGGGTGCCTGCACACGCGTGCCTACGGGTGTGATGCTGGAGATACAAGGGGGCCTGAGATGCACAAAGACTAATTTGTAAATCTAACAAAAAAGCCTATTTTTTAGAACAGTTAAGGTTCAAAGCAAAATTGAGCAGAAGGTACAGAGAGTTCCCAAACGCCCTCAGCCCCTGCAAACGCACAGCCTCCCACACCATCAACACCTCTACAAAGTAGTACATTTGTTATAACTTATGAACCTACATTGACAAACGTAATTACCTCTTGGCCTTTTGACTAAGATCAAGTGTAGCATCCTATTTTTATGAGGAATTGTTTGGACCCATCTGTCTCTGCAACTAACTCGTCTATCTCTCCAAGTAACCCTCTAATTACTTACACACAGACCAGAGTTCCTTTTCTAGAAACAAACTCTGTTTCTGATTTGGTAGCTCTGATAGTACCAAGCACATGGTGATAAGCTCTGGATTCATGGTTTCTTGGTGCTCCATGGCCAAGCATTCCTTCCCTCCTGGAGCTCAAGAGCAAAGCAGGAGTTGTTTTTCAGAAGGTATCTAATTCTTCATTGCATATATCATGGCCCTGTTCCAGACCTCCAGGGCCTGTGTTGCCACTCTGTGTTGCTTTTATATATAGAGAGTTATAAAGTCTATTTACTCTTCCTACCTAGAATGTTTTGAGGGGACACTGAGGAGATCATCCACCCTTCCTGCATTTTCTTTCCCCAACATGTTAGACTGGCGTGTAAATTTCCAACTTTATTAGGCATCAATTTTAGCTTAAGATTTTTGTCTCCAAATAAAATGCAAATATCCCTTAGGAAGAGTAACACCTCACAGTACATAAACTATTAGCAATATCACATTTGCATAGGTTTTTACATTTTATAAATCATTTTCACCCATGTTAATGCTTAACTTACATAATAGCATAAAACACAGCAACTCTAAGGTGATGGTGGAGATGGGACTAAAGAATGGTTGTGTGCTAGACAACATTTCCTAAATGTATACAGGACACCTCACTTAAAAATCATTGACATACAGTACGGTCTATCACTGAATTTATAAACATTGTCTCATGTATTCCTCTTGACATTTCTTTAAGGTATATATTCTACAGGTAAGGAAACCAAGGAACTGAGATTAAATGACACCTGTGTTGATGAAAAAAGCCAAACTCTGTAAAATATTTGAAGCCTTATTCTGAGCCAAATGTGAGTGACCATGGCTTGAGGCACAGTCTCAAGAGGTACTGAGAACACGTGCCCAAGTTTGTTGGGTTGCATTTGATTTTATACATTTTAGGGGGACAGAAGTTACAGGCAGACATCAATCAATACATGTAACAATACATGTAAGGTGTACAGTGGTTTGGTAGGAAAAGGTGGGACAACTTGAAGTAGAGGTGGGGGTGGGCTTTACAGGTCATAGGTGGAGTCAAAGATTTTCTGATTGGCAAGTGGTTGAAAGACTTAAGTTATTGTCTAAAAATGTGGAATCAATAGAAAGGAGTGTCTGGGTTAAGATAAGAGAATGTGGAGATCAAGGTTCTTGTTATATAAATGAAGCTTCCAGGTAGCAGGCTTCAGAGAGAATAGATGGTAAATGTCTCTCACCAGAATTTAAAGGTGCCAGACTCTTAGTTAAACCTCTCCTGGATTAGGAAAAGACCTAGAAAGGGAAGGGGATTTTCTACAGAATGTAGATTTTCCCCACAAGAGGCAGCTTTGCAGGGCTATTTCAAAATATGTCAAAGAAATATATTTTGGGATAAAATACTTTGATACTTTCAGGGCCTGCTATTTGTCATATGATGCTATGCTAGACTTAGGTTGGAATTCGCTATCTTATTCTACAAAGAGTCTGTTATGTCAGTCTTAAGATCTCTGTTTTGCTGTTAATGCTGGTCGGTTCTGTCTGAATTCCAAAGGCAGGAGAAAATAATGAGGCCTGTCCCACTCCCCTTCCCATTGTGGCCTGAACTACTGTTTTTAATCTAATTAAAACTAATTAAAATTAGTTTTAACTAATCTTTGAAATCCCCTTGGCGGAGAGGAGGCATCCATTTAGTTGGTTGTGGGGCTTAGAATTTTTTTTTTTGTGGGTGGGGGTGTTTACACCTGGATAGTAATCAGAGGATTAAGTCCAAGCCTTTCTGGAGGGCAGAGTTTGAGAGCTTGGAGAGTGGAGGGGACACAGGCCCTGGTTATCTTCCAGAGGCAGGGGACCAGGGAGCAGGAGGGGGTATGAATAAGGTAGTAGAAAAAGCTACTGGCTTGTTCCCTGCATGCTTTGGTCCTTTTGGGTTTCTGCTGTTATGTAAGGGTGTAAAGTGGGACTGGACCCTTGAGGGATGGTTCCCTTAGATCTACTCCACCCTATCTTTTACCTAACACAACAGAAGATTATTAGAGACATTGAAGAAAAAAATCCATGCTATTTCCTGTTTTACGAAGGGTGAGTCCTTTCCTGTTCTCTCAACATACCTGAAATGTTATGATCCAAACCAAATGCACCTGAGCTCTTAGCTTTGAATTTGCTGGGATAACCTAGGAAGTATTGCCTCTTCCTTGGGCTGGGAGACCCTATGGTATCATGAGGGTAGAGGAAGCTCTTTCTTGCACCACAGCTTGGCAGAAAGAAGGACTGTGCTTGACTTGAGTCATACGCACATAAATGTCTTGGCAGAAGTATGTTTTACATGCCCAATACCCTTGCCTCTGGACCTTCACCAAACTACACATCAAAAGGGGAACCTGCAACGGGTTTCTGTTGCCCCAGAGTCCTGAAGTGTGAGCTTTTTACCCGTCTCCCTGAACACACTTTGTTTTTTTTCTCTATTCTCCTGGCTCCTGCCTTTTTTGTTCTTTTTCTTGTCATTTTTTCATGTATTTTTTTATTTATTGAGACGGAGTCTCTGTCACCCAAGCTGGAGTGCAGTGGTGTGATCTCAGCTCACTGCAACCTCTGGCTCCTGTGTTCAAGCAATTCTCCTGCCTCAGCCTCCTGAGTAGCTGGGATTACAGGCACCCGCTACCATGCCTGGCTAATATTTGTATTTTTACTAGAGACGGAGTTTCGCCATGTTGCCCAGGCTGGTCTCGAACTCCTGACCTCAGGTGATCCGCCTGCCTCAGCCTCCCAAAGTGCTGGGATTTCAGGCATGAGCCACTGCGTCCGGCCGTTCTTTTTCTCTTTTCCTTTAGACAGATTAGGGACACCCTCTTAGGGGTCTGCTGGGGAAGGGGGACAAGCACGGAAATAAAAGAAAATCTTGAACTGCTTTGAGAGAACTTCTAGGTCATGCTTTTAGGCCAAAATCAATATGTAATCTCCTATGACTTCTGCTTTCTTGAAATCTACCCCGGCCTTTAAAAACCCTTGCCTGCTAGCCACTGGGGAGGTTGGGACTTGCACGTTAACTGCCTGATCCTCCTTGCTTGGCATCCTGCAAATAAATGCCTTCCTTTCTCTGGTGCAAACCTCGGTGGGGATATCTGGTCTTACTACTCTGGGCCAGCAGACCCCAGTTTGGTTAGATAACACTATAATTTCAAGTAAGAAAAAAAGGAAGCATTTGAGAGGGCAGAGAAGGTTGGTGCAGGGGCGAGTGGGAGTGGGGATGGGCAGAGAAAAGATTTTGAGCTGGGTCATTGTTTAAGATCCAGCTGGAGTGCCAGCTCCCCCCCAAAGTCACTTGTGAATGACAGCACCACTCCCTCCTCATGCTCTATGGCCGTCACTTGCACCTGTGGAGGTGGGGTGGGGGTGTGGAGGGGGCTTAATGCATTCTATTCTACTTTAGAGTTGCTTACACACAGACAAGAATTCCTTTTCTAAATTACCAGCTATCCTAGGTTAATTTCTCATTTTAAAAACAATTTAATTATCTTTGTATCAGATACAGCAAAAAGCACCCTGAATTACTTCCAATAGTATTGTAAAACTGTTCTTAGCTCAGCTGAAAACAGGGTCCTTGTCACACGACCATAACAGATTAGGCTCACAGACACTTTGAAGGATGAGAAGGGCAGGGTTTACCGGGTGTAAAGCGAAAAAAAGAAAAGAAAAGAAAAGAAAACGGGGAGTCTCAGAAAACCGAAAGTCCTGCTAGCTGGCTTCCTGCCTCACAGCTTGAATCCCAGGTACTAACCAGGAAGAGGAGGGGCCAGGTCCTCTCCACTGCAAACGCTTGAACTTCCCGAGGCTCCGCCCCAGTGTGCACTCCTCCTAGTGTGCATGCCGGTTGGAGTTTCTCCAGGGACCCCTTTATGCTTGGCTGTCTGGTTCCCGCACTCTAAAGAAGTACATCTAACTGCCATTAAAATAAGGATGAGGATGAAGATGGATCTTAACTGCTTCCTGCTGACAGGGGGTGCTGTTTTGGGAAAAATAGATCTCTCTCAGCGGCCTATCTAAAGGTCCCCAATAGAAGGGGCCATCATCCAAGGCTCCAGTTGCATGACCATTTGGAGTTTGATGGCCTGAGGGCAAAAAGAGACAAACCTGATTATTAGAAAACATGTATCAAAATGAACAAGCATTTTCATTTTGGGAAATGGGAGGGGTAAGGACAGCTAAAAAATCCCGAGGCCTTTTACCAGTTTGCACAGGGAGAGGGAGGCTAAAAGCCTGACTGGTAAAAAACCTTTGCGTTTTTGCCAGCATGCTGGGCTTCTGGGTTCTCTTCCCCTGAGCCCAATCCTAAATCCACCAGTTTAAGGTTTGGGAAATTAACTCTTTCCAGTTTGGAGGATGCATCTGAGGGGAGTGTTCTATAGTATGGAGACACAGTTACCTATCAGTGGAGAGAGGACAGAGGAGGAGAAAGGAAAAAAGAAGGTGTTATTTCAAAGGGGTTCAGGATGCATTTGAAAGGGGTATAGACTGAAGATGAATGGCTACCCATCTAGAAAGAGGGGAGCAGACATCCCTTGTTCCCTTCTTTTCCTAGCAAATACCTGGGGTACGTGAGGGAAAGAAGGAAGAGCGCCCTCTTTCTTCCTTGCATCCCTGGGTCCTGGCGACCTTGGCAGCCACCACCCATGGGTGCCAAAGAGGCCTGCACCCATGAAGCAGGGAGGGCCTAGAGAATAGGAATTATCCACTCTCACCTATGTCTCTATCCCCCCCTACTGTCAGTAGCCTTGGAGTTCCCTAGACCTCATTTATGCCATGGATACTAGCATTACCTTTATCCATGAAATGGGAGGCTTGGCTTAATCAATAGGAATTAGCCATGTTCACCTGCACTGTGCCTTTTAACCTCTGTTATCGTCTACCTCTGGATCCCTTAGATCCAGTTTTCTTTCCTAGGGCTTTGACCCGAAGCTTGGAATAGAGTTTGGGACAAAAATGTGTCTTGGAGGGGTTGCATGGACTCCTTATCATAAGCCGAATGCTAAGGTGAAGCCGTGGAACTGCGTCCTCCAAGAGAGAGGAAAGAATGTCTTGTGACACACCCAGATAACTGGTGGCTATAGTTATGCTTGCTAAGATTTGGGTGCATGGGGCTTGGATTTGGTTAGCTCCCTCGGTCTTACTTTCCCCAAAAGGAAACCTCTGGGTGATCGGCATCCTATTTATTCTCATCACCTGGCAGGATTTACAGGATAATTGCTCAGAACTAGAATATTGATCCAGATTTTTACAATAGCACTATAGTAAATATGTGTTGAACCAATACAAGTAGGTAAGGTGAGATGGTTTCAGCCTGCAGCTTGTATTACAAAGAACCCTCCCAGTTTAAAGAGAAACAAGAGATAGGAAGAGTTGCTGCTTGGGATCTTCTTGGGGGAAAGGGGAATTACCCTGGGAATGGTGCTAACAAAAGGTCTTTACCAGAAGAAATT
Organism: Homo sapiens; assembly: GCF_000001405.40. Classification (NCBI taxonomy): domain Eukaryota; kingdom Metazoa; phylum Chordata; class Mammalia; order Primates; family Hominidae; genus Homo; species Homo sapiens. Next base: position 155,323,973 of record NC_000003.12, on the reverse strand, counting down.
CAACCTCAGAAAGTAATGGATACTAAATTTAGGACTGAGTGAGGTTCAGATTGTAAATGAATACATATCTTTAAATGTTCATTTATTTATTTAATTCATCAAATTGAAATTTGCACAATAAATCTAAACTCACAGCATTAGTTCAAAGGAAGAGTAAAAATTAAAGTGCAAAGAACCAACTGGCTATATTGAATTTATATAAATGAATGACATTTATCCAATTTCTGAATAAATATTAACGTTGAAAGCCATGTGGCACAGGCCCCAGCTCCATTGTGTAGCATTTAATGATCACCCCCAGCTCTCCTGTTCTAGGCTATGTACTTGGTTGTTCCTGTCAGTCACGTGGGCATTATCCCTGTGGCATGTGCCATAGGTAATACAGACTGGTTGCATTGAAATTAGAAGGGTGGTAGATAATCCAGTTAATCCTGATGTCCTTAAATGTTATACCATTCTTTATCTTGAGTCTTTGCAATTCAAATTGAATTGAAGGTAAAGGCTGTATCTATTAATAATAGAAACACTGGACTCATTTGACTCACAAAAAAATGAAAACTGAGCTCCTTTAGAAATTCACACTCATAATCATAATTTTCTGCAACTAAAAACCATTAGTAACAATGCTGGCATCAATTGGAGAGGTCCTCTGTTTTCAAGTGTAATTACAAGAATAAACTGAGTGTTCGCAATCCGCTCACTAGAGGGTGTTAGACACCAAATAGTCACCTTGTCAAGGACAGTTGTGCTGGATCTAATGCAGCAAATCCCACCAAGTCTTTAGAAGGCTAGATGTCAGACTTGCTGTGGACAAATCATCTTTTCACAGATTTCAAAAAAGAGTGCCTTATTAGTGTATTTAACAAATCAGAGTAATTTTAAATTGTTTTTCTAATTAAAAATAAATGTTTACTATAGGAAAATAAAGTACCTTAAAATATGAAGAAAATTTAATTCCACCTATAACCAAGCTGAATTTATATTGTGTTTAACCGTATGGACCTACTAGACAACAAAACTCACAATTTCATATGATTTAACGTACTATTTTGGTATCTGTCTCTTTTTCCTATGCGTATACAGTGATAAGAATTTGCTTTTCATTTAATACTATAGAGAGATTGTGAATTAAATATTTATGTATGAATATATTACTTACTAGTTTGTGTTATTCAAAGTTCTCAAAATTGTATTTAAAATTGCTTAGTCTTTTTTACCTGTAATTTTTTTAGCTGCTCAACAGCAACAAAAAGGCAACATTAAATCGGAGTGACCACTCTTGTGTTAAGCATTAAGTATAACAGAAAATTAAAAAATTCCTTGATTTCAAGGCATTTATAATCTCATTGGGAAAAGGAGATTAGTGTTGCCTGAATGAGTAAAAGTGAAACACATAAAATTCCAGTATAAAGTGGTCTTATATTCAGTTACAGATTCTAAGTGCTACAGAAGCTCAGAGAAGAAAGAAATCAAGATTATCTGAAATTTTCAACAGACTTGCTGGAAGAAGCAGAATTTAGAATGCAGTTCTAAGAAGGCAGGGACTGGGTCTAACTTTCTCCTTGCTGCATTCCCAGGGTCCAGGGAAAGGCATGGAATGCAGCTGGTTTTAAAGAAATTGTCAGTGTTACTGCCTGTTGTGTGTAAAGAAGGTGCTGCTAGCCTCTAGATGAACATATGTCATTGGAGATATTTTCCAGTAGTGTTAGGAGGCCATTCACTCTTGCATGGGGTTTTCCTATTGTTTTTTATTAGAGGGATAGTTAGGTTCTGGAACACTGTCTAGGGTCACAGATCAGGGTGAAGGGTGAACCGACTCTTACTAACATTGAACTTTTAACTTGCCCTTCATAGGCAAGGAATAAGCTAATCTGCTATTGATAATATAGAAAATATGTTAGCCAACAGTGTATCATGTCTGGAAATGAGGATAAAATGTGAAATGTGAGAGGATATATATGTATGTGTATATATATATACACATATATATATATATACACATACGTACGTGTATATATATATACACATATATGTGTGTGTGTGTATATATATATACACATAATTTTTCCTTGTAAGATCCAGAATAAAAGCCAAAAGTAATAAATAAAGAGAACTTTTAGAGGCTGGGAGGATGTATGGTTATGGATTTTTTTCTACTTGTATTCCTTTTAAAATCCCAATACAAAATCCTGTTCTGAATGAAGTAGGAAAACAATAATGAAAATTACAATGCAGGGTCAGCCAGTCATTTAAAATGCCTTTCAGAATTTGAAACTAGATCCTGGTTTTAATTTTTTCATGCTATGTGATCAGTGCTGGCTTTAGGCCATGCATCCTTTTAAGTTGCAAACCTCTTTCCAGGCAGAACATTGTTGGAGGTTATTAGAGCTGCCACTTCCCTCAGCACTGGAGTCTCATGGGATCAGCTCTTTTCCATGGGTCTGGGGCCTACGTAAAGAACGTATATTCAATGCATTTAACTTTTGTGACCAGGTAACCACATTTCCCAGCTTTATGACTTATACAAAATATGGAACAAGGTTTATCCAAGATATAAAATCTCACCACAGTTTTCTGTATTGTATTCCAAAAGCTAAAGCAGCTTAAACATTTAACATTACTATTGAACAGGACATTAGGAATCACAATCTCCTATCAGATTAAATATTAATTAATTGCAGTGATGATAGAAAACAAGGACACACTGAAACTTCCTGAAATGTGAATGGAGCTTATTGTTGTACAAAAAACACTGTTTTGAGAGTTGGCTTCTGTGTGGCAATGGCTACTAATTAACTCTAAGTCCATTGCTGAGTGACTTCCATTTCTGGCCTCCCTTCCTTATCTGTAAAATGGGTAGGTTGAAATAGGTTATCTAAGATTCTTTCTTGCTATGAAACTGTGTGTTTTATGCATCATAGCTTGTTCAATATATTTTAGGTATGAATGATTCTGAAACCATCTGTGTATATTAGCCTTGAAAAAAGAAAAAGTTTCTGGTTGAGAAAAAATGCATAATTTATTTTTCACCTATGCTTCTACTTAAAAACTGTGTGTCACTAAAAATCAATTGAAAGGCAGCTGACAGAACGGGAGAGAATATGTGCAAATTGTTTATCTGACAAGGAACTGATATCCCAAACATATAAGGAATGAAAACAACTCAATAGCAAAAAACAAAACAACCAGATTGAAAAATGAACTGAGAACCTGAATAGACATTTCTCAAAAGAAAACATACAAATGGCCAACAGGTATATGAAAAGGTGCTCAACATCACTAATCGTCAGAGAAACATGATTCAAACCTCCAGTGGGCTATCGCTTCACACCTATTAGGATGGCTATTATCTAAAGGACAAAACAAGTGAGGCTGTGGAGAAAAGGGAGCCTTTGAACACTGGGGTGGGAATGTAAATTGGTACAGCTATTAAGGAAAAATTGTATGGCGATTCCTCAAAAACTTAAAAATAAGCCAGGTGCAGTGGCTCAGGCCTGTAATCCCAGCCTTTTGGGAGGCCTAGTTGGGAGGATCACTTGAGTCCAGGAGTTCCAGGCCAGCCTGGGCAACATGACAAGACCCCATCTCCACCAAGAAAAAAAAAAAATTAGCTGGATGTGGTGGTGTGAGCCTGTTCTCCCAGCTACTTGGCAGGCTGAGGCGGGAGGTTGAGGCTGCAGTGAATGGTGTTTACACCACTGTGCACTCCAGCCTGGGTGACAGAATGAGAACATGTTTCAAAAAATAAAATAAAATAAAATAAAATAAAATAAAATAAAATAAAATAAAATAAAATAAAAACAGAATTAGCATACAAGCCAGGAATCCCACTTCTGGGTGGTATATCCAAAGGAAATAAAATCAGTATCTCAAAGACATATCTGCACACCCATGTTCATTGCAGCATTATTCACAATAGCCAAGATATATTGGAAACAACCTACGTGTTCATCAACAGATGAATGGATTAAAAATGTGGGGGGGGGGGGTGTGTGTGTATTCAGCCTAAAAAAAAGGAAATCCTACCATTTTTGACAACATGGATTAACCTGGGAGGACATTATGCCAAGTGAATAAGCCAGAGACAGAAAGACAAACATTGCATGATCTTACTTTTATATGGAATCTAAACATGCTAAACTCAGAGAGTGGAATGGTGGTTGCTGGGAGCCAGGAGGTGGGTGGGGAAATTGGGAAATAATGACGAAAATGTCCGAAGGTTCAGTTACATGGGATGAAGAAGTTCTGGTGATCTAATGTACAGTATGCTGACTATAATGAATAATACTCTATTTTATATTTGAAAATTTGCTAAGAAAGTTTATCTTAAGTGTTCTCACCACACACACAAAATGGTAATTACGTGTGATAATGGGTATGTTAATTAGCTTGATTGTGGTAATCATTTTACAATGTATACATGTATACATATCTCAGAAAGTCACATTGCATACCTTAAATATATACAATTTTTATTTGTCAAGTATACCTCAATAAAACTGGAGAAAAATCAATATAATTTCTAACATTTTGTACCTTTGACTCAAGAACAATTAATTATTTTCTGCTTTTCAGATTTGTTTTGGTGGATATGCAACCTAGAGCACCATGCATCTATCTTGTCTGTATTACAGTTTGTTAATTTGAAAAACTCTCTGAGTAAATTTGGTGAGGAGGCTGGCATGGGCCATTTTAAGTTTGAGATGGTGGCAGAACATTCCAGTTGAAATGCAGTGAAGACAATGAGAAATAAGAAGCAAGGAGCAAACATTTTACATTTTATTTGAATTAGGTGTTTGGGATCTTTTCAGCAGCCAACACAATAATAGGGGAAATAAAATGCTGTTGCTAAGCCAAAGCCCCTCCACATTCATATTACTTATCTGCAAGTGTGTGGTTTTTGTTCTGGCCCGAATGAGAGAGAGCATGGAGAGTTCTTCATTTGATGTTTGTTTGTGAGTGTGATGTCATATTTCTCTGACCAGGAGTATTGCTGGACTAAATTTTCTTGACTTAAGGATCACAAGGTCTATAATGCATATGCATGGGAGGGAATGTATATGCATGGGAGGGAGAGAATCTAAACACATACCTAATGTGAGACTTCTGCAGATGTCAGTTATCTTGGAATTGCATTACACCTATTTTTGTTTTTCTGGAACTTATACTACAGCTTTTATTTTTTTGTCCTGATGCGTTCTCTTCTTTGGATTTTACCTGAGTAGACAAGCATAAAATGAAGTTCTCACTGCATTTTACTAATGTCAGGAATTCTTGCAGCTCAATATTACCTATTAGTAACAGTCTCCACTCCAGGGACTTGCAGTGGATGCTCTATACACCACCCAGGACCCCTTTGTTCCACCAGCTGCCCTGAGTGCTGCATGCTGACTGTTCATAGCTGAGTCCTTCCTCAGGCACTGCTCTTGGACAAAAGGGGTGGTCTTGGCTCAGTTTCTATCCCCTTGTGAGTACGATCCACTTGACTGGTCAGTGTGGAGGTACAAAGGCCTGGTTCCCTTGCCACATGTTTGGACAACTCTGAGGGGCCATCCCTCTTCTATGGCTTTCCATACAATTCATGGAAGCTCAGCCAATGATGATTGGTCACTGCCAATCATCATTCACCCTTTTCCTCTCTACTCAGTCCTGCTTTCATTTCTACCTCACAGGTATTGTTCCCTAGAGCCCTTCCCAGTAAGCCTCCTTGCAGGCTAATCTCAGCTTAAGCCTCTGTTTTGCAGGGACAGACCAAAGACAGGACCCTTTTCCCATTTAATGTTGTAAGCATCTTCTCTACTGTCTACATTGGATCCTTAGTAAGATGAACTCTTCTAAAAAAGTGAGTGTTGGCTGCCCAGAATCTTAATCCATTATATTAAGTGTTTGTATTTTTCACTCTGTGTCTAGTACCTTAAAAAAAAATACATAGGTGTAATTTTATAATTCTGGGTAAAAATAACTCCTTTTACTTATTGCAAGTATCTTTAAAACCTCATTCCCAGGCCGGGCGCTGTGGCTTACGCCTGTAATCCCAGTATTTTGGGAGGCCAAGGCGGGTAGATCACGAGGTCAGGAGTTCAAGACCAGCCTGGCCAAAATGGTGAAACCCCTTCTCTACTAAAAATGCACAAAAATTAGCCAGGGGTGGTGGCAGACACCTGTAATCCCAGCTACTTGGGAGGCTGAGGAAGAGAACTGCTTGAACTCGGGAGGTGGAGGTTGCAGTGAGCCGAGATCGTGCTACTGTACCCCAGCCTGGGTGACAGAGCAAGTCTCCATCTCAAAAACAAAACAAAACGAAAAACAAAAAAAAGAAAACCCTAATTCCCTCTTTTGACATCATATCGGACTAGTCTTTAAACAATTACAAGATACTGCTCAGTATAATAATCCTTGCCTCTTTTAATCATGTCTATGTATGATTTAGCTCACTTGCCTTTCTTATCCTCATTAGAATGAAAAATTAAAATGCTTGACCTTGGTTCCATAAGAAATAATTCATGTAGCTGAACACATACGTAACTGGATTTTTGTCTTATGATTAATTATTTATTTTTTCATTGTTGTGATTCAAATGACAAACATAAAAAAAATGAAACTTTCAAAGAGATAGCCTAAGCTGGTGTTAATTAGTACCAGTTCATGCATCCATGCCCTGGACTTAGTATGAAAAGTCCATTTTTCTATTTTGTAAATATTTGGAGTTTTTTTAGGTCATAATTGAACTTGGTAACTTTTGTCCACCTTTTAACCAAGCCAAAAAAGATATTCAACTGAGATAAATGATATCTGGCTTTTAAAGAGATGTTGGGGTTTTAGTATTATGATCTCTTACAAGATTTAGAAATTAGCAAACAAAATAGATTTTACATCAAAATGACAGCCTGAAATTTCAATTGTTATGTATATATACCAATTGAATAGTAATTCTATTTCTCTAGTAAATGAAAGAATGCATAACTTTCTCTTATGAACCAAAATCATGGCTAGGCAGAATTGAAATAAAGATGCATTTAAAAATTTATTTTAAACTGAAGCTCCCAAAATTTTTGTACATCGAATGTAATATTTGACACCTTTAATTTGGATTATTCCAAACCCAAGATGTTTTAGCCCCATATAGTTTGTATAATAGATGCTTTCCTTTATCAAATGCCAGACATCTGTATGAATTGATAGTATTAGAGTCATGATGTTCAGACTGGGGCAAAGAATACTGTGTCATTAACACCCACTTTGAAGGCTACATGAAAGCAGTTGCAGTTAAAGCCTGCCCTGCCATCATGAACCTGGCAAAAAGGCACCATGGCTATGGCATGGGAAAAAAGAGCCAAGTGTTCAAATAGCATGTGAGACACACATACTATTTATAGAGTTCAGAGAGTAGCCTTTTAAAAGAATTTTACTAGGCTCCCATAATCTTTCTTGGAAGCCTGTTCTATTCAATCTATGCTTCCACTTGAACATTAAATATCAGGGGACTCTGGTTAGAAGTTTCAGAAAATAATTGTTATTTCTTACCTTCTCTAACCTAGGTTGATCAACGTTTTTCTCTGAGACCAATTCCAGCTCTTCCACATTTCACTTGTGTCTCTCAGAGCCAATGAAGAAAAACCAAACATAAATATAAATTGCATTAATGCTGATATTTAAGGGAATAATACACTCCTTGAAAGAGCTAAATGATAATCCAATATATGAATGAATAAATGGAAGAATCACCTAAGTATTTGTCAGATTTATGAGGTGTTACATATTCATTATTAATATTTAGAAGCAGGAAATATTGCCTATTTCTGTTGTCCTGATGAAATCTGATATGTTTCCAAATTGATTTGGTTATTATTTTTCCACTGTGTTTTCTTTGGTTGCAGAAAATGTTATGGGGCATAAAAAAGAGAGTGAGAGCTTAGAGTCAAATAAGTTTGGGAAATTCTTTGTTAAATTGCTTGTTTACTGTAGGACTTCTCAAAACCTTTTATATAAAAATGTATTATGAGTCTTCAAGAAAGGGCTATCGTGGGTAGCATTGATCTAAATTGTTAGATCACAAAATCTTTTTTTATGTGGCCATTCATTAACATCTATCTGAAAAAGGTTTGTGGATCTGTTTTGAAAATGCTGACCTACAGTTTTGTTTTTTGAGCATAATATTTTTGAGGCTTTCTAGCTTTGTAAATGGAATTCAAAACTTTAGATTTTTTTTTCAGTGCATTGAAAATTGCTATAATATGCAAATAATTTGTACTTCTTTCAGTTTCTTCTACGATAAGATGAGCCAGACGATATAAGCTGTCCTGCACTTGAGGATTGATGAGAATTATATTTTGAGCAACACAACTTTCTTAAGCAAAATCATTTCTCTGTGTTTTGACTTTTTAACCAGCAAACAAGCAATTGAGTGGATGCAAAGATTCATGGATTCACTTACCGATTCATGGACTCAAGGATTCGTGGTGGTGTGAGTGAATTGGGCTTTCTGGCACTGTCCTTGTTTCCCATGCAGGCATGCTGCTGTCTGGAGGCCTCAGTAGTCCACATGGAGGAAAGGGTCTACTATGTTGAAGAAGCTGCCCCTGGCAGCTGACTGCCTGATAACACCTTATGTGCTGGGGGAATGTAGGTGGGTACATATCAGCACATAGGGGCCTATACTAAAAAAGGATACATTTCAATTTTAAACCATGTTACCATCTTCTTGGTACCAGATTTACAAAATTTCGAATACCACTTAGTACCACTGAGGCATCTAGCATCTATAGAGCATCTAATAATATAACCCAGTTTGAAATTTTTTACTGTACTATTGTACCTACACAAGGTTTTGATGAAACAGGCCTGGCCATGGTCTACTACAATATGGTTATTGATCTATATTTCTGCCTTCTACTTATTCTTGGGTCACTTTAAATCATTTATGCTTCTAGGCCATGCACAGTGGCTCATGCCTGTAATCCCAGCACTTTGGGAGGCTAAAGAAGGCGGATCACTTGAGCTCAGGAGTTCAAGACCGACCTGGGCAAAATGGTGAAACCCCATCTCTGCAATTACAAAAAAAAAAAAAAGTTAAAAAAAAAAGATAAAAAGAAAATTTATGCTTCTGTATAAAATTATGTATTTTATCACCTTAAAAAAATCTTACTTCTCAACATAGTATGAGACACAGAAATCATGTCTTTTTATCTTTCCATTCCCAGTCACCAGCACATTGCCTTGTACTGGGTAGACATTTACAAATGTAGTGGAGTGAGGGAATCATATTTGTAGTCAGTGCTGTCATTCTTTATAGTGTCAGCCTGCACAAGTTAGTGGTAACTATCATTTATTGAGTGCCAAATATTTTTGCCAATGCTCACCATATATTGTTCCTAATTTTTACAATGATCTCATAAGAATATTCTTGTCTTCATTTAACGGAAGAAAAAAACAAAACTTAATTAGTTAGAAAAGGCTATATGTCAATTTTTTTTTCTTTGGAAGCTTTGTAGCCATATATTTCTAATAAACTGGATTATTGGTTCTCTCTGATTCCCAGTCCCTCCCACTTCCCATACTAGTATACTACCATGTGTCTCATGGAAGTGAGATAACCATGCAAGATACGCTATCACTGATTTATTCAGTAAATATATACCAAGTGCCTCCTTTAGGGCCAATAATCTGCTGAATGCTGTGTGTGGGAACATACAGAAGGAAAATAACCATAATAGTAGCAAACACTTATTGGGGGCTTACTATGTGCCAGATATTACTCTAAGAACATTATTTGCAATAACTTAATCTTCTAAAATATGTATTTTTATTGTCCTTTTATAATGCAGGAGAGACGGGCACAGGATTGCTGTGTAATTTACCCAAGGCCACACAGCTATTAAGTGGCAGAGCCATTACTGAAACCCAAGACATCTGACTTCAAAGGCGAACTGCCTCTTGTACTCAATCCCTTATGCCAATGAGTTTATAGCCTAATTTGAAAGCAAACCAGAAATACACCATATATAGATTTCAGAATGCCCATACAATTTTGAAAACATATGATTTAAACTTCATACCAAAGAATTCAAGATAGGAAAATATTTTCATGAATCCCACATGCTATTTTCATGAGCTACAATGTGATTTTATGGGTAATTAAGATCAGTTAACTTCCTTGATTTAACTACAAATCTTTGTTTAGGTAATTTTTTGTGTCATATTTTGATTAAAATTCTTTAAATAAAAAAACTATCATGAATATTTCTACCATTACTAATCTCAAAAAGACAAGGACCAAGAAGATCATACATAGGCCTCTGAATATAATATAATATCTTTGGTGAAATGTATTTGGCTCATTTAGACATAGTTATTCCCAAAATAGCCTAGATGGGCTGGACAGAATTTATTGCATTACTAATGTTCCAAAGGCAGGTTTCCCAGTAATAACTTACCTATAAAACTCTACTTTAACAAAAGGCTACTTGATAGCATAGAATAAACTGGAATGCTTTTTTATAGCCAGAGATTTCCTAACCATAAATACTTCCATTCCTCTAAGCAAATGGGTCAGAAATATTTATGAGGTGCCCTGCATTTTTATCACCTCTGCAATGGAATGCAGCAATTTCATCATGATCACATTCTATCTCTACCCTTACTCTATACTGTTGATGGACTCCTTAGCATATCATAAGCAGTCCATTAGTGAGAGGAACTTGGGAATTTAGAAAGGAATGAAGGGAGACACGGAATTGAAGTTGTTGAATCTGGTTGTATTTAATCTATCCAATGCTATTCATTGCTAAACTAAATCCAATTGTTAATTTCAGAACAATGTCAATATAGTTGGTTAAAAAGGTGGTTGCCTGGTAATTAGATTTACCCTCTGATGGTATTAAAATTTTATTTTTCTTCCTTTTAGAAATAAACGTTCATTTGGACCTGGAAATGCCAGATTGCTGATATTAGGGATATGATGCAAGACTCACCATTTATATGTTAGCCTTTGTTTTCTTTTTCTTTTTTTTAAAGAAGGGGGCACGTGGAAGCAATTGCTTTAAAAATAACTCTAAAGATGTCAAAAGGTCAAAATACTTACAACATTATTCTGTTGGTTATGGTTGCTGTTTTGTCTCTCTTCCTTGTAAGAATAGTATGTAGAAAGTCAATATCTAATTGCACATTAATTTTACAAAAATTGTAATTTTGCTGTTTGTGTAAAATGCTACATGCTTTATATTTTAAAATTTGAGCACTTAAAAATTTACAAAGAAGAAATTTTTAAATTAGATAAGAAACATAGGTTATGTTAGCTAATATAGGTAAGAGTTTGAAAACACAAAATATGAAATAAACATCAAATGATATATACTTGTATTTTAAACATAGTGCTCAAAAATCTGGTTATCATATTACCATATTTCATTTTAGTAAGACATGTATTGCTTAAAATAAAATTTGCAGGTGACCTCATATTAAATGTTAGTTTCAGATTCTAGTTCATATTTTTTAAAAAAGACAATATTGTTTTGTATTAATGAAAAATTTTTTGTATTAATTAATATTGTTAATTTACAGTTATTGAGCACCTGTGAGCAAAGCATTTTGTTAAACACAAAGACAACTAAGAAATGGTGGCAGAGACTGGGTAGATACTCATCAAACTTGTTTCCCCATTTTGGACAAACAGCTAGACTACATTTCCTTGCCTCCCTTGGCATTAGATACAGGCATGTGACTGACTTGTGTACAATGGAATGTGGGTAGAATTGATACCACCTCCAGCAAGAGCCCAAAAGGTCTCCCATGCGTTTCTCTAAAGGCCTCTTTTCTTTCTTGACTTTCCAGAAAGATCTGGTGGAAGATTCTGAAGCCCTATGGTTTGTCAGGGGGGCACTGGATAGATAAAACCTAGATTCCTGTATGTATATAAAGAGCAGAGACCCTCACTGCCAACCCACATAGGATTATTACAGGGATAATAAACTTCTGGTGTGTTAAGTCACAGAGATGGTAGGGTTGTTTGTATTTTACAGCTTGTATTTTACCTGCATCAGGGTTTCTCAACCTCAGCACTATTGACATATTGGACTAGGTATATCCTTGTTTTGGGGGCTGTGCTGTTTATTGTAGGATGCTGAGCAGCTTCCCTGGCCTGTATTCAACAGATGTCAATTGCTCCACCTTCCCCAGCCATGACAATCAAAAATGTCTCCAGACATTTCAAATATCCCCTTTGGGGCAAAACTGCCACTGAGGACCACTAGCCTACTTATACAGTAATATTTACTATTTTTAAAAGTTTTATACCAGAGCGTCTCCCACTTTTTTATATAATGAGTTTCTGAAAAAATCTGTTTGAAAGTCAAATGTCTGAAAGTTGAACAACATATTTACATATTATAAGGAGATTTGTAATACAAGCAAACCAGAAAGATTAAATTATATAGTTACCGTTGCATTCAGTAGCACATTTTGAAGATGCTGTTGCAGCAATTTTTATGTTTTACAACTTTATATTTTTCCTTCAAAGTCAAACTTACACTTGAATTAGCTTAAGTACAGTGAACCCTAGATGGAAGCTGAAGAGTTAGCATGTAAAGCACATAGAATGACTTTCATCTGTGTAACAATTTTATAAGATCTGTGCTTTTTTTTTTTTTTTTTTTTTTGAGACGGAGTCTTAGTGCAGTGGCGTGATCTCGGCTCACTGCAAGCGCCGCCTCCCGGGTTCACGCCATTCTCCTGCCTCAGCCTCCCGAGTAGCTGGGACTACAGGCGCCCGCCACTGCTCCCGGCTAATTTTTTGTGTTTTTAGTAGTGACGAGGTTTCACCGTAGTCTCGATCTCCAGACCTCGTGATTCGCCCGCTTCTGCCTCCCAAAGTGCTGGGATTACAGGCGTGAGCCACAGCACCGGGCCAGATCTGTGCTCTTTTTACTACAATAAGGTGCACTGCAGTTTTCCATTTCCCACTTATTTTTTATGAAATAGGAAAAATCCTTGAAATAATTGAATAAATACTTCTGTACAGACAAAGATGGCAAGAGAGCCACAAAGGAACTGGTGGCATTTAAAAGGCTTTATTATGGGAATTGTATGAAATATGCTTGTCTGATGATGTACAAATGTCTGATTTTACTTTGGCATTTCTGGGTCTTAACCCACTTTCCCTGTGCCTACCTTCTCTCCTGCTCCACTTGTTCCCGCTTTCCCATCTCAACCTGTGGACTCGACAGTATGGTGTTTGGACTATTTATCTGGCTTCAGTGTTAGCATCCTCAGGTCTCTGCACCTGACATCTGATCTTTCATGCCAGCCACCCCAGAGGTTTAAGGTACTTTGCACTCACTCTGTGCCCCACGTGATCACTGGCCTGGGTAGCCCCTGCTTGTTGGGAAGAAACATTACAGAGTTGGATGCTTGGTAATACAAACATAAAGAAGGCAGTATCCTTGCTTTTTTAGGAGCTTTAATCCAGTGGTATAGAGGCATATGCATACACAGATAATACAATAATCCCGTCAAAGGAATGAGACACTGGTGTGACTATAAGTTCAAAGTAGAAACACTATGGTTGGAGTGGATTAAATCCAAGTGCATTCCAGAGGAGACTGGTTGAGGGGACATGCTGATTTGAGCCAGCAGTGCATATCTGATGGAGGATCCTCCTTTAAAATTCACCTGTGGGCCCTTCTACCCCACGGTTAGTGCTGAGAGTGCGGAGTGTGCGCTTGGAACACACATTTATTATTAAAAAATAAAAAATAAAAATCTAAAAAAATCGTTTAACAACACCCCCCTCCCTGATTTTACAAAAAATTCGCCTCTCCCCCTCAGGAGACTTTTTTTTTTTCTTCCTCTTTTATAAAATAACCCGGTGAAGCAGCCGAGACCGACCCGCCCGCTGCAGCCCATTAGCAGCTCCAAGAAGGAACCAAGAGATCAAGGCCTTCCCGCTGCCTGGACCCGACACCACCACCTTCACTCCCAGCCTGCAGCTGGCAGCCAGCGGCAGCAGATCTACCCAGTCCTGCGGCCACTGAGTTTTCCATTCTGGATTATTTTTGTCTCTCTGCGCTTGCCCCGACTCCCTCCCATCGGCTCCGGCCCCGGCCCCGGCACTCGCTCTCCTCCTGTCACGGAAAGGTGGCGGCCTGTGGCCCTGCGGGCAGCCGTGCCGAGATGAACCCCAGCGCCCCCAGCTACCCCATGGCCTCGCTCTACGTGGGGGACCTCCACCCCGACGTGACCGAGGCGATGCTCTAAGCTCAGCGTGGCCGGGCCTATCCTCTCCATCCGGGTCTGTAGGGACCTGATTACCTGCCGCTGCTTGGGCTACGAGTATGTGAACTTCCAGCAGCCAGCGGATGTGGAGTGCGCTTTGCTTTGGACACCATGAATTTTGATTTTATAAACGGGAAGCCAGTACGCATCATGTGGTCTCAGTGTGAACCATCACTTCGCAAAAGTCGAGTGGGCAACATATTCATTAAAAATCTGGACAAATCCATTGATAATAAAACACTGTATGATACATTTTCTGCTTTTTGTAACATCGTTACAAATCTCTCTGAGATTTGGTCTTCTATTATAATGGACAATAATTAAGGAATAAACTAGTCAATGTATTTGTGTAACAAATACAATGTTAGGGCATAGTAGTTAATGCATATTAGTTAAAAATGTATTTAAAACATATGCATATATACATGTGCACACATTATATAGGCATACTTTATAAATAAAACTCCAACACAACGAGCCATGATCGTGCCAAAAAGAAAAGCTCCAACATAGAGGAAACAAAAGTCCCTGAACAGATTCATAAATACATAATATTTTACATTAAAATCTTTCTTCTATAAAACATTTTACTCTGTGATTTATTTTATTTTATTTTTGAGACAGTCTTGCTTTTTCACCCAGGCTGGAGGTCAGTGACGCAATCACGACTCACTGCAGCCTCAACTTCCTTGGCTCAAACAATCCTCCCGCCTCAGTTTCCTGTGTAGCTTGGACCACAGGCATGTGCCACCATGCCCAGCTAATTAAAAACAACGTTTTTTAAAGACGGAGTTTTACTATGTTGCCCACGTTGGTCCCAAACTCCTGGGCTCAAGCGATACGCCCCCATTAGCTGGTATTACAGGTATGAGCCACTGTGCTGGTGGAATCATCTTAAAAAGCAAAATACCGCCTGGAAATTTATTTTATTTATTTGTTTTTTTGAGATGGAGTTTTGCTCTTGTTGCCCAGGCTGGAGTGCAATGGCTCGATCTTGGCTCACTGCAACCTCTGCCTCCCAGGTTCAAGTGATTCTCCTGCCTCAACCTCCCAAGTAGCTGGGATTATAGGCTCCTGCCACCACGCCTGGCTAATTTTTTGTATTTCTGGTAGAGATGGGGTTTCGCCAGGTTGGCCAGGCTGGTCTCAAACTCCTGGCCTCAGGTGATCTGCCCACCTCGGCCTCCCAAAATGCTGGGATTACAGATGTGAGCCACTGTGCCCAGCACCACTTGGAAATTTAAAAATTCTCTTAAACAATTTCTTGATTAAAGAGAAAATCAAACTTTAAAGGTCAGAATATCTAGAAAATACCATTAATTAAATTATTACATGTTAGAACTCAAGAGATACAGCTAATGCTGTGTTCTGAGAAAAAATATATAACCCTAAATGTTTTCACAGATAAACAAGAACAGATGAGAACAAATAAATTAAGCATCACATTTTAAAAACTAGACAAAGAACAAGAAATTAAGCCTAAGAAAAATTAAAGAACAAATAAAAATAAAAGCAAACATTAATGGAATGTAAACAGAAAAACCAAGAAACTAAGAAATACATTCAAGAGCTAGTTTTCAAAAATTAGTTAAAGCAGACAACCCCCAAAGTAGGAGAAAACCTTCACAATTTATACAGCTGACAAAGGACTAATATCCAGAATCTACAAGGAACTCAAACAAATCATCAAGTAAAAACAAAACAAAACAAACAACAACAAAAAATCCCACCAAAAAGTTGGCTAAAGACTTGAATAGACAGTTCTGAAAAGAAGATATACAAATGGCCAACAAGCATATGGAAAAATGCTCAACATCACTAATAATCAGGGAAATGCAAATCAAAACCACAATGCGATACCACCTCACTCCTGTAAGAATGGCCATAATCAAAAAATAAAAAAAAAAATAGGTGTTGGCATGGATGTGGTGAAAACAGGACACTTTTACACAGCTGGTGGGAATGTAAACTAGTACAACCACTGTGGAAAAGAGTGAGGATATTCCTTAAAGATCTACCATTTGATCCAGCAATCCCACTACTCTACCCAGAGGAAAAAGTCATTAAGTGAAAAAGATACTTGCACACACGTTTATAACAGCACAATTTGTAATTGCAAAAATATGGAACCAGCCCAAATGCCCATCAATGAATGAGTGGATAAAGAAAAGTATATATATGTGTATATATATACATATATAGTATATATACACACATATGTGTATATACGTATATATACGTATATGTATATATACATATATACACACATATACGTGTATATATATACACATGTATTATATATACATACGTATATATGTATATATGTATATATATGTATATATACACATATACCTATATGTGTATATATGTATATACGTACGTATATATATACATATATACGTGTATGTGTGTGTGTGTGTATATATATATAAAATATATACACCATGAAATACTACTCAGCCATAAAAAGGAATGAAATAATGGCATTTGCAGCAACCTGGATGGAATTAGAGACTATTATTCTAAGTGAAGTAACTCAGGAATGGAAAACCAAGCATTGTGCGTTCTCACTCCTATGTAGAAGCTAAGCTATGAGGACTCAAGAGTATAAGAATGATACATTGGACTTTGGGGACTTGGGGGAAAAAGTGGGGGTGGCAAGGGATAAAAGACTACACATTGGGTACAGTGTATGAAGAACTCGGGAATCACCACTAAAGAGCTTATCCATGTAACCAAACACCACCTGCTCCCCAAAAACCTATTGAAATAAAAATAAAAATAAAAACAGAGGAAAGAAAAACTAGTTAAAACAAGCAAAGCACAATTACACAAAATAAGAAACAAGAATAGAAAAATTACCACAAATATAGAGGAAATGGGAATAATTGACTCTGTTCAACTAAACTGAAGTGGAATAATATTAGAAAAAGGTAAATTGATAAAACCATCTCAGAAGAGGAAGGTCATTTAGTATATTTAGAGATCATTGACTATAAGGAGATAGATAAAAGTTGTTAAAAGCACTAATGCCTCCCTAATGAAAGCATTCGTCTATCAGTACAAGCTGATGCTATGATAAAAAAGGAAAAAAAGAGATATGGAAATTGGAAAGGAGGCGATAAAATTATTGTTTGTAGATAAGGATTGTATATATCAAAACCCAAGAGAACCAACTGAAAAATTCCTAATGACCATAATCAAATTTGTTATCTGTATACAGAATCCATATAAAAAAGTATGATGGCATATATACCTACCATGTACCCACAAAAATTTAAAATATAATTTAAAACATTTTAAAAAGTATGATGCGAAAAACATAATAACCACCAAAAATAATTTTAAAAGAGAATAAACTTGATAAGAAATGTGCAAGAGTTTTATGAAGGAAGTTCTGACACATGATTGAGGGACGTCAAAGAAGGCTTGACTAAATGGCAAGGCATTTCCGGTTCTTGGAAAGGTAGACTGAATATCACAACATTTTACTCATTCCTAAATTAATCTCTACACTTCATGCAAGTTAGTTAGAATTAATAACAGGAGTCTTCTTCCTTCTCCACTTCCTCCTCCTTCACCTTCTTTTCTGTGAGGGGTGGGGATGGGGATTAAATAACTTGATTTGAAAATTGAAAAGGAAAGTTAAACATGCCAGAATAGCCAAAATCATTATGAAAATAAGAATAATAAAAGGAACAAGGCATACAGATTTTATTATTGTATTTATTCATTTTTGTCTCTGTCGCCCAGGCTGGAGCGCAGCAGCAAGATCTCAGCTCAGTGCAACCTCCGCCTCCAAGGTTCAAGTGATTCTCCTGCCTCAGCCTCAGCCTTGGCTAATTTTTGTATTTTTAGTAGAGATGGGGTTTCGCCCCATGTCTTGGCTAATTTTTGTACTTTTAGTAGAGATGGGGTTTTGCCATGTTGCCCAGGCTGGTCTTGACCTCCTGACGTCAAGTGATCCGCCCCCCTAGGGTTCCCAAAGTGTTGGGATTACAGGGCTGAGCCATTGCTCCTGGCCCCAGATTATGAAACATATTTTAAAGCTGAAATATTTAAAACACAGTGTTACTAGGGCATGAAAAGACAGGTCATTGGTTAAAAGCTGGCAACCCAAAGAAATAGATTCAGTTTTATACCTTTTTTCTTAGGGTATTTTCATATCTTTTATTTTTTCATTTTTTATTATACTTTAGGTTCTGGGATACATGTTCAGAACGTGCAGGTTTGTTATGTAGGTATACATATGCCATGGTGGTTTGCTGCACCCATCAACCGGTCATCTACATTAGGTATTTCTCCTAATGCTATTCCTCCTCTTGCCCCTCACCCCCACTACAGGCCCCGGTGTGTGATGTTCCCCTCCCTGTGTCCATGTGTTCTCATTGTTCACCTCCCACTTATGAGTGAGAACATGTGGTGTATGATTTTCTGCTCCTGTGTTAGTTTGCTGAGAATGATGGTTTCCAGCAGTTTTATATCTTGATAGGAGTTTGGGTTATAAAGATGTAATTTCACTTTGTGAAATTCAGTGAATGTACAGTTAAGATTTGTACATTTCATTGTATATAGTTTCTCTTGAAAGAAAAAAATCGAAAAAAATTATTGGAGTCTAATCTAATGATATGTATACTAAAGTATTTGGAGAGAAGTATGCTGCTATCTGTAATTCATTTAGAAACAAATAAAAGAATCAGAAAATAAGATGGCTAGAGGGTTGCATATATGAAAAATTATGTAATTATATAAAATTATCTCAACATTGCTGTATGCTTGAAAATTTCATAATAAAATGTTGGAAAATAGACTCTAATATGTAGAGAAATTTAGTATACAATAAAGACAAAACTGAAGATCTGTAAGTTATAACATTATCTACAGAATGAGAGATTTTGTCTCTTATTATAACAGTTTCAGGAACCAGGATGCAGATGAGAAGGGTTGGGTGTAGACAGAGTTGCCCCTGGAATGACTCTTCCAGGTTCTATGGTGTCTCCTGATGTTCTGACTCGTGAGGCTAAGGAGGAACTCTGGAACCCCAGTCCCTGAGAGCACTGTGCTGGGCCACTGCTTTCCTACTAGCAGGGGCCATGTTGGCTATGAGGCAAGCACAGGTCCAGGAACTACACACGCATCCAAAGAGCTGGAAGAACAAAGTAGTCCTTGTAACAAAGAACATGTTGTGCAGGCCAAGGGCAGTTCTGTTCTTCAAGCATGGTGATTTGACTTTTTTTTTGTTAAGTTGTTGTTTGTTCTGTTAAGTTGTTTGTTAACTTTTTTTGTTCCTTTGACTTTTTTTTTGTTGTTAAGTTGCTGCTTTATAGCTAACAACTTTAGGATTTTACAACAGTTTATTCAGGAGTTCTGAGTAGTTTATAAAGTGCTATTACTTAGCTATTTGTCTTCTGTGTTTTTTTAGTTACTTGACCCTGGATTTATATTTTTCAAAGACCGCACAGAATGGGTGTTGGGAGAAGTGTCATTCTGCTATTCCGTGTACAGTTTCAAAAAACTGGGGTTCCTGGGGACTCACCTGAGCTTCAAGCAGTAGAAACTTTGTCAGCATGTGGAGAGAATTAGCTAGGCTTCCTCAGTCTTTAAGGTATACCTGGACTCTGATAGGTAAATTTGAGGCTGCTTTTATTTGGGGAATGGGGGTGAGAAGGAGTATATGTATTTTGGTGGCAAAAGGGAAACACTAGAAATTCAAATATATGAGGACTTTCTAGTTTTGAGAGCTCTCAGGGAGGGGCACACATTAAAGAAAACAGTTGACAGAATGTGTTTACAACTGGATTTATTTCTTTAGCATATCTTTTGTTGAAAATGTCATCTTTGATGTCACCCTTTTAAACATCTTGAATAATTTTACCATTTGAATATGGAAATGCTGATGCATAGTTTCTGAGAAAAACCTTCTCTATCTTTTGGTTTACATTTACTTGATTGACAGTATTGTGGGCTTTTTAAACCATATGCCTGCCTGAGAAATACTGGAAAGCTTCCAGTGACAAAGGTCACCTAGCTCTGCCACTTACATGTAGTTCTCATTGGACATTATTTCCATGAGGTGTGAGGTATATAATTAGCAAAGAATCAGCAAATAAGATTTTAAAGAATGTCATTGTAAAAAAGGAGAAGTTGTTTCAGGCAAGTTTGTAAAATCTAGTGTATGTGAGTGTTTAGGAAAGAAGCTGAAGGTGAACAGTGATAAACTGGACTCCAATCCCGATTTCAGATGCCTTAAATACTCTCTTTAGATTTACATTGAAAGCTTAAGGCCTCATGTGCATTTACTTGGAACAGGTTCTGTGCTAAGTGTCTTACATATCTTGTCTCTTAATTCTCACAGAAACCTTAAAAAGTAGGTCTTTTCCATTTTACAGATAGAGAAACAGAGGTAAAGAGAGTTAAGTCGTGTTAGGGTATAATTTTCAAAAGGATAAAATAATAACTCTCAGGTAAATATAAAAGGGACATATGTCAAATATTTTATTGAACTAATTAATTAATGAGGGAACAAGTAAGATGTCATAATCAGTTCAAAGAGCATTTAAGAAGTGATGGCAGTTATTGGCAGCTTGACAAAGAAATGTTAAGATAAAATTGCTGAGCTAGATGTAAAACTGGTTAATGTTTAACAGGCCATTAATATTTTACATTGTCTGTTCCATTGGTTGGAAATTATTTGCATCTCTACTGGACAAAACCCTGCAAATTAATCAGTAAATTCCTTAAGTACGAGACCTTTAATCAATAGTGAAAATGAGATGAACTAATTACAGGTCTAGACAATCCTGGGGGACCTTTGTCCCCATATGATATTGAAAAGCTCTGTTCCCACCTTTTTTCCCTTACTTCCAAGTTTGGAGAAATTTTTTGTGACAGTAACCTGTTCCCACAAATATTAGCTAGTGGAGCAGCGATTTGAACCTCAGTCTCTGTGACTCCACAGACCTTGTACTCAACCCTTTGTTATGACTCAGCAATGAGTTAGTTTGTATTTTTAAGAATGTTGGAATCTATCAGGTCTTTGCAAATAATTCTTTTTCACAGCCAAGACTTCTCTGAAGCACAAAGATTCTCTGGAGGATGAAATCATCCAACTCAGTCAATAAACATCTATCTGAAGTAGTAACACTTTTTGTTTCTGCTTTAGAGGAGATTGCTGATACCAGACTCGAAGAACATGAGCACTATGGTAAGAATGACACTGAGACAACACTCTATTTTTATGTCTGTCTTTATCAACATTAAAATATTAGGGAAATAGAAAAATTTAGGTTGAAAGCATATTTTATTACCTGCTTTGCAAATGGCTTTAAGATTAGGTAATATCTTTTAGAATAAGAAATAGATAAATTAATGCTCACTTTTGGGCATACCCTCGCCAAACTTTTTCAACTTTTATGCTTAAAGTAGGGTAATAATAGGGATCTTCAAACTGGGTTCCAGAAAAAGGGATTTCGTATATAATCCCTGAACACCTCATGTCGTGTATCATATATAACCCCAAACACACCATGCTATGTGTTAGATTCAACTCCTGAACATATCATATCACCAGGTTGAAGTCATGGATACCAAGAAAGCAGCATGGTGGTGGGAGGTTGTTTTCAGACAAATTCTGACGTTAGAAAAATCACCTCACCTTCCTATGCATTAGTTTGTTCCCTCCTATGTGTGTGATTGGACTAGATGGGAGGTTTCTAAACTTTTTAGCACCATGACCCCAAAATATGATGCCATATCATACATGACTTAGTGTGTTCAGAGGTTATATATCATACATGGCATGGTGTGTTCAGGGGTTATATATCATACATGATGGCATAATGCATTCAAGAGTTATATATGATACATGGCATGGCACATTCAGGGGTTACATTTGACAGAGAGATGCTATGGTTAAAGGAATTGAGGGAGAAAGGGATGTGGATGGCCCAGACTTCTTACCACCCTGCTCTCTCCTTCCCTTATGGAAGGAATCAGGATTTGGTACAAAATTTGCAGGGCTCAGTGCAAAAGAAAAATATGGGGCTCTTTGTTAAAAAAAAACAAAAAGTACATTAAATATACTAAAATATAAAGCTTTTTCCTTTAAAAATATTCAGTGAATTTCAAAATGTAATAGGTATAGACAAGATAAATTAGTAACATAAACTTACAAATTGTAAAAATAATATTTTTGGTGTCATAATTTTATGTAGTACAATATATAATACTTAATAATATGATATCATGATTATCGTAAGTTTTTTTCTGGCTCACATTTTTGCAAATTCACATACAGGTATTAGATCATGCAAATTTAAATTTTTAGCAACATCATTTTGTTTTTTTTTCTTCAACTTTTATTTTTATTTTAAGTTCAGGGGTACATGTGCAGGATGTGCAGGTTTGTTACATGTTGATTTGTGCACAAACCATCCCGTCACCTAGGTATTAAGCCCAGCATCCATTAGCTATTTTTCCTAATGCTCTCCCTCCTTCCACCACCCTCTCCAATTTTCAATCTATATAACTGAACACAGCATTAATTGCTCAATAACAGATTCAGGAATGAGCAGGGAGTTGAAAAATGGACTCCCACATCCCCCCTTATGTCCTGGCCTGATGATCAGTAGATATGGTCCCTCTTAGATGACCCTCAAAATGATCTTGGAAGCATGCAGAGGGGGATATCTGGTTCTTTGTAGATGTTGCTTCTCCTTCCTCTTTATCCCTGTTTATCATGGCTTAATGATAACAACTACCATGCATTGGGAACCTACTTCGTGTTAGGCTGGTGCTGAGAATTTTGTATATGTTTATCTCTAATTCTGTATGCTATGCTTATCATTTTCCAAATGAAGAAATAGACTCAGCTTGTGTGACCACTTAAGTTCATACAGCTATTATCAGACCTGACATTCAAACTTGATCCTAAGTCCCTGTTCCTGCCACAATATAGTGCTGCCTTTTGTTTTGAGCCACACTTTTTTGCTCTGAAATGCAAAGAGGAGTCTCCAGGGAGGAAGATCAGGTAGTCTGTGACTTCCTTTTTTTTTTCTTTTTTTTGAGACAGGGTTTCACTCTGTTGCCCAGGCTGGTCGACCCCCTGATCACAGGTGATCCCGCCACCTTAGCCTCCCCGTGGCTGGGACTATAGGTGTGCACACCACCAAGCCCAGTTAATTTTTAAATTTTTTGCAGAGATGGGGTTTTGCCATGTTGCCCAGGCTGGTCTCAAACTCCTCAGCTTAAGTGATCCACCCACCTCAGGCTCCCAAAATTCTGGGATTACAGGTATGAGACACTGTGTCTGGCCATAGTCTGTGATATTTTGTTGTCTCTTATTCATTAATCCCAATACATTTTATATTTGGACATCTCAGACCAAATAAACCTTGCTTGGTATGACTTGGCTCTGTGTCCCTATCCAAATCTCACGTTGAATTGTAATCCTCAGTGTTGGAGGAGGGGCTTGGTGAGAGGTGACTGGATCATGGGACTAGACTTCCCCGTTGCTGTTCTTGTGAGTTATTTAAAAGTGTATAGCACTTCTCCCTTTGCTCCCTCTTTCTTGCTCCAACATGTGAAGATGTGTCTGCTTCCCCTTCACCTTCCATCATGATTGTAAGTTTCCTGAGGCCTACTCAGCTATGATTCCAATACAGCCTGCAGAACTGTGAGTTGAATAAACCTCTTTTCTTCATAAATTACCCAGTCTCAGGTAGCTTTTTATAGCAATATGAGAATGGACTACTACATTTCTCAATACATTCTACTGCAATTTGCTGAATCCTATGGGACTTTGAACACAAATTCCTTCACACAACTTAGTCAACAAAAGTTGATAATATGGAAAAGTTTCATCCAACCTGTCAAAACTACACTAGTTAGATCCATCATAAACACAAACCTTGTTCTGGCTCATCCCTTGTTCCCCTTTTTGATGAGAATGTTGTTTAATTTCATATAATTGTGAATTTGCCAAATTTTCTTCTAAATAATGTGTATTGTGTTACTGTTTATTATTGTATTCAATAAATGCATATTAGGTCCAGTTGGCTTATAGTGTTGTTCAAGTTCCCTATTGCTGATAGTCTGTCTAGTTTTTCTGTCCATTATTATAAGCAGTATATTCATTCAACCATTATTGTTGAATTGCCTATTTGCTTCAATTTTGTCAGTCTTCATGTATTTTGGGGCTCTGTTTTTAGGTACGTATATGTTTATAATTGATTATTTTATCATTAGAAAATATATTTCTTTGTTGCCAGTACATTTTTTTCTTAAAATCTATTCCATCTAGGCTGGGTGTGATGGCTCATGCCTGTAATCCCAGCACTTTGGAAGGCTGAGGTGGGTGGATCATGAGGTCAGGAGATCAAGACCATCCTGGCTAACACAGTAAAACCCCATCTCTACTAAAAATACAAAAAAAAAAAAATTAACCAGGCATGGTGGCAGGTGCCTGTAGTCCCAGCTACTCAGGAGGCTGAGGCAGGAGATTGGTGTGAACCAGGGAGGCAGAGCTTGCAGTGAGCCGAGATCGTGCCACTGCACTCCAGCCTGGGCAACAGAGTGAGACTCCATCTCAAAGAAAAAAAAATCAATTCCATCTAATATTAATACAGTTACTCCATGTCTCTTTTGATTATAATTTGCATGACATGTATTTTTACATCTTTTTGCTCTCAACCTATTTGTGTCTTTGAATCTAAACTGTCTCTTACAGATAGCTTATAGTTGAATTACTTTTAAAAATCCATTCTGCCATTCTTATCTTGTATTTGGAGTGGTTAATCCATTTAAATGTAACTATTTGTAAAGTAGGATTTACAATTACTATTTGTTTTATGTATGCCATCTTTTTGTTTCTTTATTTCTTCATTACTGTCTTGTTTTGTGTTAATTGATATTTTCTAGTATATCATTTTAATTATTTTGTAATTTCTTCTGCTGTCTTTTTTTTGGAGTTATTTTCTTGGTGGTTGCCCTAGGGATTACAGTGATTATTTTAATTTATAACCATCTGGTTTTGATTAATACCAACTTAGTTTTAGTAGTTCACAACATCTTTGCTTTTATAGAGCTCCATTCCCTTTTTTGTGTTGTCATTTTAATTTAAATTACATTATTATATATTGAGTGTCACCAATACAGATTTATAATTATTGCAGTTGTCTTTTAAATTAGGAGGAAAAAAGAGTTACAAACAAAAAATACATTTATCATATTTTTCTATGTAGTTACCTGTAGAGATATTCTTTATTTTTTCATGTGGATTTTAGTTACTGTCTAGTGTCCTCTTATTTAATTCTGAAGGGACTCCTTTTAGTATTTATTGCAGGGTAGCTTTGCTAGCAACAAATTATCTCAGTTTTTGCTTAACTGAGAATGTCATAATTTTTTTATTTACTTTTTGAAGATTGTCTTGCTTGTTATAGAATTTTTGGCTAACAATATTTTTTCTTTGAATGTCATAACACTGCCTTCTGAGCTTCATGTCTTTTATTGAGAAATCAGCTGTTAATCTTATTGAGTATCCCTTGCATATAGTGAGTTAGTTATTTCTCTTTTGATGCTTTCAAGATTTTCTCTTTGTGTTTGTTTCTTTTCTTTCTTTCTTTCTTTCTTTCTTTCTTTCTTTCTTTCTTTCTTTCTTTCTTTCTTTCTTTTTTTTTGATAGAGTCTCACTCTGTTGCCCAGGCTGGAGTGCAGTGGTGTGATCTTGGCTCACTGCAATGACCACCTCCCAGGTTCAAGTGATTTTTGTGCCTCAGCTTCCTGAGTAGCTGGGATTACAGGTGTGTACCACCACACCTGGCTCATTTTTGTATTTTTAGTAGAGATGGGATTTCATCGTGTTGACAAGGCTGGTCTCAACTCCTGACATCAAGTGATCTACCTGCCTCCACCTTCCAAAGTGCTAGGATTATAGGCATGAGCCACTGCACCCAACCTGTCTTTGGTTCTTGACCGTTATTTTGTGTCTAGGTATTGGTCTCTTTGGGTTTATTCTACCTAGAATTAATTGAGCTTCTTGAATATGTACGTTAACATTTTTCACAAATTTGGGAAGCTTTTGGCCATGATTTATTCAAATATTTTTTCTGCCCTTTCTCTTCTTCTTTTAGGACTCTAATTATGCATATGTTGATATGCTTGATGGTGTCCCACAGATCTCTAAGGCCATATTCATTATTATTTTTTCTTCTTGTTTCTTGTACAGGATAATCTCAATCAAACTGCCTTCAAATTAACTGATTCTTTCATCTGCCTGCTCAATCTGCTGTTGAGCCTCTAGTAAAATTTTCATTTCAGTCATTGCACCTTTCAACTTCAGAATTTGTTTGCTCTTTTAAAAATAGTATTTATCTGGCTACTGATATTGTCTTTGCTGAGATGGCATTCTTTTGCTTTTTTTAGTTATTTGAAAATACTTAAAATAGCTGACATAAAGTCTTTGTTAGTCAGTCTAATTTATAGACCTTCTCAGAAATAGTTATTTTTGATAGTTTTTTTATCCCTTTGTATGGGCATACATTTTTGTTCCTTTGCATATCTCATAACTTTTTTTTGTTGAAAGTTAGTAGTTTTAAATAATGTCAACTCTTAAATCAGATTCTACCTCCTCCCAAGAGTTTGTTGTCATTGCTGTTTGTTGTTGTTATTATTCTGAACTGATTGTGTACAATTTGCATTCTTTGTTGTATGTGACCACTAAAATTTTTGCTCAATTAGATTAGTTATCAACTAATGATTGGACAATGATTTCTTTAAATGCCTATAACTAGTATGCCTTCCAGACTTTAATGATGGGCTCTGTGTATGTGTTGAGGTATGCCTTTAACACTCAGCCAGGCAGTTGACAACTGCCTTACCATTTGCTTTCCATTTTGAGCCTCAAGGTTAGCCAGAGGTGAAAGCTTAGGGCCTTTTCAGGTCTTTCCTAAGCATACCCACAGCCATGAGGTCATGCCCATAGCTGAACATATGCATGTAGCCTTCTAGATTCTTAAGGATATGTGAAACTTTTCAAACCCCTATTGACATCTCATTCCCTAGATTCTCCTTTTAAGCTTTTTAGTTAGCCTATTGTTCACTCTGTTACCTAGGCAGCTGTGATGTTAAACAATTGCCTCTAATTGTTTTCAACAAATGCCCTGGGAGTGGGTACTTTTCACACAGTGGAAGTTCTGAGTCTTATCAAATAAAGACAGCCTTGCAGGTGAGGTCTTTGGGAGAACCACCAGACAGTTTAAATAATTACTGTTCTCTGAAACTGAGACTTTGAAAGAGTTCTGTTCTGCTCTGTCTCCTCTGGTGGCTGCTAGTCTGCTAGTTTTCACTGAGATTTTGGGATATTGTTTAAGGCTGCTACAAAGCTGGAGATGGGGGAGATGAGAATAGGCCAAATTAAAACATCACAAAACTCTTGCTGTTCTTACCTAGATTCCAGCTCCCCCAGTTGCTGTAAGTCCTTGGTTAATTTCTACAATTCTTAAAAATTGATTCAAAAATTTTAGATGGCTTTCTTGGTGCTCTTATGAAGGAAAGATATTTTGGAGTCCCCCACTCCTCTATTTTTGCAGATGTCACTTTCTTTTATTTGTTTATATTCTTATTTATAGATTATTCTAATGTTACTGGTAATTAAATACACTGTATTATCTATATATGCATATATTATAAGGCTAGAGTATAGTTAAGATCATTTTATTTCTTATTACTCTTTTAGGTATTGCCATAAGTAAACCTTTGTTTAGAGTGCAAACTAAGCTACCTTATACTGCACTTATTACATCCACCTACCCAGTCAGCCAGCCATGAAGCAAAGATCCATGAGCATCCACCATGGTCAGGTCTATGTACTATAATTCCAGACATTAGTAGTGAAAAATATTTGAAAAGTGAAGAATTCTTAAATATTTTAAAGAAAAACCAAATATTTAAATTTTTCGGCTCACATATCTCTGAAGAATCTAATGTCACCTTGAGAATAAGGGATTTGAGAGCTAAATGTTTAAGACAGTATGTAAAGTAAAAAAGTAGAAAATGTTCCTAATTAGTATGTCCTAAGAGAAAGATTAGAAAACGGTCAAATATAGGCCCTTGGGTTTATAAGCTCAAAGTGAAACCAGTCTATTAATGAATAAAACATCCTTTCCTGATTAAATATTATAAAACTTATATTTTTTAAAAAATTTACTGATGATATAACCAAGGAAATGAGATTCTAGGTTGAATTCTTTTCTGAAGTCTGAGAAATTCATGTTGATTAAGTTAGTTTTTTCTCTTCTTCTTTCCATAGAAAAGTAAGGAAAATAAATGATGAATTATAAACTAATCCCTCCTCAAACTCCAAATTGACAGCAATAATGTTAATAATAGTCAATTTCATGTCAAGAAGAAAGCTTAATATAATTGAAATGGAAATGAGTATTTAAAATGTAGAAACCTTTTCATATGTTTCAGGCAAATTATTTTATTTTATTATGTATGTTTGTGCTCTTTGTGGGTACCACACTGTTTGTTTTAAATATCATTTTTTTCCTTAAGATAATTAGTGTTCATTTGAACTTACTGAATTAACATTTTTTATATTTAAATGAGATCAATAACATTTTTATTTCTTCTCTCTCTTTTGGCCTCAGTTAACCTTTGTTTAACGTATTATTATTTAATATTGAAAAAAATACCCAACTTTGCCAGGTAAGCAAGGGATTTTGTTGCATAAACAATACGTAGTTTTTCTGCTTACCTGACATAGCCAGACATTTTTTCAATATTAAATAATATATTGAGAGAGAGACTGAGGAGAGAGATGACAACTTGACATAAATGATATAAATGTGCCAGATTCTTGGCTGCACACTCTAATCTATAGGTACATTATTTGAGGTAGAAAGTCAAATGTTCTTCTTGCCTGTGAGAGTGGGAGGATTCTGAATTCATATAATAGCAAGGAGTTCAGTGTCACTGAAGTTATCACTGCAAATGGAAGAGTAGAGAAATAAGGGTTTTTAGGTGTCTAAACAAAGAGTTGGGATTTTTATTGTCTAGGAGATGAAGAACTATTGGTGGATTTTTGAGCAGTGATGGAACATGGTCATTTGCAAGGCAATATCACTCTTGGAACTCTGTGGAGATAAATTTGATCAGGCCAGACCTGCCTTTACAGGTCTTAATCTTATGTCAAATTTTTTTTGGGAAGATGCTCACAGGGTCACTCTGCAAAACTTTTCCAGCCAGATCCCCAATTTAAAGTTATTCCAATGAGAATATAGAGAATAGTCTAGGTCAGTTACATAAACCAGTTTGGACTTTGAAAAATGAAATGTCCTATTTTTATACATTGCTAATAAAAACAACAAGCTTATGACTGCTTCCTAAAAATTCTAGGCGACGTCTGTATTGTTTTAGTTTCTAGTACATTTATATTAACACTTTTTGTTTTAGAATAGTTCAAAGAAAGGGGCACCATTTCATTTTATGTTTTCCACCTGTAAAGTAATAAAGAACTGTCTACATTTCATACAGACTTTCATTTCATCTTTATGCGACTCCCATGAGTAGGTATTATTATCCTCATTTTAAAACTAAAGAAGCTGATTCCCAGGTTAAGCAACTTGGCTTTCATTACAGAAAGAGCTGGAATTTGAACCCAAGTCTCTCCAACATCAAAATCCTTTCTTTCTAATATATCACCCTTCTCCTTGATAGCACTTGTATAGGTGGAATGTTGTTTTTCCTCTGTACACCTTCTTTATAGAACATTTTCTTCATGTTACCTAAAGGCATGGTGCAAATTAAAAACCTGCGAATATCTGCATTAGGATAATTCAGCTTACCTAATTGTTTAGGTCATGTAGCCCCTCGTTTCCTCCATAATAATAGAATAAAGAGCCAGAGGAGTTCTGCTTTCCCATGACTTACATCACTCTGCAGACAATTGGCAGCCAGGAGACGGGCAGCTGCCGCAATCTTCAGATTTCTCTCTATTTAAAGTTCAAAGAGACGCTGGATAACAAAAGAAAGAGGTAAGCGTGGCCTGACCTAGCCACCCACCAACAGGAATAATGGCTGAAAAAGGTAAGATTTAAGGCATAGGATTCTCTTGGCAAAAAAAAAAAAAAGGCTTCTTGACTTTGGTTCATTTATGTTTCTTGGTGTTTCCCAGTCACTCTAAAAAATGTGATATCTATGCTAAATGACCATTAACCATATATGTTAGTGTGGCTGCAAAAATGCATTAATTATGTAATCTATGGATCAGGTCTATAGGTTATGAATAATTTTAAAATGATCAACAAAGGAAAAGAGCTTAATTTTGTTAATACTTATTTTGAAAGGTGAGTTAGAAATCAGTTCTCCTGATTTCAATTCTGAGCCAGAATTGAAGACAGTTAAGTTCTGTGTCAGACCTGCTAGTAAATGGCTATGTGAGTTTGCAGAAGTCCCTATACCTCTCTGAGTCTGTTTTCTGACAGTAAAATGAGAATATTGGGCTCAGGCATCTATTCCACACCTAAAATTTTTGTTCCACATCTAACTTTTTTCTGGTTTTTAAACATTTTTTTGTATTTATATTTTATAGTTATATAAAATAATTGATTCCAATTTGTCAAAAAGTTGAATATATACTGTATCTAAGAAATGGTTTTTAAATATTAAACAGGAATTTTTGCTTTGAATCTTGACAATGACCTTGTGAAATATGCATATCATCATCATCCCCATTTTATAGATAAGAAAATGGAGACACAGCAGTTTAGTAACTTGTTCATGATCGCTAAAGAGTGGTGGCACCAGGTGTTTAACCTGGACAGTCTTTTCCAGAGCACAGTGTCCTCAAGAACACTTCCAGCTGTAACTACTTTGATATGCTCAGAACTGGACAAGAGAGAAGCATTTTAGAATTACACTTCATGTTTAAGAGATGTTTTGTTCTTATTTGTGCTAGTAATGTAAGTGACATATGCAAAGTATGTTGTGCTCTTACGTATTTCTACTTCCAAACAATTCCACAGGTATTAGTAAAGTTGAAAACATTAGTGTTAAAAAAACAATGGAATGTATACTTTGGGTGTTAAAATGCACAGTTAGTGCTACTGGTACTATTTTACAAGGAAAGTAAATAATGAGATACTTTTAGGGCTTTGTGATATGTAAATTTTATTAAAATATGCATGTATAAAATATAAATGCACAATTAAAGGGTTAATATTAATTTTCAAATTCTTTGAAATTGGGAAAAATATAAAGCCACATACCTAGACAGTTCAAAAAAATTACTGCTATGTACTTCCATTGTAATGGTACCTTAATTCATAAAAAGGCTTTCGTCCAAATGAGAGTAAAGGGCAACTCATGTTGTTTGCTTTATCCTTAAGCAATACCACATGTCAAGTAAAGAGAAGAGTTTTCCATTTAGTGCTTAATGCCTTATACAAGGTCACAGTGAGATGGAGAAACAAGAAAAGCATGTTGAATTTTGTCAGTTAAGAGAGACTCTAGCATTCTTGGAAAAATTGATTTAAAGTATTAAAATTTATTTCAACTTCAGAAAGTTTGCTTTTATAAAAGTGTCTTCTAATTTTAAATGTGTCTCATCTCCTGATGATTTTATTTTAATAGCATTTTTAAAAATTTCACATTTTAAAGTGATGGAAATTGTAATAGGAGTATAATTGCTAAGAATATGCATTCTCTCTTTTAACTAATGGCATAAGATCTAATTATGCTTTGCAGTTAAGAATATATCTGAGTCCTTAACACAGGGACATTAATTCCATAGAATGTTTTTCTGCGCTCTTTCTAAATCTTTTTGTGTGATGTAGGTGTGGATTTCTGTGTGTATGCCTGTGTATGTTTGCTTGAAAGAACAAGAGTTACATGCAGTGCATACTTTAAAAAAGATACTTGTATAAATTGCTTTTTACAGGTAAGAGTACAAATAGGAGGCACAGAAGGAATCATATATAACAAACGCCATTTATGTGTGTGTTGGATTATTACTGCCCATTGATTCAGGTTCAGTGCTGGTTGTTATACTGAACAATTTTTAAACAATAGAAATTCTTTTCTGTAGTCAAGAATGGTTACATAATGTATGATACTTTCCTTTTCCCTGTGATATTTAAAATTACATTCAGCTATTGAGGCCAAGGACAGTTCTCAATACCTTTCCTTGTGTTATAATTATTTACTTTAGTGGGAATTGCCTCAGAGTTGTATTAGATTGTTTTTTATATAAATAGCTGCTGTATATGTTATTGCACAAATGCATGAATGTGTTCTGTATACACTAAACACACACGGTGGTTAGAGTTTACAAAGCTTTGCACATATGTTATGTCATTTGATGTTCAAAACTATTCCAGGAGGTAGAGAGCACAAGTTTCATTATTCATATTTTACCAGTAGGAAAGTTCAAGCCCAGAATTGCCAAAGGTCACATAACAGTAAAAGACCCATGGTTTGATTCAAAATACCCAGGGTTTATGACAGTCTCACGTATTCTCTGTAGAAAAGAAAAAATAATTATGTATGGGTATAACTAGAGAGTGTATGCTTTTTTCTTAATGTTACCAAATTCCTTTTATTCTCTTGACACAGAAAATTTAATATGAAAATGACCAATATAATCTGTTTTCTACGGTTTATTTTAAAGCGGGGTCTACATTTTCACACCTTCTGGTTCCTATTCTTCTCCTGATTGGCTGGATTGTGGGCTGCATCATAATGATTTATGTTGTCTTCTCTTAGAAAGGTAAGGGTTTTAATAATTGAATGTTTATTTATAGTCTAAATTACTCCAGAAACAATCTTTTCTATTTTACTAATGGAATGTTTTGTCTTTCAGGCAAGAAGATATCAGATTGACATCATTTAGAAGAATTAAGAAAACTATGAACATGACTGATTATTAAATGTCTCATGTTAAACAATGCAATGTTTGACATCACTTTACAAACTTGGATCATAAACTGGCACTTTGGTATGCATAAGAATTTCTTCAGGACAATAAGAAATTATGAGTGAATTTCTCTATATTCTGAGTGAGAAAAATGTTTAGCTGTGATGAAAAATGCATGTCATTAAAAAAAGTTTGATAAATTTAATCACATTACAAAAAATTATCCCCCCTTCCCTCTGGAAAAAACTATAGAGAAAGTGGGCTGAGGCTGTGCAAGGTGGCTCATGCCTGTAATCCCAGCACTTTGTGAGGATCCTTTGAGCCCAGAAATTGGAGACCTTCCTAGGCGACAGAGAGAGACCCCATCTCTACAAAAAAAAAAAAAAAAAAAAAAAAAAAGAAAGAAAATGGGCTAGAGATAAAAACAGACAATTCAGAGAACATATAATGTAAAAGTACACTTACTTAATCTCTTGTTCACAAAAAGAGAAATGTAATTAAAACTACACTGAGGAATTGTTGCTCACTTATCAGATGGGAAAAAAATAAAGATGTTTGACAACATATGAGTTGGTAAGACTGTGTGCAATTAGGCATTCTCATACATTGTCTTTGGGAATTCAAAATGGTACATTTTGCGGGATGTTTGGCAGTACATATCTATCAAAATTACATATATATTTAATTTTTGACTTAGCTATCCCTCTTCTAGGAATATGGCAATTTCCACAGGTACATGAGCAAAAATACAAAATGGCTCATATACAAGGCTATTTATTCTGGCATAATTTGTTTAGCAAAAACCTGGAAATAAGCCAAATATCTATTAATAGGGGATTAACTGAATAAACTGTGGTATGTCTACATAATGTAGTACTTACGCAGTTGTAAAAAGGAATGAAAAGGACTTTTAGATACTGATATGAAGAGATCTCCAGGACAAAAGTGTTAAGTGAAGAAGCCAGGTATAGGACAATGTATGCTACCTTTTATATGAGAGAAGAAGGGGCTATACCAATGTGTACATGTATTTGTTGAAATTAGAATATTGAAACTGAGGAGAAACAAATGGAGGCTAGATATCTCTGAATATGCCTTGTTTTATAGTTCTTATTTTTGGAATCATATAACTATTTTATAAGTTAAAAAGAAAAAAATAATTTCTCAAAATTGAAAACAAACTAAAGCAAATATGAGAGTATATCAAGTTGTGGCATAACCACACAGAGAAAAGACATATTTCATACATCTTTATAACAGCATATTTGACTGTACACCTCTTATGGGATAAAAATCTTAACCACATTCAGTAGTCTTTTTGTTCATGGTAATATTGATATGGTTGGTTTGAATTCATATCATCAGCATAAATTCAAGTAAATAATTGGTGATATTAAATCTGAATTGCAAATATCAGTATAAACTAATTCTTTTTCTTCTAAAACAAAAAGTCTATTCAAACTCTGTCCACTGGAAAAGCCTGGGAGGAAGGAGTCCAGTCTGTAAGTCCAGTCTCCACTCAAAGGAGGCAGGGATCCCTGCCCTAGTCTGGGACAGAAAATGTACAGTGTAATTTGCAATTTCATACTGAATGGATTAGTCTGATTATACCTGCACCCACTGATCAATTTAACATCACCAAAACTATTGCAACTCAACATTGTGTTTCTCCTGATAGGATATGGTAGAAAGTACAGAGTACCACCTATGAAGTATTCTTGCCAAAACAAGTGAACCTGAAGCAGAACAAGTTTCTGGATCAATCTACAAGGCTACTTTAAAGAAAATCATGAGGATATATTCTGCCAAGTCCAAAGTGTGGAAAATTATAAAGGATACATGATCTGGTTTTTCCAACAAATAGCTAACATTAAGAAGTGAGGTGGGGGCCGGCGCAGTGGCTCACGCCTGTAATCCCAGCACTTTGGGAGGCCGAGGTGGGCGGATCACAAGGTCAGGAGATTGAGACCATCCTGACCAACATGGTGAAACCCCATCTCTTCTAAAAACACAAAAATCAGTTGGGCGTGGTGGTGCATGCCTGTAATCCCAGCTACTCGGGAGGCTGAGGCAGGAGAATTGCTTGAACCAAGGAGCTGGAGGTTGCAGTGAGCTGAGATCACACCACTGCACTCCAGTCTAGTGACAGAGTGAGACTCCATCTCAAAAAAAAAAAAAAAAAAAGTGAAGTGGGAAAGGAGAAACTATTACAGAATAAAAGAGACTTAAAAGGATAGCCAACAAATGCAATATATGAATCAACTACAAAAGACACATTTTTGCATGTCTGTGATAAAGATATTAAGGAATTGTTATTTATTCTAAACATTACATGTTAGGATTTGAATATGGTTTGTTTTTCTCCACCAAATCTCATATTGAAATTTAATTCCCAGAGTGGCAATTTTGGGAGGCGGGGCCTAGTGGCAGATGTTTGGGTCACAGGAATGGATCCCTCCTAAAGGCTTGGTGCCTTTCTCTTGGTAATGAGAGAGTTCTCACTCCCTAGAGACTAGGATGGCTCCTTAGAAAGTGGGTTGTTATGAAGCGAGAATGCCCCTTGGGCTTGGCCCCTCTTCACACTTGGCCGCTTACCTGTTGACCTCTGCCATGTTTTGACTCAGCACAAAAGCCTCACCATAAGCTGAGCAAGATGTCAACACCATGCTTCTTATACAGCCTGTGGAATGAGCTTATTAAACCTCTTTTCTTTATAGATCACCCAGCCTCAGGTATTTCTTTTAGCAACACGAAATGGACTAAGACACTATAATAATGACTTGGCAATAGAAAAGACTCTTACCTGTTAGAGACAATACTGAAATAATTGCTGGTTAGATATTAGGATACCTTTACCTTAAAATATTATCTTAAAATATTCCTATAGAAAAACTAAAACTATAAAACTAAATTATAAAACTGAAACTATATAAAAACTTTAAAAAAAGCTAAAAAATGAAGTGGGGAACATTAAATAAGACAGGCAAAATGTTGACATTTGCTTAAGATGAATGGTGATCTCATAAGGATTTATTATACTCTTTATTCTACTTTTGTGAATATTTAAACATTTTTATAAGAAGTTTCCTTTTTCCTCCCGGTGACTCTGTGTTGCAAAGTGTAATTAATACAAGTGAGCAAAATTACACAAAATAAAACACAGTGCTGTTCCTGAACCTCACCCTGGGAGAGTCTGATTCAGCAGGTGTGCACTGGGTCCAGAAATCTGCATTTTAACAAATTCCTCCAGGGATCCTTGGGCACACTAAAATTTAAGAACCATTGTTTTAGAGAAGTGGTGCTCAGACTTTAGTGCACATCAGTATCCTCTGGAGAACTTGTTAAAGCACAGATAGCTGGACATCATTCTCAGAGTTTCTGATTCAGATCTGGGGTGGGAGCCTGCGAATTTAATTTCTAACAAGTTTTCAGGTGACGCTGCTGCTGCTGCCTTGGGATCTGTATTTTGAGAACTGCTGTTTAGAAGGGAGTTGATTTATTCCTCATAACTTTCACGCTATCTTCCATTTGATTAATTTCTCTACATAAATTAATCCTTTTATGAAAAAATTAGAAAAAGCTTTTGCTCTATTCATTGATTCTGATCTTTTAAACTTGGCTAAACACTTCAAAAATGCTTCTTAAATATATTTAGAGAAATATTTACAAAATTTAAGCAGAAAATGTACACAAAATCAGGCTCAACTCATTTCATTAATGACTTGCCCTAATTTAAGTTTTCTCCAGACCTGACAAAAACTAACTCACCTTCAATCAGAGGTCTTGCTGCAGTTGACTCCTACAGGCTTCTCGAAGCTGATTGTTAATATCTTCAGGAATTTTGTATTAGTCAGTGTCTCATCTGTAGCTTGAAACTGGCCATGGTGGAGTATGTACACCACAAAAATCAACAAATGCTATATATTAGGATTTGTTTTGCTAAATCGCCAGCTCCTAAACATTTACCAGCACACCACTGCCTTGAATCCTTTTGTCTGATGCTTATACAGGTTTGTCAGGGATTCAAGACCAGCCACTTTTGAAAAAAAATCTTCTTGAGATAATTAGAAAGATGATCTCTTCATTTACTTGAGCTCTTTTTGTGCTATAGACTTTAATGAGAAATCTGTGAAAGCTATAAACTCTCCCAGAAACCAAACATTCAAAAAACATTGCAGATACTATTTCAAGGTGTTTATGGACCTCTTGATATCTATAGAAAAGACACCTTGGGTTAAGTAACTCCTTAAGTGTTTCCTACTTTCTGAAGCCTTTAGGCTTCTTCACAACTTGGCTCCAGTTTTACCTGGAGTTAAAGACATGTCCTCATGTTTAAGCTTTCTTTCTAGATAAAGACCAGTTTTTCTTTTTACCCTTTTAAAAAAAATTGTTATTTATTCATTTATTTTAATGGACAAAAAATGTATATATTTAGGGTGTACATATTTCAATATATGTATAAATTATGGAATGACTAAATCAAATTAATTAACATATATGTTACCTTGCATACTTATCATCCCTTTGTGGTGAGAACATCAAAGTCTACTCTCTTGCCCCAGTCAATGGCACATGCCCATAGGTCGTAGCTACTTAGGAGGCTGAGGCGAGAAGACCACTTGAGGCCAGGAATTTAAGCCTTCAATGCATTATGTTCATGCCTGTGAATAGCCACTGCACTGCGGCCTGGGCAACATAGCAAGACCCCATCTCTAAAACAACAACAACAACAACAAAAACTACTCTCTTAGAAATTTTTAAGTATATGATACATTGTTATTAATTATAATCACTGCATTGTGCAATAGATCTTCTGAACTTATTTCTCCCGTCTAACTAAAATTTTGTATCCTTTGACCAACATCTTCAATCCCCACCCACTCCTCCCTCAGACCCTGGCAACCACCGTTTTATTCTCTGCTTCTATGAGTTCAATTTTCATTTAAAATCCCCATATAAGTGAGATAATTTGGTATTTATCTTTCTGCACCTGGTTTATTTCACTTAGCGTAATGTCTTCTAGGTTCATCCATGTTGTCAAAAATTACAAAATTTTCTTCAAGGCTGAATAACATACCATTGTGTATATATACCACATTTTCTTTATCCATTCACCTGCTGACAGACACTTTGGGTGATTTTATATCATGGCTATTGTGAATAATGCTGCAATAAACATGGGAGTATAGATGTCTTTTTGACATACTGCTTTTATTTCCTCTGGATATATATCAAGTAGTGGGATTGTTAGATCATATTACAGTTCTGATTTTAATGGAAACGTTTTCTCTAACGGAAGACTGGGTGTTTCTATTACTTCTTTCTACTGACACAACTTGGCATTACCAGTCAGCTTTTTTGATTTCTTTGGTTTTTAAACAGACAGGGTTAGAAGACAAAATATCGTGGCAATCTATGTCCTATGTTTGTCAGAGTAACTTTCCTTTCTTTAGTCTGGAGTATTTTTCTCCACATGCACTGGTCCTTTTCTTTAGCTCACTGAAGCTATAGACTAGCTCATTTCTTGCTCAAATATGTGCACAACTTCCTCTGAAACACAGAGATCTTCAGTTTTCCCAGAAATCTTTTTTTTTTTGAGGGAGAGTCTTGCTCTGTTGCCCAGGCTGGACTGCAGTGGCATGATCTCGGCTCATTGCAACCTCTGCCTCCTGGGTTTAAGCAATTCTCGTGCCTCAGCTTCCTAAGAAGCTGGGATTACAGGCATGCACTACCACGCCCGGCTACTTTTTGTATTTTTAGTAGAGAAGGGGTTTCGTCATATTGGCCAGGCTGGTCTCAAACATCTTGCCTCAAGCAATTTGCCTGCCTCAGCCTCCCAAAGTGCTGCGATTACAGGTGATTTAGCTGATCCCATAGACCCTAAGTCCTTTACCCATTCTTCCTCTCATTCTCTCAAAAAGGCCCTAGAAACAGCTCCCACACTAGCACTCCCTGACTTATCCCAACCTTTTTCCTTACACACAGCTGAAATACAAGGCTGTGCTGCTGGAGTTCTCACACAGGAGCCAGGCCCACGACCTGTAGCCTTTCTATCCAAACAACTTGACCTTACAGTTCTAGGCTGGCCCTGATGTCTACGTGCGGTGGCAGCTGC
Source organism: Homo sapiens (assembly GCF_000001405.40). Lineage (NCBI taxonomy): Eukaryota > Metazoa > Chordata > Mammalia > Primates > Hominidae > Homo > Homo sapiens. Next base: position 155,284,677 of record NC_000003.12, on the reverse strand, counting down.
CGCTTTAATACTTCTAGAGGCCCTCAAAATCACAAGCTATGCTCCACTTACCCTCTACAGTTCTCACAACCTTCAAGCATTAATATTCTCCTCACACCTTTCACACTTGCTGTCTGCCCCTCGACTCCTCCAGCTCTATTTACTCTTTATTGAAACCCCAACAGTAACTATTACCCATGGGCCCCATTTCAACCCAGCTTCTCACTTAGCACCCAGCACAAGTCCTGAGCCACATGACTGTATCTCCCTAATACACATAGCATCTTCCCCCTTTCCTCATATTTCTATTTTTCCAATCCCAAACCCAGACCACACTTGGTTTATTGAGGGCATTTCTTCTAAACCCAACCAATTCTTGCCAGCTAAATCTGGTGATGCTGTTGTGTCCCACACCTCTATTATCGAAGCTACTGCACTTCCTCCCTCCACTACTTCCCGACCAGCTGAACTGAGTGCTTTAACTCGTGTGCTCTCTCTTGCCAAAGGAATGTACATTAACATTTACACTGACTGCAGATATGCTTTCCACATCCTCCATAACCATGCTGCCATTTGGGCTGAAAGAGGTTTTCTCACCACACAAGGCTCTTCCATTATCAATGCCTCTCTAATGAAGGCCCTCCTTAAGGCTGCTCTCCTGCCTGCCAAGGCTGGGGTCATTCATTGGAAAGATCATCAGGAACCAACTGATCTTATTGCTAAAGGAAATGCCTATGCCGACAGGACAGCAAAAGAAAGTAAATGCCTCCACACCCGCAAATATTCCAGCCCTCACTCCAAAAGGCCAGTATTTTTCTTTCTTCTCTATCACCTCCACCTACTCCTCTTCTGAAAACCTGCTCTACCAGTCTTTTCCAACTCAGGGCAAGTGGTTCTTAGATCATGGAAATTTCATTCTTCCTCAGCTTAATCCAGGAGACAAAGATTATTTTACTTATTATCTCTCCTGCATAGGATCTGCAATCAGAACTATTAAACTTCTCCATTCAGACCTCCACTCACACCTATGGAAAAAGCGTGATATAATAGATCGTTGGCTTAACAACAGGGAATCCTATCATACGATGGGAAATGGGGACAAAAAGCTTTCGTATGTAAAACATTATTCCTTCCTTGGCCTAAAAAACTCACTGCCACCTACCTTAAAGGTATTATGCTTAATTGCTATTTTTAAAAAATTTTTCTATTAGGACAATTCCAAACTCAAAAATATGCTGACTGATGCCTTGTTAACCACATAAAATTGTACTCAAAAACTTTCTAGACCAACTTGCTATAAAATTAAAGTTTCTTTAGGTGCCCATGCCACCCCTAAGTCATGCTTGAAGCAGCCCTGAGAAACATCGCCCCTACCCCAATAACCCTCAGTAAAAACTTTCATTTTCTTTATCTTCTCTTATAACTTTATATTTTATAAATAAAAAGACAGGAATGTCAGGCCTCTGAGCCGAAGCTCAGCCATTATAACCCTTGTGACCTGCACATATACATCCAGGTGGCCTGCAGGAACCAAGAAGTCTGGAGCAGCCAAAAAACCACAAAGAAGTAAAACAGCCAGTTCCTGCCTTAACTAATTAACCCACCTTATGACATTCTATCATTATGACTTGTTCCTGCCCTGCCCCAACTGATCAATCCACCCTGTGACATTCTTCTCCTGGACAATGAGTCCCGTGATCTCTCCACCACGCACCTTGTAACCGCCTCTCCTGCTAACAATAGATAACCACATTTAACTGTAAATTTCCACTGCCTACCCAAGCCCTATAAAGCTGCCCCTCTCCTATCTCCCTTTGCTGACTCTTTTTTCAGACTCAGTCCACTTGCACCCAAGTGAATAAACAGCCTTGTTGCTCACACAGAGTCTGTTTGGCGGTCTCTTCACACGGATGCACTTGACACTCACCTTATGTTTTTGTTTGCTTTGTTGAAGATCAGTTGGCTCTAAGTATTTGGCTTTCTTTCTGAGTTCTTTATTCTGTTCCATTGGTCTATGTGTCTATTTTTATACCAGTCCCATGCTGTTTTGGTGACTATGGCCTTATAGTTTAGCTTGAAGTCATGTAATGTGATGCCTCCACATTTTTTTCTTTTTGCTTAGTCTTGCAAAAAGCAAGACTCTGTGGCCTCTTTTTTGGTTCCATATGAATTTTAGGATCTTTTTTCTACCTCTGTGAAGAATGATGATGGTATTACTCATGGAGGGTGTCCAGATTCTTGGCGTCTTGAACAAAGAATTGGACAAAATGCAAAAACAAAGCAAGGAAAGCAAAAGCAGAGATTTATTGAAAATGAAAGTACATTCCACAGGGTGGGAGTGGGCCTAAGCAGAGGGGCTCAAGAGACCTGGTTACAGAATTTTCTGGGGTTTCAATACTCTCTAGAGTTTTCCCACTGGTTACTTTGTGCATGCTCTGTGTAAATGAAGAGAATGAAGTGAAGTTACAAAGTCATTTACTCAGAATGCACCCTATGTAAATGGAGAGGATGTTACTTGGTGTGTATGATCTATGTAAATGGAGACGATGAATGTGAAGTTACAAAGTGTAAATGGTGTAAGTGGAGAGGATGGAGTGAAGTTACAAAACCATTCACATTCCTGTCATTGCTGAAGTGCTTCCATTTGATTTAATTCTAGGAAGTCAGCCTGGATCGGCCTTATGTTCCCTGCCTCCAGGCACTATTCTCCAGCCTCAGTGGTATTTTGATGGGAATTGCATTGAATTTGTAGGTTGCTTTTGGCAATATGGTCATTTACACAATATTGATTCTACCCATCTATGAGTATGGGATGCGTTTCCATTTGTTTTGTGTCATCCATGATTTCTTTCAGCAGTGTTTTGTAGTTTTCCTTGTAGAGGTCTTTCACCTCCTTGGTTAGATATATTCCTACGTATTTTATTGTTTTTGCAGCTTTTGTGAAAGGGGTTGAGTTCTTGATTTGATTCTCAGTTTGATCACTGTTGGTGTATAGCAGAACTACTGACTTGTGCACATTAATTTTGTATCCTGAAACTTCGCTGAATTTACTTACCAGTTCTAGGAGCTTTTTGGATGAGTCTTTATGGTTTTCTAGATATACAATTATATCATCAGCAAACAGTGACAGTTTGACTTCATCTTTATTGATTTGGATGCCCTTTATTTCTTTCTCTTGTCTGATTGCTCTAGCCAGGACTTCCAGTACTATGTTGAATAGAAGTGATGAAAGTGGGCATCCTTGTCTTGTTCCAGTTCTCAGGGGAAATGCTTTCGACTTTGCCCCATTCGGTATAATGTTGGCTGTGGTTTGTCATAGATGGCTTTTATTACCTTAAGCCCTTCTATGCCAATTTTGTATGTATGTCCCTTCTATGCCAATAGAAGTATGTCCCTTCTATGCCAATTTTGCTGAGGGTTTTAATCATAAAGGATGCTAGATTTTGTCAAATGCTTTTTCTGCATCTATTGAGATGATTATGTGATTAAAAAAATTCTGTTTCTGTGGTGATTCATATTTATTGACTTATATATGTTGAACCATCCCTGCATCCCTGGGATAAAACCAAATAGATTACAGTGGATTATCTTTTTGCTATGCTGTTAGATTCAGTCCGCTAGTATTTTGTTGAGAATTTTAGCATCTATGTTCATCAAGGATATTGATCTGTAGTTTTTGTTGTTGTTGTTGTTGTTGTTATGTCCTTTTGTGGTCTTGGTATCAGGGTGATACTGGCTTCATAGAATGATTTAGGGCAGATTCCCTTTTTCTCTATCGAAAAGGATTGGTACTAATTCTTCTTTGAATATCTGACAGAATTCAGCTGTGAATCCATCTGATCCTGGACTTTTTTTGTTGGCAATTTTAAAATTACCATTTCAATCTCACTGCTTGTTATTTGTCAGACCTCTGAGCCCAAGCTAAGCCATCATATCCCCTGTGACCTGCATGTGTACATCCAGATGGCCTGAAGTAACTGAAGAATGACAAAAGAAGTGAAAATGGCCTGTTCCTGCCTTAACTGATGACATTACCATGTGAAATTCCTTCTCCTGGCTCATCCTGGCTCAAAAGCTCGCCTGCTGAGCACCTTGTGACCCACCCCCCACTCCTGCCCGCCAGAGAACAACCCCCCTTTGACTGTAATTTTCCTTTACCTACCCAAATCTTATAAAACGGCCCCAACCCATCTCCCTTCGCTGACTTTCTTTTCGGACTCAGCCCGCCTGCACCCAGGTGAAATAAACAGCCTTGTTGCTCACACAAAGCCTGTTTGGTGGTCTCCTCACATAGATGAGTGTGAAATTTGGTGCTGTGACTCAGATCAGGGGACCTCCCTTGGGAGATCAATCCCCTGTCCTTCTGCTCTTTGCTCCATGAGAAAGATCCACCTACGACCTCAGGTCCTCAGACTGACCAGCCCAAGGAACATCACACCAATTTTAAATAAGGTAAGCGGCCTCTTTTTACTCTCTTCTCCAACCTCTCTCACTATCCCTCAACCTCTTTGTCCTTTCAATCTTGGCACCAAACTTCAATTTCTCCCTTCTCTTAATTTCAGTTCCTTTCCTTTTCTTGTAGAGACAAGATATGAGTTTTATCCGTGGACCCAAAACTCCGGTGCTGGTCACGGACTTGGGAAGACAGTCTTCCCTTGGTATTTAATCATTGCGGGGACGCCTACCTGATTATTCACCCACATTTCAGAGGTGTCTGACCACTTGGGAATGCCTGCCTTGGTCCTTCATCCTTAGTGGCAAGTACCACTTTTCTGGGGGGCAAGAACCCCCCCCAACCCCTTCTCTCCATGTCTCTACCCCTTCTCCGCTTTTCTTGGAGGGCAAGAACCCCCCGACGCCTTCTTTCCATGTCTCTACCCCTTCTCCACTTTTCTAGAGGGCAAGAACCCCCTGACCCCTTCTCTCCGTGTCTCTATCCCTTCTCCACTTTCCTGGGGGACAAGCACCCCCACCCCTTCTCTCCATGTCTCTACTCTCTCTTTTCTCTGGGCTTGCCTCCTTCACTATGGGCAAGCTTCCGCCCTCCATTTCCCCTTCTTCTCCCTTAGCCTGTGTTCTTAAAAGTCTAAAACATCTTTAACTCACACATGACCTAAAACCTAAATACCTTATTTTCTTCTGCAATGCTGCTTGACCTCAATACAAACTTGACAGTGGTTCCAAATAGCCGGAAAACGGTGCTTTTGATTTTTCCATCCTACAAGATCTGAATAATTCTTGTTGTAAAATAGGCAAATGGTCTGAGGTGCCTGACATCCAGGCATTCTTTTACACATCGGTCCCTCCCTAGTCTCTGTTCCCAATGCAACTCGCCCCAAATCTTCCTTCTTTCCCTCCCACCTGTCCCCTCCGTCCCAACCCCAAGCATCGCTGAGTCTTTCTAATCTTCCTTTTCTACAGACCCATCTGACCTCTCCCCTCCTCACCAGGCTGAGCTAGGTCCTAATTCTTCCTCAGCCTCTGCTCCTACACCCTATAATCCTTTTATCACCTCCCCTCCTCACACCCAGTCCGGCTTACAGTTTCATTCCACCACCTGCCCAGCAATTTCCTCTTAAAAAGGTGGCTGGAGCTAAAGGCATAGTCAATGTTAATGCTCCTTTTTCTTTCTCTGACCTCTCCCAAATCAGTTAGTGTTTAGGCTCTTTTTCATCAAATATGAAAAACTCAGCTCAGTTCATGGCCCGTTTAGCAGCAACCCTAAGACACTTTACAGCCCTAGATCTTGAAAGGTCAGAAGGCCATCTCATTCTCAATATGCATTTTATTTTATTACCCAATCTGCTCCCGACATTAAATAAAGCTCCAAAAATTAAATTCCAGCCCTCAAACCCCACAACAGGACTTAGTTAACCTCACCTTCAAGGTGTACAATAATAGAGTACAGGCAGCCAAGTAGCAACATATTTCTGAGTTGCAATTCCTTGCCTCCACTGTGAGAGAAACCCCATACACATCTCCAGCACACAGGAACTTCCAAATGCCTAAACCCCACGGCCAGGCATTCCTCCAGGCCTGCCTCCCCCAGGAGCTTGCTACAAGTGCCAGAAATCTGGCCACCAGGCCAAGGAATGCCCACGTCCTGGGATTCCTCCTAAGCCATGTCCCATCTGTGTAGGACCCCACTGGAAACTGGACCATCCAACTCTCCCGGCAGCCACTTCCAGAGCCCCTGGAACTCTGGCCCAAGGCTCTCTGACTGACTCCTTCCCAGATCTTCTTGGCTTAGCACCTGAAGACTGATGCTGCTCAATCACCTTGGAAGCCTACAGGACCATCACAGACACTTTCGGTAACTCTTACAGTGGAGGGTAAGTCCATCCCCTTCTTAATCAATATGGAGCCTACCCACTCCACATTACCTTCTTTTCAAAGGCCTGTTTCCTTTGCCTCCATAACTATTGTGGGTATTGACGGCCAGGCTTCTAAACCTCTTAAAACTCCCCAACTCTGGTGCCAACTTAGACAATACTCTTTTAAGCACTCCTTTTTAGTTATCCCCACCTGCCCAGTTCCCTTATTAGGCTGAGACACTTTAACAAACTTATCTGCTTCCCTGACTATTCCTGGGCTACAGCCACACCTCATTGCCGCCTTTTCCTCCAGTTCAAAGCCTCCCTCACATCCTCCCCTTGTATCTCCCCACCTTAACCCACAAGTATAAGACATCTCTACTCCCTCCTTAGCGACCGATCATGCACCCCTTACCATCCCATTAAAACCTAATCACCCTTACCCTGCTCAATGCCAATATCCCATCCCACAGCACACTTTAGAAGGATTAAAGTCTGTTATCACTCGCCTGCTACAGCATGGCCTTTTAAAGCCTATAAACTCTCCCTACAATTCCCCCATTTTACCTGTCCTAAAACCAGATGAGGCTTATAGGTTATTTCAGGATCTGCACCTTATCAACCAAATTGTTTTGCCTATCCACACCATGGTGCCAAACCCATATATTCTCCTATCCTCAATACCTCCCTCCACAACCCATTATTCTGTTCTGGATCTCAAACATGCTTTCTTTACTATTCCTTTGCACCCTTCATCCCAGCCTCTCTTCACTTTCACTTGGACTGATGCAGACACCCATCAGGCTCAGCAAATTACCTGGGCTGTACTGCCGCAAGGCCTCACAGACAGCCCCCATTACTTCAGTCAAGACTAAATTTCTTCCTCATCTGTTACCTATCTCGGCATAATTCTCATAAAAACACATGTGCTCTCCCTGCTGATCGTGTCCGACTGATCTCTCAAACCCCAATACCTTCTACAAAACAACAACTCCTTTCCTTCCTAAGCATGGTTAGATACTTTCGACTTTAGATACCTGCTTTTGCCATCCTAACAAAACCATTATATAAACTCACAAAAGGAAACCTAGCTGACCCCATAGATTCTAAATCCTTTCCCCACTCCTCTTTCCATTCCTTGAAGACAGCTTTAGAGACTGCCCCCATCCTAGCTCTCCCTGACTCATCCCAACCTTTTTCATTACACACAGCTGAAGTGCAGGGCTGTGTAGTCAGAATTCTTACACAAGGACCGGGATCGCGTCCTGTAGCCTTTTTGTCCATACAACTTGACCTTACTGTTTTAGGCTGGTCATCATGTCTCTGTGCAGTGGCTGTGGCCACCCTAATACTTTTAGAGGCCCTCAAAATCACAAACTATGCTCAATTCACTGTCTACAGCTCTCATAACTTCCTAAATCTATTTTCTTCCTCACACCTGATGCATATACTTTCTGCTCCCTGGCTCCTTCAGCTATACTCACTCTTTGTTGAGTCTCCCACAATTACCATTGTTCCTGGCTCAGACTTCAATCCAGCCTCCCACATTATTCCAGATACCACACCTGACCCTCATGACTGCATCTCTCTGATCCACCTGACATTCACCCCATTTCCCCATATTTCCTTCTTCCCTGTTCCTCACCCTGATCACATTTGGTTTATTGATGGCAGTTCCACCAGGCCTAATTGCCACTCACCAGCAAAGGCAGGCTATGCGAATAGTATCTTCCACATCTATCATCGAGGCTATCACTCTGCCCCCCTCCACTACCTCTCAGCAAGCCGAACTAGTTGCCTTAACTCAGGCCCTCACTCTTGCAAAAGGACTATGCATCAATATTTATACTGACTCTAAATATGCCTTCCATATTCTGCACCACCATGCTGTTATATAGGCTGAAAGAGGTTTCCTCACTACACAAGGGTCCTCCGTCTTTAATGCCTCTTTAATAAAAACTCTGCTCAAGGCCGCTTTACTTCCAAAAGTAGCTGGAGTCATTCACTGCAAAGGCCATCAAAAGGCGTCAGATCCCATTGCTCTAGGCAACGCTTATGCTGATAAGGTGGCTAGACAAGCAGCTAGTGTTCCAACATCTGTCCCTCATGGCCAGTTTTTCTCCTTCACATCAGTCACTCCCACCTACTCCTCCGCTGAACCTTCTACTTATCAATCTCTTCCCACACAAGGCAAATGGTTCTTAGACCAAGGAAAATATCTCCTTCCAGCCTCACAGGCCCATTTTATTCTGTCATCATTTCATAACCTCTTCCATGTAGGTTACAAGCCGCTAGCCTGTCTCTTAGAACCTCTCATTTCCTTTCCATCATGGAAATCTATCCTCAAGGAAATCACTTCTCAGTGTTCCACCTGCTATTCTACTACCCCTCAAGGATTGTTCAGGCCTCCTCCCTTTCCTACACATCAAGCTCAGGGATTTGCCCCTGCCCAGGACTGACAAATTGACTTTACTCACATGCCCCGAGTCAGAAAACTAAAATACCTCTTAATCTAGGTAGACACTTTCACTGGATAGGTAGAGGCCTTTCCCACAAGGTCTGAGAAGGCCACTGTGGTCATTTCTTCCCTTCTGTCAGACATAATTCCTCAGTTTAGCCTTCCCACCTCTATACAGTCTGATAACGGACCAGCCTTTATTAGTCAAATCACCCACGCAGTTTTTTCAGGTTCTTGGTATTCAGTGAAATCTTTATATCCCTTACCGTCCTCAATCTTCAGGAAAGGTAGAACTGACTAATGGTCTTTTAAAAACACACCTCATCAAGCTCAGCCACCAACTTAAAAAGAACTGGACAATACTTTTACCACTTGCCCTTCTCAGAATTCAGGCCTGTCCTTGGAATGCTACAGGGTACAGCCCATTTGAGCTCCTGTGTAGATGCTCCTTTTTATTAGGCCCCAGTCTCATTCCAGACACCAGACCAACTTGGACTGTGCCCCAAAAAACTTGTCATCCCTGCTATCTTCTGTCTAGTCATACTCCTATTCACCATTCTCAACTACTCCTAAATGCCCTGCTCTTGTTTACACTGCCGGCTTACACTGTTTCTCCAAGCCATCACAGCTGTTATCGCCTGGTGCTATCCCCAAACCGCCACTCTTAACTCCCTCTTAAAATAAATAAATAATCTTTGCTGGCAGGGCTATGCTGAACCTCCTTAGGCACTCTCTAATTAGATGTCCTAGGTCCTCCCAATTCTTAGTCCTTTCAAACCTGTTTTTCTCCTTGTCTTATTCCATTTAGTTTTTCAATTCATACAAAACTGTATCCAGGCCATCACCAATAATTCTATAGGACAAATGTTTCTTCTAACAACCCCACAATATCACCCCTTACCACAAAATCTTCCTTCAGCTTAATCTCTCCCACTCTAGGCTCCCACGCCGCCCCTAATCCTGCTCCAAGCAGCCCTGAGAAACATCGCCCATTATCTCTCCATACCAACCCCCAAAATTTTCGCTGCCCCAACACTTTACCACTATTTCATTTTATTTTTCTTATTAATATAAGAAGACAGGAATGTCAGGCCTCTGAGCCCAAGCTAAGCCATCATATCCTCTGTGACCTGCATGTATACATCCAGATGGCCTGAAGTAACTGAAGAATGACAAAAAAGTGAAAATGGCCTGTTCCTGCCTTAACTGATGACATTACCTTGTGAAATTCCTTCTCCTGGCTCATCCTGGCTCAAAAGCTCCCCCACTGAGCACCTTGTGACCCCACCCACTACTCCTGCCTGCCAGAGAACAACCCCCCTTTGACTGTAATTTTCCTTTACCTACCCAAATCTTATAAAACAACCCCACCCCTATCTCCCTTCGCTGACTCTTTTTTCAGACTCAGCCCGCCTGCACCCAGGTGAAATAAACAGCCTTGTTGCTGACACAAAGCCTATTTGGTGGTCTCTTCACACGGATGCGCATGAAATTATTGGTCTGTTCAGAGATTCTATATCTTCCTAGTTTAATCTAGAAGGGTTGTATATTTTCAGGAATTTATCCATCTCCTCTAGGTTTTCTGGTTTGTGTGCATACAGGTATTCATAGTAGCCTTGAATAATCTTTTGTATTTCTGTGGTATCAGTCATACTACTTCCCATTTCATTTCTAATTGAGCTTATTTGGATCTTCTCTCTTTTCTTGGTTAATCTTGCTAATGATCTATTAATTTTATTTATCTTTTCAAAGAATCAGCTTTTTGTTTCATTACTTTTGTATTTTTTTGTTTCAATTTCATTTAGTTCTGCTCTGATCTTCTTTATTTATTTTCTTCCACTGGGTTTGGGTTTGAATTGTTCTTGTTTCTCCAGTTCCATGAGGTTTGACCTTAGATTGTCTATTTGTGCTCTTTCAGACTTTTTGATGTAGGCATCTAATGCTATAAACTTTCCTCTTAGCACCACTTTTGCTGTATCCCAGAGGTTTTGATAGGTTGTGCCACTATTATCATTCGGTTCAAAAAATTCTTTAATTTCTATCTTGATTTTATTGCGGACCCAGTGATCATTCAGGAGCAGATTATTTAATTTCCATGTATTTGCATGGTTTTGAGGGTTCCTTTTGGAGTTGATTTCCAATTTTATTCCACTGTGGTTTGAAGGAATACTTGATATAATTTTGATTTTCTCAAATTTACTGAGACTTGTTTTGTGGCCTGTCATATTATCTATCTTGGAGAATACTCCATGTGCTGATGAATAGAATGTATATTCTGCAGTTGTCAGGTAGAATATTCTGTAAATATCTGTTAAGTTCATTTGTTGTAGGATATAGTTTAGGTCAGTTCTTTCTTTGTTGACTTTCTGTCTTGATGACCAGTCTAGTGCTGTCAGTCATGTATTAAAGTGCTGTCAGTCATGTATTAAAGTCCCCTGCTATTATTGGGTTGCCAACTATCTCATTTCTTAGGTCTAGTAATAATTGTTTTATAAATTTGGGAGCTCCAGTGTTAGGTACATATATATTTAGAATTGTGATATTTTCCTGTTGGACTAGTCCTTTTATCATTATATGATGTCCCTCTTTGTTTTTGTTTTTTTTTGTTGTTATTGTTTGTTTTTTTTTTGGTTTTTTGAGATGAAGTTTCACTCTTGTTGCTGAGGCTGGAGTGCAATGATGCAATCTTGGCTTGCTGCCTCCTGGGTTCAAGTGATTCTCATGCCTCAGCCTCCCGAGTAGCTGGGATTACAGGTGCCTGCCACTATGCCTGGCTAATTTTTGTATATTTAGTAGAGAGTGGGTTTTACCATGTTGGCCAGGCTGGCCTCAAACTTCTGACCTCAGGTGATCTGCCTGCCTTGGCCTCTCAAAGTGCTGGGATTACAGGTGTGAGCCACCACACCCGGCCCCTTTGTCTTTTTTAACTGCTGTTGCTTTAAAATTTGTTTTGTCTGATATAAGAATAGCTACTCCTGCTTGCTTTTGATGTCCATTTGCATGGAATATCTTTTTCCACCCCTTTACCTTTTTATGTGAGTTTGTATGTGTTAGGTGAGTCTCCTGAAGGCAGCAGAAACTTGGTTGATGAATTCTTATTCATTCTGCAATTCTGTATCTTTCAAGTGGAACATTTAGACCATTTACATTCAATGTTAGTATTGAGATGTGAGGTACTATTCTATTAATCCTGCTATTTGTTGCCTGAATACCTTTATTTTCATTGTATTATTGTTATGTAGGTCCTGTGAGATTTATGCTTTAAGGAGTTTTTTTTTTTTTTTTTTTGGTGTATTTTGAGGATTTGTTTCAAGATTTAGACCTTTTAGCAGTTCTTGTAGTGCTGGCTTGGTAGTAGTGAATTCTCTCAGCATTTGTTTGTCTGGAAAAGACTGTATCTTTCTTTCTTTTATGAAGCTTAGTTTCACTAGATACAAAATTCTTGACTGATAATTGTTTTGTTTAAGGTGGCTAGAAATAGAACCCCAATCCCTTCTAGCTTGTAGGGTTTCTGCTGAGAAATTTGCTGTTAATTTGAAAGGTTTTCCTTTATAGGTTACCTACACTTTTGCCTCATAGCTCTTAAGATTCTTTCTTTCATCCTGACTTTGGATAACCTGATGACACTGTACCTGGGCAGTGATCTTTTTGCAATGAATTTCCTACATGTTCTTTGAGCTTCTCATATTTGCATGTCTAGATCTCTAGCAAGGCTGGGAAGTTTTCCTTGATTATTCCCTCAAATATGTTTTCCAAACTTAGATTTCTCCTCCTCCTCAGGAATACCAATTATTCTTAGGTTTGGATATTTAACATAGTTCCAAACTTCTTGGAGACTTTATTCATTTTTTAAAATTATTTTCTCTTTGTCTTTGATGGATCGGGTTAATTTGAAAGCCTTGTCTTCAAGATCTGAAATTCTTTCTTCTGCTTGTTCAATTCTATTCCTGAGAGTTTCCAGTGCACTTTGCATTTCTCTAAGAGTGTCTTTGATTTCCAAAAGTTGTGATTGTTTTTTATTTATGCTATCTATTTCACTGAAGAATTTTCCTTTCATATCCTGTATCATGTTTTTGATTTCTTTAGGTTGAACTTCACCTCTCTCTGGTGCCTCCTTGATTAGCTTAAAAATCGACCTTCTGAATTCCTTTTCTGGCAATTAAGATATTTTTTCTTGGTTTGGATCCATTGCTGGTGATCTGGTATGATCTTTTGGGGGTATGAAAGAACCTTGCTTTATCATATTACCAGAATTGTTTTCCTTGTTCCTTCTCATTTGGGTAGGCTATGCCAGAGGGAAGATCTGGGATTCAAGGGCTGCTGTTCAGAGTCTTTTGTCCCATGGAGTGCTGCTTTGATGTGTTGTTCTCTCCCTTCCCCAAGGAATGGGGCTTCCTGAGAGCCAAACTGTAGTGATTGTTTTTGCTCTTCTGGGTCTAGTCCCCAGTGAGCTACCGAGCTACCAGGCTCTGGACTGATACTGAGGAGTGTCTGCAAAGAATCCTGTGATGAGATCCATCTTCAGGTCTTGCAGCTGTGGATACCAGCACCTGCTCTGGTGGAGAACCCTGTGGGGGTTCTCAGTTGTGTTTTTGTTTAGTATGCTGGTTTTGTGTTGGTTGGCTTGCAGCCAGGAGGTGGCACTTTGAAGAGTACATAGCTGCATTCCCATAGGGAGGATGCAAACTTGCCCCAGGGAGGCCTGGTTAAGCCTTCAGGTTTCTCAGGTGATGGGCAGGGCCATAGAGCTCCCAAGTGATTATGACCTTTGTCTTTGGCTACCAGGCCCGGTAGAGAAAGACCACCAGGTTGGGGCAGGGATAGGCATGCCTGAGCTCAATGTCTCCTTGGGTGGGGTTTGCTGTGGCTGCTGTGGGGGATGGGGTTTTGTTCCCAGTCCAAAGGAGTAATATTTCTAGGGGAATTAGGGCTGCCTCTGCTGAGTCATACAGGTTGCCAGGGAAGTGGGGGAAAGCTGCAGTCACAGGCCTCACTCCACTCCCACACAGCCACAGTCCTAAAGGCTGGTCTCACTCCCACCGTGCCCCACCAACAGCACCATGTCTACTTCCAGGCAGCTGGTGACCAGGGCTGAGAACTTGCCCTAGACCACGAGCCTCCCTGCTGAGAAAGCAAGCTGACTTACAGTTTTTCGGTGTCTCGGGGAGCCTGCCATGGTGATCCAGTTCTTTCAAAGAGTCTGTGGATTCTCTTGGCTTTCCTGATATGCTCCTGCGGTAGTTCTTGGAGCAAAAGTTCACAATGTGAGTCTCCACACGCTGCTCTGCCTGTCCAAGTGAAAGCTGCAAGCTAGTCCTGCCTCCTATCTGCCATCTTCACGTTTTTTTTTTCTATAACATTGTTTTTAAGCAGCAATAGAAATAAATTTTTCTATAAGCATTTTATTTCCATTTTTCTACATCTCACCTAATTATTTTCTCAGAGAACAAAGAAAGCTTAGTACGGTGAAAAGAACAAAAGTTTTGGAAGTCAGATTGCTTTCTCCTAACTTGGAAGTCCTTGGAGTAGTTAATTAATCTCTCTAACCTTAGTTTTTTCAACTATAACACGGGAATAATAATATTGTCATGGCATTGTAGATTGCAGTGTTTTCTAAACCTGCCTAATCTGAATCAAAGGAGTCATTTGTTAAAAATGCAGATTATCCAGTTCCTCTGCAAATTCATTTCAGTATGTCTTAAAAGGGCCTATTACAAGAAAAACCAGTTCCCCAGGTGACTTATTATTATCACAGAAATTTGAAAAACACACATATAATGCATATGCACGTGTAAGCATTAATTTCCGATACAGATAGACAATGATCCATGGCAGCTTGTGTTGGTAAGTCCTAACCACTTTTCTGTTTATCGCTGCAAGAAAAAATTAGCAGTTTATTGCATTGCATAATATTACATTGTATTTTGTAATTACACAAAGTATAATGAAAATATATAATATTAATTTGTCACTAATTGTATTAGTCTGTTTTCACACTGCTATAAAGATACTACTGAGACTAGGTAATTTATGATGAAAAGAGGTTTAATTGACTCACAGTTTTGCATGGCCAGGGAGGCCTCAGGAAACTTACAATTATGGCAGAAGGCAAAGGGGAAGCAAGGCACATCTTCACAAGTTGGCAGGAGAGACAGAGAGAGAGTGGAGGGGAAACTGCCACTTTTAAACCATCGGATCTGATGAGAACTCCTTCACTATCAGGAGAACAGCATGGGAGAACCACCCCATGATCCAGTCATCTCCCACCAGGTCCCTCCCTTGACACACGGGGATTACAATTCCAGATCAGATTTGGGTGGGGATACAGAGCCAAACCATATCACTAATGCTTTCATGTATGTGATTCATATTTTGCCCATTCCATTTAAAGCTTTTTATAGGTGAATTCATTTTTCATCTTCCTGACTTACAGAATATGGTTCAAAATAGGCAACTAATAAATATGCATCAAATGTATGATTAATTCACTTTCCCCTTATGATATTCTTGAATACATTATGTCAATGTTTTAACTTTAGACTCTAAAGATGTTGTTGTGGGCAATTAAAATTGGATCGGATATCTCAAATAAACGATTAGTAGTCTGCAAACAATAGGTTCAGGTAGGTAACGGCACATAGATTTCACCAGGCATAGATTCTTGCATGTTTTTAAGTTTCCAGAATCTTTAGCTTACATTCTGTCAAACTGCACATATAAATATTTGAGAAGGTGATTATAGTGAGTTGACTGTTTCTCAAACTTTTTTTTTGTTTCATTGATGCCTATGGTTAAAAATATACCAGATGTCAGAGCTGAGAAAGATTACTCTTTGTGTATCCTGTATTAGAATATGAAATATAAAGACCTCTTGAAGAAAGTTTTGTATTTCTCTCTGTGCCTGGAGAAAGAGATAAATTGCAATGAATTTTGAAATGTCTAATGAATTGCCTCATGAGCTACCAAGCCTGGTAGAGCACAGAAAACTCCCTAGAGGACAAAATCCTAGAGGAGAGATTCCCATGCATAAACAGAAGTAACATATTCAAGTAAAATATATTTATAGATCTTATAAAATAAATTTCTCTTTTATTTTGCAAAGACATTTTCTATTTATATGTACTCAAAACCCTTATTTTTGCTTATTGTAGTTTCTCAAATATTTCTTCCTCCTTTTTCTTTCTTTTCTGTTTTGGACAGGCTGGGGAGTCCTGCTTAAGACATAAATATACATTAGCCCAAAGTTTCTGTAGAGGAAAAGAAAAGAACATCGAAAGCAGAATAATATTTTGAGTAGGTAATTTCTCAGAGAATGAGAAGAATGAACGTTTTATTTTTATTCCACTCTCTTTTAAACGTGTTTCTTAGTTTTGCAAAAGTGAGATGGGTTTGCAATTTTCTATAAATTATCTCAACAAATTATGGGTGAGCACAGACCTGTGATTTTCTTGGAAGGGCAGGTCTATTCTAGGGATTAGGACTTTGGTCATTATGATAGATTTAAGTATATTTTCAATCATTTTCTTGGGCTGGGCACACAGACCCTTATAAATTCCAAATGACACAGATATGTATCTAACGAAGTTCTTTTTTGGAACTTATTCCTATGAATATTAGGGGAAATAGGATATTGATTGGAATCTTGATGCTGAGTGAAAGAGGGTCATGGAGAAACCATTTTTAGTTGTTATAGATTACAATAATAACCAACAAAATTGCCTGTGAAATTGGTCTAGAAGTGGAGAGCAAATGGAAATAGACTTTTTGGTGGTTTGCATATTGATGTGCTCAAAACCCCTAAACTAGTACCTTACGCATTTTATCTCATCCCTATCATGTGAGGTGTCCTCAGAGTAGGATGCATTTTGACTTAGAAAACACAGTCTCTTAGTCTAATAAGCATAATCTCATCAGCATGTTATAGACATTGTGCATATTCCTCATTTATCTTGCTAAAGGTACAAGCATACAATAATGGTGTCAACTCGATGGATAGATGGCTTTGGGTCAGACTACTATTGCCTCTTCAAGCATGTGGCCAGATTTATTCAATTTTGTTTTTTTTTGTGTGTTTTGTTCTTATTATTTGCTATTCTCTCTCATTTCTTTTCCTACTCTCATTTATTGTAACCGACACTTTGTTGATCCCAGTAGCCCCTGGGGAGTAATGGGATCACCTTAATAATGATAATTTAAAGTTTTCTGGCTCTTGTGTCCCCTCCTCAGAGCTTAGCTAATAATCCCTTCAATGTTTTTTTCTTATCCTACTCTCTCCCTAGAACCCAGACATACATCCATGGCAGGGCCAGACGAACTCAAGTGGCACTTGCCACACTGAACTCAGAATCACTACATGAAGCTTATCGTGCCTGGCTCCTTTTTTGACAAAGTTAAGCTCTCCCAGGAGGCTCCTCAGGTTTTTGCAAGAAGGCTTGGGTTTATTTGCTCCATCAGGTTGGCAAAAATGTTTGGATCACACTTCCACTCAAGCAACATGTCTGGATTCTCAGAGTCTCCTGATGCAAACAGGTGGGCTCAGTGATCATTTAAAACAAAATGCAGGTCTTCCTCCACCCAGCTGATTTCAAAACCAGTGAACTGATCAACAATTTGAAGGATTCAGTGTTTTCAGACATTATCTTCTTTAAACTTTTTTCTTCATTTCAATAGCATTTGAAGTACAAGTGGTTTTGGGTTGCGTGGATGAATTGTATAGTGGTAAAATCTGAGGTGTTAGTGCACCAGTCATTCAAGTAGTGCATATTGCACCCAATATGTATTTTTTATCCCTCACACCCCCTCAAACCTCCCCCTTCTGAGTCTCCAAAATCCATTATATCACTTTGTACACCTTTGTGTATCTATAGCTTAGCTCCCACTTGTAAATGAGAACATACGGTATTTGGTTTTCCATTCACTTAGAATAATGGCCTCCAGCTTCATCCAAGTTGCGCAAAAGACATTATTTTGTTCTGTTTTATGGCTGAGTAGTATTCCATGGTGTATATATGCCACATTTTCTTTATCTACTCGTTAGTCAATGGGCACTTAGGTTGGTTCCATATCTTTGCAATTGTGAATTGTGCTGCAATAAACATATGCATGCAGGTGTCTTTTTGACATAATGATTTCTTATTCTTTGGGTAGATATGCAGTAGTGAAATTGCTGGATCAAATGGTAGATCTACTTTTAGTTCTTTAAGACATCTCCATACTGTTTTCCATAGAGGTTGTACTAATTTACATTTTCACCAGCAGTGTACAAAGTGGTCCTTTTTTACCACATCCACACCGATATATATACTTATCTATTGTTTGTTGGCTTTTGAATAACAGCAATTCCTGTAGGAGTAAGGTGATATCTTTGTGGTTTTAATTTACATTTCCCTAATGATTAGTGAAGTTGAACATTTTTTCATGTTTGTTTGCCATTTGTATATCTTCTTCCGAGAAATATCTATTCATGTCATTTGCCTACTTTTTGATGGGTTTGTTTTTTTCTTGCTGATTTGTGTTCCTTGTAGATTCTGGATATTAGTCCTTTGTCAGATGCATAGTTTGCAAATATTTTCTCCCATTCTGTGGGTTTTCTGTTTACTCTGATGATTATTTCTTTTGCAGATATTACCATCTTGGTAAAGATTTCCTTCACCACCTATACCTTCATGTGCACACAGTCACACATAACCAGGGTTTTTGTTCCTCCTGAGACCTTTTTCCCTCTGCACCTTCACACTAGATTGGAAGTTATTTTCGTGTAGCATATGTGACAATGTAGAATTCACTATGTATGACAGGAAGATGTCCAATAGATATATGTCAAGTGAATGAATGAATACCTGAGATTTACCTTTAACAAAACAGCCTCATGAGATGCATCAAGTGTGTGAAGCTCTTAGCACAGTGTCTAGCACCTACTGAATGCTCAATAAAAGTATTCAATAGGTGCTAGACACTGTGCTCAGAGACTGTGAGAGATTATTTGAATCATTATTATCATAATTACATATATTATCATATATTATCTTACAACTAATGTAAGAGATCATTGTAGTCATTATTATCATAATTTTCATCATGTCTCATATTGTCCCTTGACTTATAAAGATCTCTGTGTCATAGAAACTAAGGTTCTTAGCCAAATATATTTGGATTGCCTGCTTCCATTTCTAGCTTCAAGCCAGTGTTTCATGTTCTGTTTTAGATAGGAGCCCCTTTTGACCCTAATATACGTCATCCCCTTTCCCAAAACCCAAATTCATTTAACTGGCTCATTCCAGCTTTTAAATTTTGGCTCAATGTGAGCTTTCTCTAAGAAGCAAAAGGACATGGAACTTTAAACCTTTCCCTGTATCTGCAGATACAGATAGTGAATTGAGAGGTTTTATGTTGTAAGTACTGTACAGAGATATTCACACAGGTGCTGGAAAGAAGACTACAATCCCTGGATGTTAAAGTTTTTAGATTCTTGCATAGTTCTCCATAATAACAATAACATATGAAGAGGATTCTATTATTAAAAGATACATGTGTAATAAATGAACTTCATCTCCCTGAAAATTTTAAACAATACAGCATGAAGTAAAAAGCTCAAATGCCCTTTACCTATCTTCAATTCTACTCTCTTTCCCAGAGGTAATCACTAAGCGGTACTAGCCGCTCAGTGGGTATCAATCCAAAATGATTTCAATGTATTTATAAAATAGGGTGCACGTTACAGTTGTAAAAGTGTTTTCTTATATGTTATCTCACTTGTTTCTTATGAAAGGTAGGTATATCCAGATGTACGAGATGAGACTTATGGAGGCTCACTTGCCCAGAGTTTCTCAGCTGGTCACTTGCTCAGCAGAAGTTGAATTCTTGATCCAGGTCTCTGAAGCATGTGCGAGGTATTGCTGTAAGCATTTTGCATGTGTTATCTCATTTAACTTTCATGCTGTCCCCTTTAAGTAGGTGTGATTATAATCTCCATTTAAAGATGAGAGAACTGGGGTTCAGAGACGTCAAATAAGAAGCGCCAGACACACAGTTTGTCAGTGTCAGACTTGAATCCAGCAAGGCTCCTTTTGAGCCTGGAGATTCACTAGGCTCCATTAATCACCATGTTATATTAATCACTATGTTATAAATGCATTATATTGTATAGTCTCCTGTTTTTGCATATGCCATCTCACAGTGGTATATATTTAAGCCTGATAGAAAGGGTGAAAGCATGGTACTCCTATAAGAAATTGTTTAGATCTAATTTATGTTGTTGTACTTCTCTATGTTGCTTACATTTTTATATCTGATTAGACTATATCTTCACATACTTAAAGCTCTGTCAGCAGCTCTACTTGGTGTGAGGTGCTCAATAGCTTTCTTCTTCTCCTTTTTAAAGTAAGACTAAGGGAGGTATATTATTTTCCTATCAATCTTGATTGAGTGTGAACTGCAGGTGGGCATATAGTGAAGATGATGTGAGAGCTCTAAAAGTCTCACGTTGGGGGTTGTCTGGTGCACATATCTAGAAAGTTATAACTTAAAAATACTTCAAGTTTAGAGGCTTTGAGTCACAGCCCCTCATTTAGGTATGATGCAAGAATACTCACAAAGGTAATTCGTTCATATAGTTTTTTTAAAAATCCACATCTAAATAAACTCATGTTAGACAAAAGAGAAAATAAAATCAGTGGGTATTCCAGTGGTGACTCTTATCCAGGAATCCAAAGAAGTTTAAAAACAACAACAGCAACAGCGTTAGCAGCAGCTACAGTTCATTAATCCTTATAACTTCATTGCCACTGATAGTGACAACTTTTGAGAAACAAAAGTGGTGTGGTGTGGTGTGGTGTGTAAATATGTCAGGTAATAGGAACAAAGGAGAGTCAAGGGAGAAAACAAGGCTCTGTGGTGCATTATCTCGAGAAAGGCAGACCCACGGTCAAGTGTAGGAAAAGCTCAAGTGTTATATTTTAAACCATGTCCATGTTTTCTTCTGATGTCACTTTAAGAAATTTAGCTACCGAGAAGCATTTTAAACTTACTGCCTAAAACAATTTTGCTTAACTATTATCAACTAAAATTTCTTCCTTTTTTTTTTTTTTAAAGAAGACCATATTCCAGCTAATGAAAGCATTAATGTCCTTCTGGTTAATTGTCTTAGTCTAAGAAAACAGTAAAGAAAAATCCTACTCAATATTTGGCCCTGGAAAATCTGGCAGAATTCCTCTGCCTTTGGGATAGATGGCATATTGAGTTGGTCACTGCCTGGGGAAGGACTTGAACAACAATGAAAACATGAAGGCTCAGTAATCATCAATCTTGTTGCAGTTAATTAACTTTTGACAAAACTATTCTGTGTGTCGTGCTTTATTTTTTCATGTTTGGCCATCATTTAATAAAAGATCATAACAGAGGTGGGTTAACACAATTTTTTTTCTTACTAGCAAGTTGATAAAAATGTTTTTGTCCCAACCAGACCAAAGGTCTGTGTTGTATGAATCATCTTTGTCAGTGTCCCAAACCCCGTCTTTGTCCAGAAATGTCTAGGTAGAGTTTGGTTTATCTAAAGTCAGCATACTCCGTATTTGTAAAACTTACTCCCTCAAACCACCTTTCTAACCCATCTCCTGAAGTCACTCTAAATCTTATTTATTGATTCTCAGTAATTTGCTACTGATATTTTTGCTCTAAGTGTACTAGTCCGTTCTCATACTGCTATAAAGAAATACATGAGACTGGGTAATTTACAAAGAAAAGAGGTTTAATTGGCTCCCAGTTCCACAGGCTGTATAGGAAGCATGGCTGGGGAGGCCTCAGGAAGCTTACAATCATGGCAGAAGGTGAAGGGGAAACAGGCTTATCTTCACATGGCCAGAGCAGGAGGAAGAGAGAGAGACAGGGGAGCTGCCACACATGTTTAAACAACCAGACCTTGAGATAACTCATTTCCACGAGAGCAGCACCAAAGGGGAAATCCACCTCCATGACCCAATCACCTCCCACCAGGCCCCACCTCCAACATTGGGGATTACAATTTGATGTGAGATTTGGGCAGCTACACAGACACTAAGTTCTATCTAAAAGATTTTCAATCATTTTATAAAGAAAAAATCTGTATGGGTATGCATGTGTGTCTTGAAAAATAAATTTGACAAAGAAGTTTCCTTCTTTTAAAAGTCCCTGAGTATTTCTTATTTCATAGGTTCTCAAAGTTTGTTCCCTAGACAAGTAGCATTGACATCACCTTGGAACTTGTTAGAAATGCAAATACTTGGGCTCCAGGCCTATTGAATAAGAAACTCTGGGGGTAGAGCGCAGCAATCATGTTTTGACAAGTTCTTCAGATGATTTTGATGCTCAAGGTTGAGACCCACTGTGTCATGATTAATCTTATGTCAACTTGACTGCATAAGGAATACCTAGATAGCTAAAGCATTACTTCTGGGTGAGTCTGTGAGGGCATTTCCTGAGGAGATTGGTGTGTAAGTCAGTGGATTGAGCAGGAAAGATCCTCTCTCAAAATGTGGGCAGGCACCATCCAGTTGGCTGGGGGCCAGATAGAGCAAAAAGAGGAAAGGATTTCTCTTTCACCTGGAGCCAGGACACTTTTTTTTTCTGACATCAGAACTCCAGACTCTTGGGCCTTTGGAGTCCATAATGTATGCCAATGGCACCTCCAGGTTCTCAGGCCTTCAGCTTTGGACTGAGCATTACACCACTGGCTTCCTTGCTTCTAAAGCTTTCAAACTTGGACTGAGCCATGCTGCCAACATCCCAAGTTGCCCAGTTTGCAGGTGGCCTGTTGTGGGAGCTTTCAACCTCCATAATTAAGTGAGCCAATTCTCCTAATAAATCACTCCCATCTCTCTCTTTCTCCCTCTATCTCTGTATTGTCTCTCTGTCTCTCTGTATCTCTCTATCTCTTCATCCATCCATCCATCCATCCATTCATCCACCCATCCATCCATCCTATTTGTTCTGTGCCTTTGGAGAACCCTGACCAATACACACTGTTTCCAAGTGACCTCCCTAACTTTTCCTAAAATATCATCTCAGCACAGTCATGTGTCTATAAAAACTTGACAAAATCTGTTTCTTGAAATCCGTGGATTTCTTTTTAAGTTAAAAATTACAGATAGGTTTTACTCTTTCTGAATCTCATTTTAATTTAGTTGTGGTGAATACCAAGTAGCTACATTCATCGATAATTCATAAGTCATAAACTCACAAGTCTTTGGGGCCAACAAGGTGGCATAGGTAATATAAAACCAATGTAAGAAAATAGAGAATAGTGACAACTGTGTTAACAAATGAAGAGTGTATTCCTTCCTGCTTAAATCTATTGAAACTCATATTTAAAAGAATATTGTATGGTAAAACAAAACAGACATGTTTATACTACAGCCTTCAGTTTATACTGTTGTCTATTACACTAAGGAAATCTATTTAAAGCCTATCTCAAGAAAATGATTTGTATTGAATAAATAGGGATACTATTTAATTCTGATTGCTAGAATTGCATATATTTCTAGATAAATATGAACCTCAGAGTAAATAAAAGAAAATGAAAATGTATAGTAAGATAAAATTATTTGCTTTGAGTTGGACTTTAGAAAATCAAAGTAGGGTTTCTGACAAGGTTTAAAGACTTATGCAGGTTTTGAGATCTTTTTATGATGACTTGATTTTATTTCCTCATCTGATTTCACTTAGCATTAAGCTAAGAAATATATGCAAGAGCAAATCCAAGACAGCTGCCAATTGAAAAGAAATTAAAACATGAAGAGGTAGAGAAACTAACATAATATATACCTTTTTGATCTAAGAGCACCATTTTGCAGGACTCTTGGATTTTTGGATAAAAAGTTAATATAAGTAATGCAAGTGTTACTGATTTCCTTTCATCCAATTCATAGAAAAGAAAATGACATTTCTAGGTGTGTTTCCCCTTCCAAGAGAAGATAATAACTTTCTGGTTAGCATAAATTCCCCCTTTCCTTTTCCTCAAAAAGAGACATACTGAAAAAATAGACATTTCTTTCTTTCTAGCTTAAAAACATTATTTATTCTGGGCTTCTAAAAACTATAACTATAAAATTAAAGATTTAGGTATAGGCTCTCTTTTATTGGTTTCCTTTAAACAACATAATCTATATGTTTTAAAACTCATATCTTTATATTGTAATATCAGTGAAATTCTCTGGTATTTTCAAACGTCAGGTAGATAAAACTCTAAACATTTATCTAAAAAATTTACTAATTGTGGATCCAAAATATGAATTCATTCCTAAAGCATTTTTTTTCTGTTCTGCCTTTCAGCTAAAGTTTGAGTTATGAATTCAAATGTTGTCAGGGCTCAGGTGAGGAAAAGAGTAAAACTGGCTAGGTGGAGACTGAAGATTTGGAAGCAATTTTTGGCATGGAAGAACTTGAGACCAGCATTACCAGATCTTCCCATTTTTCAAGAGAAACTGAAAATATCTTCTCTTTAATGTGAAATCTCTGTATTTAAAATGCTATATATTAATTTTTTTAAATAAACAGGATTTGGGTTAGGCACAATTCTCTGGTTATATCCTCTGAACTGGCATTTAATGATCCCTTTCTCTGGTGGCTATAGAGATGATGGGTGCAAGATGGAGCATTTTCCTAAAGTATTGAGCCATGGAACAATTTCCTGAGACATCCTTCTTTGGGGTTACTGTCTAAATGCCCCACTGGCTGGTGCGGCATCCCTTGCAAAGACTGAACTTATATATTTCCTGGAAATGCCTCATTTTGGGGTAAACCAGGAATGTTGGTCACTGTCAGCCTGAGGTGTTGGCTCTATTTAAATGCACATGGACTGAAAAAGAAAAAAATTATATGAAAGTTTCTAGGTATTCTGACACCACTTGAAGGTTGTTCCATACCCTAGGGACCTTAATGTGTCAGTTTAAACTCAATTTAACAATTTGTTATGCATTTCCCATGTGCCAGATACTGTTCTAGGTACTTGGGATTATCAGTGGATTAAAAAAAAGACAAAGATTCCTTCTCCCATGGAGGGCAATTTACACTCTAATCAGGAGAAACAAATAGCAAACAATTATCATGAAAGGAAAAACCCCAATTTACGGAAAACACTAAATGTGCTTTGAGAAGGAGAAAAGTTAGCAAAGCATTGGGAGATTTGGATTACAGAGGTTTGGGTCTCTTCACAATATAAAAATCTTTGTCTAGGAAAGAAGGTAAGGGAGTGGGCCAGGAAGATATCTGAATATATGCTCCAGGCCATGGGAGCAAATGGATCCAAGGCCTATGTGTCTGTATTTTCCAGGAATAGCAAGGAGGCCAGCATGTGGGAACCCAGAGAATGAGGTCTGTGGTGGTAGGAAATGAGGTTAAAGCAACCATGGGAGAAAAATAATCATCAGGGACTTGTGTGTCACCATAAGGATTTTGGCTTTTGCTTTGATGGAAATAGGGAGCCAGCTCAGGGTTTTGAGCAAAAGACTTAAATAATTTGATTTACATTTTAAAGGAATAACTCTACTTGGTTTGTCGAGAGTAGATTTAAGACTTACAGGTGGTGGGTGAGGAGCACAGAGCAGAGACCTGCAAGGAAGCTATTGAAATAAACCAGAAGAAAGATCATGGTGGCTTGTACCAAAGAGGCAATTTTATTGGCGAAAAGTGGTCAAATTTTAGATTTTTTTAACTATGTATTTCGAAGTATTTTTTCTATTTCTTTTCTTTTCTGTTTCTTTCTTTCTTTTTTTTTTTTTTTTTGAGACAGTGTCTGCCTCTGTTTCCCAGGCTGCAGTACAGTGGTGCAATTCTAGCACCTTGCAGCCTCAAACTCCTGTGTTCAAGCAATCTTCCTGGCTATGCCTCCTGAGTAGCTAGGACTACTGGAAGGTGCCATCATGCTGGCTATTTTTTATTTTTACGTTTTTGTAAAGATGGGGTCTTTCTACATTGCCAAGGCTGAACTCTTGACCTCAAGCAATCCTGCTGCCCTTTCCTTCTAAAGTGTTGAGATTACAGGGGGAATGAGCCACCACACCCATCCAAAATAATTTTAGAAAAGTTGCAGAGAGTTCCCAAGTAACCTTTACCTAGCTTCCCCTGACGTTAATATCTTACATAATAATGGTCCATTTTTTAAAACTTAAGAGATTAATAGTCGTACAATACCATTAATTAAATTATAGATTTTTATTATGTTATTTATATTTCATCAGTTTTTCCACTTAGTGTTCTTTTTTTCTGTTCCAGGATCCAAACCAGGGTTCCACCACCATGATCTCAGCCATGATGTCTCTTTGGCTTCCTCCAATCTGTGAGTTTCTCAGTCTTGTGCTGTCTTTTGTGACCTTGTCACTTTTGTAAAGTACTGGTTAAGTATCTTGTAGACTTGCTTCCTTTCAAATTGGGTTTGTCTATATTTTCTCATAATTGTTGTAAGATTATAGATTTTGAGGATAAATATCACCGAGATGATGGGTCTTTTCATCATACTGTATTGGGGGCACATGATATCAACAAGAGTTATTACCAGTGATTCTGTGATCACTTGGTTAAGTTGCTTTCAGGTTTCTCTCCTGTAATGTTGCTATTTTCCTCTTTCCATACTCTATTCCTTAGAAGCAGGTCACTAAGTCTAGCCCACACTCAAGGGGTTGGGAGTTAAGCTTGAACTCCTAGAGGGAGAAATATCAAAGAATTTGTGGACATATAATAAAATCACTATAGTAATTAATAAATATTTTGGGGGAGATACTTTGAAGCTATGCAAATAACATATTTCTCTTTAAGTTTTACATGAATTGATGGATCTTGCCTGTGGAAATTATTGTGGTGTTCTATTAGTGATTTTCTATTTCCCTCAATCCTTCAACATAAATTAATTGAAATTCTTCTGTAAGAAGGATTTGTCCCTTCTCTCTGGTATATGTATTTTATAATTTATTTATATCAGTCTGAACTCACGTATTTAACTTTCTTTTGGGTTAAATCCAATGCTATCGTTATTTATTTATTTATTTGGTCAAATTGTTCTAGCTTTGGTCATTGGCAACTCTGATTTTCTCCCGTTTCTTTTTGATGTACCCGCCTCCCTGGCCCCCCATTCTTTGGAGCACTTCCCTACTTTCTAGCACTACAAAATGCTCCAGGCTTCTCTTACATTTTTCCCTGCAACAACCCTAGAATCAGTGATTTTCCAAAGAAGCCCTGGTACCTTTTGTTGAAGGATGATATTTAGAAAGTAAGATCTGGACAGTAGGTAGACTTGCTGCTAGTGGGATGTCATTACCTCTAGACCTGTCTCAGCAGACACAGCTAGGAAATAAATACATATTACTAACCCAAGTATGTTAGTTTCCTATGCTCTGTAACAAATTACCACAAACTTAGTGGCTTAAAACCATACCAATTTATCAGCTTACAGTTCTGGAGGTCAAGCATCTGAAATGAATTTCAGTGGGCTAAAATCAAGATATTGGCAGGATTGCATTACTTCTGGAGGCTCTAAGAGAGAATCTGTTTCCTTGCCTTTTCCATCCTTTAAAGATTTCATTCCTTGACTCAGACACTTTCTTCCATTTCAAAGCCAGCATCAGAGGCATCTTCAAATCACCATTGCATCATTCTGACACTCTGCTTTTGTTATCGCTTCTCCTCTGACTCTTTTAAGGACCATTGTGATTACGTTGGGCCCACCCAGATAATCCAGGTTAATCTCCCCATCTCAAGGCTCTTAACTTAATCACATCTGCAAAGTCCCTTTTGTCACATAAAGTAATATATTCACATTTGCCCAAGATGAGGATGCAAATATATTTGGAGAGGGGGCATTCTTCCACCTACCACTTTATGCATATATGCAACTATGTTTATTTATGTATTCACCTCTCTGTGTGTATATATACATAATATATATATTGTAATATATATAGTAATATATTGTATTACATTATTACAATTTTATATATTTAATATATTACAATATATTTTATATATTTAATATATTAAATATATTAAAATAAACATAAGTTCATAGTGATATCTGGATCAATTTTGATGATAGAGCCAAATCAATTTCAAGTTAGATTGGGTGTAAAGTAAGAGAAAGAGAGGAGTCCAGGATGACTTAAGGTTTTGACACTTGAAAGAACAAAGCTGACAACAAGTGAGAAGAGGAAGGCTTAGGTCAAGCAGCTTTTGCAAGAATTAAGTCTTGGGCATGGTAAATATTAGATTTTTATCATTATAGAAATACAAGTAGAACTGCTGACTAAGAGTTTGGAATTTCAGAGTGAGGTCTTTCTTAAAATGGAGATGTAATTTTATAATGGATACAGAATACCAGTAGGAAGAATATCAGGTATTTAAAAATGTAGGAATATCCTCAAAAATATTAACTCAGTCTTGTACATGGTAAGTTTTAGATTTTTATTAGAAATACAGGTAGACCTGTTGACTAGGAATTTGGATATAAGAGTTTGGAATTTTGGAGTGAAGACTGAACTGAAACTATAAATTTGGGAGCTACTAGTATAAAGATAGCATTTGATGCCCCAATGAGCTAACCAAAGGAGTAAGTGTAGACAGAGAAGCAGCTCATAATGTTTGACAATTGAGTCCCGGCATTATCCAACATTAAGAAATTGTAGAGAAAAGGGACATGAAGCAGAGAGTGAGTTAGAAAGAGTAGATTTTAGCTGCTTAGTAAGAGTGAAATAGAAGGCTGGGTGTGGTGGCTTATGCCTATAATCCCAGTACTTTGGGAGGCCAAGGTGGGCAGATCACGAGGTCAGGAGTTCCAGACCAGCCCAGCCAACATGGTGAAACTCCGTCTCTACCAAAGATACAAAAAATTAGCCGGATATGGTGGCATACACCTGTAATCCCAGCTACTCGGGAAGCTGAGGCAGGAGAATTGCTTGAACCTGGGAGGCAGAGGTTGCGGTGAGCCAAGATCATGCCATTGCACTCCAGCCTAGGTGACAGGGTGAGACTCCAACTCAAAAAAAAAAAAAAAAAAAAAAAGCAGAGTGAAACAGAATAGCTCTGACTTGGAAAGATTATGCTTTAAAATGGAGATGTAATTTTGAAATAGATACTGAATACAAGTAGGAAGAATATCAGGTATTTAAAAATGTAGGGACATCATCTCAAAACTATTGAATCAAATAATATACCTCTCACAGTTGCAATAGAAATTAGTACTTTTATAACTGTCTTTTATAGCAGAAAACAGTAAAAATATTACCAAACTTGTATTCATTATTTAGACATGGTTAAACTCAACGCCTCTATTGAGAAATATTCTAATTTATTAGTTCCAAAAGAATAAATTAGTTTGAAGAACTTCACTTTTACCTGGTCTTAAGAGCATTCGTCATCACACTGTTCACACTTTCTGGTTTGCAAGCAGTCTTAGAAGAACTAAGATACTGGGCAGCCTGTCCTCCAATTTACTCGACTTAAAAGGCAATCAAGGTTGATCTCAGCTATTCTATGAAGCAGACAGAGGGAATTCACTCCTCAAAGACAATTGCTGTAAATTCTATAAATCCTTTGAAACTCAAAACATTTCTTATGAAACTGTAGAGAAAATTACTGCCTACTAATAAACTTATTATCCTCTAATTCTCACAGCACAAATTATATGTATGGAAACATAAAAAAAGCAATATTAAGGGTAAGATTACAGCAAACAGTCTTTTCCACCTCAGTCTAAAAATATCGACTCAAAAGATAAGCAAAGGCAAAAGAATTGTTGTTATAAAATAAGCCATAACATTGGTCCATTGATTGGAGATAAAAATGTAATTTCCTCTTAAATTATCCCATGGGGTGCAATTTGGCAGTATTAGACTTCAATAATCACACGAGTTTAGGTACTTTTCTATTTAACTTAGCAGTTCTCTCAAGAGGAATGAACTATGGGGAATTAAAATGAATACAGATTGCTAACAGAGGAAGCTTGGGCAGAATCTTGCCTAGGCTGGCATTTAAGGCTCCTAAAATTACTAAAGGTACTAATTTACTAGTAGATTTTAACACACTAGTTCATTAAAATGTCCTAATACATTTTAAGCCCAAGGGGCTGTATATTAGTTAGGGAAAAAACAAATAGGATATATATAGATACATATGAGGAGATTTATTATGGGATTTGGCTCATGAGATTGTGGTGGCTGTGAAATCTCATGACATGCCATTTTCAGGCTGGAGAACCAGGGAAGTCAGTAGCGTAATTCTGTCTGAGTTCAAAGACCTGACTCTAGTGTAGCTGGTGACGTAACTCCCAGTCTGAGGTCAAAGGCCTGAGAACTGAGAGTGTGGGTGGAAGAAGGTCTGAGAATCAGGAACTCTGATATCTGAAAGTAGGAGGAAGATGTATGTCCTAGCTCAGAGAAAAAGACAATTCACCTTTGCTCCACCTTTTTATTTTATCTAGGCCCACAATGATTGGAAGATGCCTACCCACACTGATGAGGGTGAATCTTCTTTATTCGGTCCACTGAATTAAATGCTAATGTCTTCTGGAGACACCCTCATGGATATACCTAGAAATCATATTCTACTAGCTATATGGACATCCATTAGCCCAGTCAAGTTGACACATAAAATTAAACATCACAAGTCCATCCCTTGTCGACTTGGTATCCTTAAGCATCTCCTTAAACCATATTTGATCTCAAAATAAACACAACGATGAGGTTATAATTCTACCTAACAAATACAACTATCCTATGTATAGCTAAAAATTCATTAATCCCTTCCCCAGAAGAGGTAGTAAAGTCTTTGAATGATGTTTACTCTTCTCTTGATATCCTGTAATTTAAGTAATATGATGTAAAATTTGCAATATTTAAATGCTGATATAAAGTGAATACATCTTATGTTACATAATTAGGGAATAAGAGAAGAAATAAAGCAAAGATATTTGCTTAAATATGTATATATAGATATACACATATATACAGAAATGCATTCATAACAAAATAAGAGGAAAATAATTATGACGATTATAATCCTTATTTCTTCAACTTGTCCTGTGGTCACAGCTAGTATTTATAACTTCCTTCTTCTACTCATTCTGTATATTCTTTGCCTTCAGCAAGAACCTTATCTGGCTATGGTCCTTTATCTGTTGGGGTGATCCAAACTTTTGTTCTTGAAGGGTTCCCCCTGGATTGGGTTGCTGTATTTTTCATTGACCTTAATCACAGGGTGGGGTAATATTAAGAGATGCCCTAAGGTATTACCTGTATTCCAGACATACTCTTCTTTACCTCCATTGTGCAGTGGTAGTCAATTTTTCCTTGGTATCCCAGAGTAATCACCCCAGGCAGCACTGTAACTCCCTTCTTGGCCTGTTGACTCAGAGGCATGAGAAGCCCAAAGTTGCTGCGTGGCAGTCTTAAGTTTTAGTTCAATAGAATTGTTGTGTCTCCTGGTAGAAGCATTCCTCTCTCTAGAACTAAGACCTCTAGGCCAGCAGAGGATAAAGTCATGGGACAGGAAGCAAACGTTTTGCTAGTGGACCATTAGGGGTAATAGTAAGCGGTGTCATTTCCTTTTCCATCCTTTGATTCCTGGACTCATGTATCTTAGCTATTGGAGAAACAGCACCATATATTGGAGACTGATTCAGAGCATACCCAGACTTTTGGAGAACCTTCCCCTAGCCCTACAAGGTATTGCCACCTAGCTGGCATGGAGTCTTCAAAAGGCCATTCCACTGTTCTACCAAGCCAGCTACTCCAGCAAGATCAGTGAATCCTATGAGCACAAGTGCTATTGCTGCCCTTCTTTGGCTTTGAAGTGAGTTCTTTGGTCAAAAGCAATGATATGAAGAATACCATGATGATAAGTTATTCTGTAAGTCCAGGGATGGTAGTGTTCACAGAAGCATTGCATGCAGGGAAGGAAAAATCTGTATCCAGAGTGTTTATTTTAATAAGGACACAATGCTGTCCTTTCCACAGTATATAAGCAGTTCAATGTAATCAGCCTGCCACCAGGTATCTGGCTGATCACGCTGGGAAATTGTACCATATCAGAGTCTCAGCTGCTGGCAGATTGAGCACTCAATGGTGGCTGTAACCAGATCCACCTTGGTCAGTGGAAGTCTGTGTGGCTGAGCCCATGCATAGCTTCCATCGCAACCAACATGGCCACTTTCTTCATGAGCCCATTGGGTGATGACAGGAGTGGCTGAGGAAAGAAGCTGGCTGGTATCCACAGAATGAGTCATCCTATCTTGATTGTTAAAATCCTATCCTGCTGGGGTTACCCTTTAGTGAGCATTCACACGAGTCACAAATATCTTTACATTTTCTTTGCCCATTCAGAGAAGTCTATTCACATACCTCTTCCTCCAATTTTGTTATCACCAGCTTTCCAATTATGTTCCTTCCAAGTTTCATCCAGCCCGACCAGTGGTTGCAGCCCATGAATCGGTATATAATCAATATATAATCACACATCTGGCTGTTTCTCCTTCCAAGCGAAGTACACAACCAGATGCACTGCCAGAAGTTCTGCCCACAGGGGTGGGGGGCATTTTTCTTCTCCACCGTCTTTCAGGGATGTCCCAGAAAGGGGCTGTAATGCTGAAGTTGTCCACTTTCAGATAGCACCGGTGTATTATGCAGAGAAATCTATAAACTAGGCCCAAGTTTTCTCTTCCTCTGTTAACTTATTGTAGGGAAATCCCCATGAGGCCATAGGTACAGGACACAGGTGCAGGCAGTGTAGCAGGAGTGGGGACCATGAATATTTGGACCACTTCCTCATGTAACTTAACTTGTGCCTTCAGGGCCTACTTGGGCCCAATCACATATACACCACTTCCATTTGATAATGCAGTTTTGCTGTGCATACCTAACTTTATGACTTAGTGGGTCATCTAACACCCAGTTCATCAAAGGTAGTTTGGGTTCCTTGGACTCATGGTGGCCCATGGTTAACCATTCAGTTTCTATTAAGACCCAGTAACAGGAAAAGAGCTATTACTCAAAAGGAGAGTAGTTATCTGCAGATGATGGGAGGGCCTTGTTCCAAAAACCTGAAGGCCTGATCTGCAGTTTACCTATGGAGGCCTGCTAAAGGCTCCAAACAGCATCCTAATCTACCACTGACACTTTAAGCAACAATGGTGCTTAAAGATAAGGATGCATATGGCCCAAGAGGCAGAGCTGCTTGCACAGCAGCCTGGACCTTTCAGAACCTTCTTTTTGTTCAAGACCCCACTAGAAACTAGCAGCTTTGTAGGTCAGTTGGGAAGTACACTAGAGTAACACACTAAAATGGGAAATATGTTGCTTCCAAAGTCCTAGCAGGCCCACTAAGCATCGTGCCTCTTTTTTTATTGTAGATGAGGCTGGGTACAACAATTTATCCATCTTAGAAGAGATATCTTGACATGCCTCATACCACTCAATCCCTAGAAATTTAACAGAGGTAAAGGCTGCTGAATTTTAGTCAGGTTTATTTCCTATCCTCTGACAATGCAAATGCCTTACCAATAAGTCTAGAGTAGTTGCTGCCTCCCACGCACTAGGTCCAATCAGCAGAATGTCATCAATATAGTGGACCAGAGTGATATGTTGTGGAAAGGAAAGACAATCAAGATCCCTGCAAACTATATTATGACATAGGGCTGGAGAGTTGATATACCCCCAATCTCCCAAGGTAGAAAAGAGAAGGTGGGTTACTGACTTGCCAGCTGAAACCAAACTACTTCTGATGAGCTTTATGGACAAGTATAGAGAAAAAGTCACTTGTCATGTCAATAGCTGCATACCAGATACCAAGGGGGATGTGTTATTTTGGTCTAGCAATGAAACTACATCTGGCATACTAGCTGCAATTGGAATCATCACGTAGTTAAGCTGACAATAATTCTCCAAGATCTGTCAACTGTCTTCTGTACAGGTCAAATGGAGGGATTATAGGAGGATGTGGTGGGAATCACCAGCCCTGCATCTTTCAAGTCTTTAATGGTGGCACTAATCTTTGCAATCCCCCAAGAATACCATATTTCTTTTGATTTACCATTTTCCTAGGTAGAAACAGTTCTAATGGCTTCTCTTTGGCCTTTCGCCCCATAATAGGTAAGAAAACCAATCTGGGGACTCTACCAGCGGCTAAGTATGTTTGTTCCAATTATGCAGTCTGGATTTGAAGAAATAACCACAGGATGGGTTCTGGGACCCACCAAATCCACTGTGAGACAGATTTAAGCTGAAACTACATTGATCACCTGACCTCTGTAAGCCTCTACCTGCTCTGACTGGACTGACATTATGGGTCTCCCAGAATCAATATACAGTTGACCCTTGAATAATATGAATTTGAACTACACAAATCCACCTATATGTGGATTTTTTTCAACAAATGCATTAAAAATGTTTTTGCAACAATTTGAAAAAAACTTGCAGATGAACTACATAGACTGGAAATATTTTTAAAAAATTAATAAATAGCCTGAGCATGGTGGCTGAAGACTGTAATCCCAGCACTACGGGAGGCTGAGGTGGGTGGGTCACTTGAGGTCAGGAGTTCGAGACCAGCCTGGTCAATGTGGTGAAACCCCGTCTCTGCTAAAAATACAAAAATTAGCTGGGCATGCTGGCATGTGTCTGTAATCCCAGCTACTCAGGAGGCTGAGGCAGGAAAATCTCTTGAAACCAGGAGGCTGGGCTGCAGTGAGCCAAGATCGTACCACTGCACTCCAGCCTGGGCAACAGAGCAAGACTCCATCTCAAAAAGAAAAAAAATTAAGAAAAATGTAAGTATGTCATGAATTCATAAAATATATGTAGATGCTAGTATACTTTATCATTTACTACCATAAAATATATACAGATCTATTACAAAAAGTTAAACTTATGCACAGATACACAGTACTTGGTGCCACTAGCAGTTGAGAGAAATGTAAATAAATATAAAGATGCAGTATTACATTATAACTGCATAATATTAACTGTAGCATACACTGTACTACTGTAATAATTTTGTAGCCACCTCCTATTGCTATTGTGGCAAGCTCAAGTATTGTATCTTGTTAAAACACCATATAATACTAATCCTCACCAAATAAGCAGTTCATCTCTCCAGTAAATTGCATATTGCAGTAAAAAATGATGTCTCACAGTTTTCTCCTGTTATTCATTGTGTTTAGCGCAATACTGCAAACCTTGAATAACACCATGGGACTCAAAAAAGGGCCAGTAGTGATGCTGGAAGTGCTACTAGGATACAGAAAAAAGTCATAACATTACAAGAAAAATGTAATTACTTGATATGTACCATAGATTGAGTTCTGCAGCTGTGGTTGTTCATCATTTCAAGATAAATGAATCAAGTGTAAGAACCATTGTAAAGAGAGAGAGAGAGAAGAAAAGAGAAAGAATTCATAAAGCCCTTGCTGCAGCTACTTCAGCTTGCATAAAACCCTTGCACATTTTTCGGCTGGGTGCAGTGGCTCATGCCTGTAATGCCAGCACTTTGGGAGGCCGAGGCGGATGGATAACCTGAGGTCGGCAGTTTGAGACAAGTCTAACCAACATGGAGAAACCCCATCTCTACTAAAAATACAAAATTAGCCGGGGTTGGTGGTGCGTGCCTGTAATCCCAGCTACTCAGGAGGCTGAGGCAGGAGAATCACTTGAACACGGGAGGTGGAGGTTGCAATGAGCCAAGATCGTGCCATTGCACTCCAGCCTGCGCAACAAGAGCAAAACTCCATCTCAAAAAAAGAAAAAAACCCTTTTATCTTGTATTGAAAATGTAGTTTTTATGTGGATGCAGGATTGCTACAAGAAAGGCATATCTATGAACTCTAATATGATTTCAGAAAAAGCAAAGTCATTACATGACAATTTAAAGCAAAGGTGAAGGAACTAAAGCTGGAGAAATTAAGCCAGCAAAGGATGGTTTGATAATTTTAGAAACAGTTTGGTTTTTAAAAAAAGTCAGGATAACAGAAAAAGCAGCTTCTGCCAACCAAGAGGCAGCAGACAAGTTCCCAGAAGTCATTACGAAAATCACTGAAGAGAAAAGGATATCTGCCTGAACAGCTTTTAAATGCAGACCAAAAGTCCTATTGTAGAAAAAAAAAAGCCACAAAGGACATGTATTAGTAAGAAAGATAAGAACCAGGATTTAAGGCAAGGAGGAATAGGCTAACTCTACTGTTTTGTGTAAATGAAGTGGAGTTTATAATCAAGACTACCTTATCTAGAAAGCCACTAACCCTCAAGCCTTAAAGGGAAAAAGTAAACACCAGCTGTCAGCCTTTGGTTGTACAACAAGAAGACCTAGACAACAAGAACTCTTTTTCTGGATTGGTTCCATTGATGATTTGTCCTTGAAGTCTGAAAGTTCTTTTGATATTAGACAATGCTCTTGGCCACTCACAATCCAATGAGTTCAACAATGAAGGTGTCAAAGTGGTCTA
This sequence comes from Homo sapiens, assembly GCF_000001405.40. Taxonomy (NCBI): domain Eukaryota; kingdom Metazoa; phylum Chordata; class Mammalia; order Primates; family Hominidae; genus Homo; species Homo sapiens. The sequence continues at coordinate 155,248,478 of NC_000003.12, read as the reverse complement.
CTCGCCTCCAAAGACAACATCTCTAAGTCAGTCTCTAGGTCACAGTGTCATAAAGACTTTTAAGGTTCATCCCACATGCTACTCTATGGAAGAATTGTCAACACTATGAAAGATAACTTATGACAAAGAGAACATCATTAAAGTCTGGAAGGATCACTCCATTAAAGATGCAATCATTTTTATAGAAAAAGCCACAAAAGCCATCAAGCCTGAAATAAATTCCTGCTGGAGAAAACTGTCAAGGTGTGCATGACTTTACAGGATTTACAACAGAGCCAATCAAGGAAACCATGAAAGAGATTGTGGATCAGGCAAAAAGATGATGGGTAAAGAAGGCTTTCAAAATATAGATTTTGAAGAAATTCAAGCATGAATAGACACACCAGAAAAATTAACAAAAGATGACTTGATCACTGCCAGGCAATGAGGAAGAAGACATAGAAGAAGCAATGCCAACAAACAAATTTATATGAGACAATCTGGCAGAAGCATTCTGATTATTCAAGATTGCTTTTGATTTCTTTTATGACATGGAATCTTATGGGCATTGAACCTAAAACAAATAGTGAAAGAAGGTTTGGTGCCATATAGAAACATTTTTAGAGAGTTGAAAAAGCAAAAAATGTCAGAAATTACAATGTATTTCCTCAAAGTTACACCAAGTATGACAGCCTCTCCTGCCTCCCCTTCTACCTCCTCTCCCTCTTCTGCCTCTGCCTCTAAGTTAGCAATACCAACTTGCTCTTCTTCCTCCTCCTGCTCAGCCTACTTGACATGAAGATGATGAGGATGAAGGCCTTTATGATAAGCCACTCCTACTTAAATGAATAGTAAATATATTTTCTCTTCCTTTTGATTTTTCTTAATAACATATTTTCTAGCTTTATTGTGAGAATACAGTATATGATACATATCACATACAAAATATTTGTTAATTGATTATGTTTTGGTAAGGCCTCTGGTTAACAGTAGGCCACTAGTAGTTAAGCTTTTGGGGAGTCAAAAGTTTTGTGCTGATTTTCAATTGTGCAGAGATCAGCACCTCGGACTCCACATCATTCAAAGGTCAACTTTAGTTCAGAACCATTGTCCAGCAGTTATTCAAAGTTCTGATTATTTCTTTTTCTTCAATGCACAGTTACTTTTTTAAGAGGCCATGGGTCCCTTTAGGGAAAGCTGAGAGAAAAATTAACAGTATGAAATTTTGGTAGTGTACCAGGGTTCTTCCTTAGCAGGGACCCGGTCTCTCCTCATTCAAGGAGTTCTAGGTCTGCGAACTAGCTCAAGTCTGGGAGTTAATTGAAGGGCTGAGACTCTCTGTCTTTATGAGTTAGACTTTTGTTCACTATCTGCTTATACAGATCAAGTAAGAATTTAGTAGGCTTCCTATCTATTTCACTTCTAGGAACACATTATTAACTAGCTGTCCTCATAGTTCTCTGAGAATCAGACTATTCTGGTTGCCATTGTCCTTTGTGGTAACTATGGCCACCTTGCCTCTGGCTGTTGAGTACTGACACGGGATTCAATTACTTCCTTTGCATTTAGGTTTTCCAATTGAGTGACTGCAGTTCACACTCTAGGGTCTGGCCTACAGAGAAGAACCATCATGGATGTCTCCAAGGATGCTAGGGATCCCCTCACACATTTATTTCTCAAAATAAATTTAGTAAAAGCTAGGTCTTAAATGACAAATCCACTCTGACATTCCAATTTCTCTAAGCCTTTGAATCCCTTCCTCTACATTAAAGCAGAGGAGATTAGGCAGGTGGGCTGTCTTTTGAACCATGTTTCAGGCAACCAACCACCAGACAGATAGAGCCCTTTCTTAGTCTCTGAGCAGTATCAGTAAATGCAGAATCTCTGCTTGGTGGGTCTATATCAATGAACTCAGCCTCATCCAATTTTATGCTCCTTCTACCATTATCTCAAACCCTTAATATCCATTCCCATAAGGGTTCCCTGGATTTCTGCTTGTATAAAGTAGAAAACACAAGTAGTTCTTTTGGAGTGTAGTATACCTCCTCATGAGTCTGCTGGGACTTGAGTCTAGTTATAGCTCTAGAATCAAAAAGGGGTGGTAGGAGTGGGCCCTGAGGAGAATTGATATTGTCTTGAATGGGAACTGCCTTACAGGAGGCCATTATCATTTCCTCAGGCAATGCAGGTTCAGTCCCCTCAGATGGAGGCAGATAGGTTGATACAACTGGGGGACAGTGGGGAGGCTGCTTTTTCTGGGGGTGAAGAGACCTCTTCCACTGGCAAAGCAGATTTACCCGAATTTAGGACTCAATGTTCCCAACTTCATTAGTGTTTTTCCATATGTCCCCATCTCAACTTACAGGATCCTATTTATTCCCAATGACTATCCTCACTACAATAGTAGACACTCTGTGAAGCTGAGACTTCAGCTTGTGTTGTAATTCAGCCAATCACAAAATAAGTCTTGTGCCTCCATCTGAGAAGGTTAACAGAGTACCCAGTTCCTTACTTCTTATGAGTGGTTGAATAGGAGTATCCAAGGCAGATATTTTGCATATCTCTATAACCAGATCATGCCATAGACTGTCAGTGCCTTTTTTTTTTCACTACTGGAAAGAGAGTCATTAGCATTTTAAAATCTAATTAGTGTAGAGAGCCAATCCTGGGAACCCCAAAATCAATTCAGAAAAACAGAAAAGAAATTCTGTTTCTTTAAGAACCACCATCAGTACCAAAGTCTGTATCAGTCAGTGTTCTCTAGAGAACAGAATCAATAGGATATGTGTACATACACACACCACACACACACACACACACACACACACACATTATGGAAGTTTGCTCACAAGATTATGGAGGCTGAGAAATCCCATGATATGCCATCTACAAGCTGGTGAACGAGGAAAGCCAATGGTGTAATGTACTCCAAGTCTGAAGGCCTGAGAGCCAGGGGAATTGATAGTTTACCTCCCAGTTCAAGGCTGAAGGACCGAGAACCAGGAGGGTTAGGGAAAGGCCTGAAAATCAAGAAAGGAGGTACCAGTGTAAATCTTGGAGTCCAAAGGCCCAAGAACCAGGGGCACTGATGTCTGAGGGCAAGAGAAGTTGGATGTCCCAGCTCAAGGAAGGGAGGGGCGGGGTAGAGAGAAAATTAGCTCTTTCTCTACCTTTCTGTTATATTCAGACTCTTAATGGATTAGATGATGCCTGACACATCCATCCAAAGAGGATGGATCTTCTTTATTCAGTCTACTTATTAAAATGCTAAAGTCTTCCAGAAACAACCTCACAGACATACCCAGAAATAATGTTTTGCCAGCGATGTGGGCACCCCTTGATCTAGTTAAGTTGGCACATAAAATTAATCATTAGAGTCTGTCAAGTACCTTCCAGGCGCATGTGTGTGTGTGTGTCTGTGTGTGTGTGTGTGTGTGTGTGTGTGTATGTGTGAGAGAGAGAGAGAAAGAGAGAGAAAGAGAAAGGGAGAGAGAGAAATATATGCTAATCTCAAGGGAAATCAGATGACTCCTCAATGTTGGTTGGCATATGCATGATTCTACTAGAAATCATTCTGCCATGAGGAATGAGATGAGTAGCATGAGAAGGCTCTGCCGCATTTGACAAGCGCAAATGATGCCTTTCCAGATCTGTTTTCTTAAGCCAGAAGATTATATAAACACTTAAGAATTTTAGAATTTCCATACCAGTTTGACAGCCTAATATTCTCATTTCACAAAGGTGAAATGACAATGCCACGGAAACTGATGAATAGGTTTTAAAATAGAATGAAGCTTTTATAACTCTCTATAAGATATTGGCTTGAATCTCCTTCCATTTTATTTAGAGATAAAGATTCACCGCTAAAGCTAAGTGTACTCTTGATTCAACAAAAATCTACAGACATAATTCTGTTGTATGGGATACTCACTTTCTGTTTTATACAAAAAAAGTCTGTAAGTGTCAAAGAAAATTTTCTTAAATCAGTTGGTATACATCTAATTTTATGGCCATCTGCCTTTGAAAAAAGTGGGCCAATGCTTTACTGATTTGCAAATGTGCAAAAATATAGAGATCACCGTTGGCTCTGTGCCATGCAGCTGGTCTATGTACATGTAACCTTGGGATTTCACTGTTACTGTGATGAGTTGGTTGAATGAATGAAACTGTTGGGGTTTTATTTAAGAATCTATTTTTATTTGCTGCTCATATTTCTAGCTTGCATTAACCAGGTTGAAAAAAATGAACCAGTGGACCAAATAGAATAATTACAAATACAAATGAGGTTTTGATGCAGACATTTCCTGATTTAGTTTCATGAGATGTTAATTAATTACTGAGTGGCAAAAAGGGCTTCATGGTCAAATAAGTTTGGGAAAAGTTGAGCTTAGTAAAGTTAAACAGATTTCTTTACTGAAAGATTACTCAGAATTTTTAATATGATAATGTGCTTTGTGAATCACTAAGAAAGGAGATATACATATATATAAATATATAGATAGATAAGGGTGTGTGTGTATGTGTGTTTGTGTGTGTGTGTGTAATCAAACCAAGAAATTTGAGGTACACAATTTGGGAAATACTGGTCTGGAGAAAAGTACTAGTACTGAGAATCGGTGTCTTGGTCTGGCACCTAGTTTGAGTCATTAGCTCGCTGTGGGATCTTATTCAAGTCTTAGCCTCTAAAGGCCTTTTTGTTTTCTCTCTCTCTAAAATTAGGAGATTGAACTATATGACCTTTCAGTCCTTTTGCAGTTCTAAGAAACAAGTCCTGTTTTACAGAAGGATATTACTAACCTTGTTGACATCAACCACAAAATGTATACTAAGTATCACCATCTTTTCTTAAGGTTATATTATGAATCCACAAACCATGAGTTTATCTAAACCATTCTTTAACCTGTGACTCAGCATTTTAAAATAACAAATGCTTACTGAGTTTACTTCTTCTGCTAGTTAGATCAAAGCCATTCATATACTTTAACTGGTGTTTCCCAGTTTTTATTTTGTTGGATTTTGCGTGAGCCTACATCAAGGAATCTACTTTGTTTTTGGATGCCACCATAAAGTGGCTCTTCCCTCTGAATTCAAATACCTGAGCTCCCTTAGTCATCTTGAAGTAAATTCTGTTTAGCGCCCTGCAATACTCAATGTCAAACTGAGTAACACTGACCAAAGTAGATAAGAATCCTTGGTAGGTCTCTCCAAATAATTTGCCTTCTTAGGGATATCTGGTTCTAGGGTACAGTCTAAACAATGTCATTTGGTTTGGAGTCCAAGGACAAGATGGCATCTGAATTCATGGAGGCAAAGGCTGTGGTCCCTCAGTATGGACCAACATCTCAGCAGCTGCTGTTTGGATACCACGGCATTACTTTCTAGCATGATAAATTTTTATTGTCATTCTGGTGGCGCAGACAAAATATGGCATTCTTTTTTGTATAATTTTCCCTTTTGCTTAAACATCTCATGGGACATAACTACCATTTAGACAGTCCTTCTTTCCAGTTTATGGAAATAACCAGTGAAGATGAAACAGGTATATATTTTCTTGCCAAATATTGATTAAAATGGATGTTTTAGTTGAGAGAAAAAATACCTGCAAAACATAATACATTTTAGTTTATTTACAGAAATTACCTCAAAAATAAAGTTCAGAAGAATTTTATACCAGGAATCTCAACTTTTTAAAGAAGAAAGGATAGACACGAGTTGAAAAATATTCTTCACAATATTGTATGTCTGGTGAAACTTAACATTTTTAAGAAAAATGGCATGAATAAAACAATGGTATTAGTCTTCTTTTTTTTTTTGAAAAACATATACACATTTGTGATTTGGAGAGAACCAGTTTTTGGTAGACCAGTGGGCATGGGTACTTAGCAAATGCCTGTGCTATTGCTCCAACTATTCTGATTCATTCTAAGTGAGAGCCAAGCATATGGTCTGGTTTATGTGTCATGGTTCCTTCTTTTTAGCATTCACTCTCATCTATACCCTTTCCTAAGGGAGAGAAATATGCTAATGTTAAGGGAACTCACATAACTCCTTAATGTTGGTTGGCATAGGCATGATTCTACTAGAAATCATTCTGCCATGAAGGCTGAGATGAGTAGTATCAGTGCACCCAATGAAGGGCTCTGACACATTTGACAAAAGCAAATGTTCTCTCCAAATCATACATGTGAATATGTTTTTCCAAAAAAGGAGTACTAATACCATTGTTTTATTCATGCCATTTTTTCTTAAAAGTGCTAAGTTTTTCCAGACATACGATACTATGGAGAAGATTTTTCAACTCTTGTCTATTCTTTCTTCTTTAAAAAGTTGAGATTCCTGGTGTGAAATTCTCTTGAGCTTCATTTTTGAGGTAATTTCTGTAAATCAACTAAAATGTATTATGTTTTGCAGATAATTTCGTTTTCTAAGGAAACCAACAATGCATTTAATCAAAAGCAAATATTTCTTCTGCTGCTTTTTGTTGGACCCATGCAGCATAATTTGAAAAGAATGACTAGCTGTGTTAAAGAAAAAGAAAAATTATATTAATAAAATGCTCTTTTTCTACATTGGCCCCACAATGATTACGTTGTCTGGGTCAATCTGTCGGGTAATTATTACTTTATATCCTTCTCAGGATAGTTTCCATATGTTCCCTTTTGCCTCAGAGCAATATCCTAATCTGCTGGCATGCTGTTTCATCAGGAAAGCATGCTTGGCTTCTCATAGGATCAAATGCAATGATTCCTTTTCTGGGACTAATGACCGCCAAGTGTCCTGGGAACAGGCTAACTGTGGCCTGATCTGTTCAGGCCAGGCCCGTCTTAGAACCAAGCAATTATTCATTGTCCTTATGTAGTGTTCAGGCACTTACAGTTTCTCTGTTTATTCTTCTCAATATCTCTTCCCTGATTGATGCATAGGACCTCTAGCTCGGGCTTTCCTCTTAGTTTAGAAGTTGAATACCATGGAGTAAGAGGGGTGGGTGGGTGAGTTGCAGGAGACCTTAGAGGCAGTGCTAACTTTTGACAAAACAGTGAAGTAGTTGAACAGAAGAAGAGGCAATTTCTTTCTAGAATTTCCACTCTTTCTCCCTCTCTCACTCTCTCTCTCCCTCCCTCCCCCACCCTCTCTCTCTCACATGCACTCATACACACACACACTCACACACACTCATGCACACTCTCCACTCCTTTCTCTTCCTTTGCCTCCCCATGGCCTCTCCTGAATCTTCTTTTTATTCTCTACTATCTATCAGTCTATCTTATGGTTTTATTTTTTTCTTAAATATCCACTGATAATATTAAAAGTTATGATCCCTTCAGAATTATTTGCATCTTATCTAGGACTCAAGACCAAAAGCCTTAAGAACTTAATAAAAGCAAAGCAAAAAGGTTACAGAAAAAGAATTGATTTCACCCTTTTCTAGCTCCTTTGCTTTCTGCTGCTCTGCAATAGGCAGGTGGAGGAGGAAAGGAAGAAACGAAGGAGGAAGAAGAGGAGAAGGAGGAGGAGGAGGACCTGGCTCCAGCTGCCCACACTCTCCTTGGATGCTGGAGACCATGAGGTGGCAACAGTGCTAGGCGACTCTGGTGTGACCTCATAATGGCCTTGTCTTCCACTGCGTCTCCTCCCAGAGCCCAAGAGGCCCTGAGCCTGTGGCACCTAGCATTGAAATGGGGAGCAGACAGCCCAGCCCAGGTGAGCTTGGAAGAAGACCTTCGTACCTCAGATGTTGATTACAGCCTTTGGGACATTGATCAGAAGATCTGGTTAAGCTTCTGACCATGGAAATGTGAGGGAGGCAAGATGGCTGACTAGACACAGTGGGAAAGAACATCTGCCACCAAGGGACCAGGAAATCCAGAGGACTGGTGCATTCCAAACAGATCTTCAGAGAAGGCATTGAAAATAAATGGAGGGAGAACACAGATGCTGGGCTGAAGGGCAAGGAGGCTGGGAACACTAGACTGGGCTCCCACACATGGGGACTCATTCCTGGCCCCCAATAACTCCTGGGGAAAGGGTGAGTTGAGCAGGCAAGGAGCAACCTGCTCTCACCATGGACCTCTGGAAATCTGGCAGCAGGAGACCCCACATCCCTCATGGACACTTGAGTTGGCAGGGAGAGCTGCTTAGAGAGGTAGTAGGAGCAGAATTCCAGCCGGTATGGAGCTCAGAGGGTTTTGTGAAGCAATGTCTACAGCAGATCATGGCCAGAAGCACCTATCCCTCAAGGGTTGCCTTGCTTCCCTAGGATACTTTAGCCTTACATGAACTGTTGGATCAGAATATAGCAGGATGATCATGCCCATGGAATGGGGCCAATCTGACCTAAGTGCACCCCTGTCTGCTGGCCTCTTCCGGGGCCCCAGCCTGGGTGCACCTGCTTGTACTGCAGCCTTGGATGCCCAGCCAGGGTGCCTCTGAGGGAACTGCATCATAGCTCCTGCACTGGCAGACCATGCCTGACCATTGGAGATCTCCAGCAGAACAGGCCCTGCTGACCTGTGCTAGCCCACCCATCTCCCCCATACCACAGCCTCCCCCATGCATTTTGCTGGCATGCACTCGCCCACAGCTAACCCCCACATTACTTGATTGGGGGGAATGCATACTTTGCCTCCTCTTCCCCGCTGGCGCATGTGTGCATGTGCACTCCAGCATGCCACTGCTGCTGCCATGAATGGACCCTACCCTCCTACCGTGACACCATTGTCAATGGGGAATGCACAAAAGGAGACCAGCAGCCCTATTTCCTGTCCTGAGCTGCCATTGCTGCTGGTGCAATTGCATGCACAGAGAACATCAGCCCTGTGCCTGCCAAAGCCCCACCTCCACACTGACACTGCTGCTGGCCACATAGATGCTGGTAGCTCCTGTACCCCTTGCCATGCCACCACCACTACCACCACTGTGAATGCCCACACAGAGGCCAGCACCTCTGTGGCAATCAGTGCCCTGCCTCAGTCTATGAGCATGTACACCAGTGTGCTGTCACTGCTGATGGCACATTAGAATGAGGATGGATCTTGCTGCCAGTGCCCAAAAAAGTGCTTTGGATGGCACCACCTATTGGAGTGTTGTGACCAGCAGTCTGGGAACACCTTGGCCTCTCCAGGGCAGCAGGATCCTAACCTTGAGGGGGTCACAGAACAAAGCCAGGGGCCTGATACCAGCCCCTAAAAGTTAGAGTATGCATCTCAGGAGTTCCGAGCTGAGGCTTTGCTCCCTAAAATCTTCCAGAAATGAAGCCAGTTAACTGAACTTACCTTATACCATAATTAAACTCCCAAGGATGTCAAAGAGGATTAAAAAAAAAATCCAAAGGACAGCAACTTCAAAGATTGAAGGAACATCAGCCCACAAAGATGAGAAAAAAATAGCACAAGAACTTTGGCAACTCAAAAAGCTAGAGTGTCTTCTTACCTCTAAACAACTGCACTAGTTCCCTAGCAATGGTTCTTAACCAGGCTGAAATGGCTGACGTGACAGAAATATAATTCAGAATATGGATAGAAATGAAGATCATCAAAATTCAGAAGAAAGTCAAAACCCAATCCAAGAATTCTAAGGAATACAGTGAAATGATACAGGAGATGAAAGATGAAATGGTCATTTAAAGAAAGACCAAAACTAATCCGATAGAGCTGAAAAACTCACTTTAAGGATTTTAGAATGCAGCTGCAAATATTAACAGCAGACTCAAACAAGCTAAAGAAAGAATCTCAGAGCTTGAAGACTAGCTCTCTGAAATAACTCAGTCAGACAAAAATAAAGAACAAACAATAAAGAAGAGAGAACAAAACCTCTGAGAAATATGGGATTATGTAAGGAGACCTGAGATACGACTAATTGGCGTCCCTGAAAGGGAGGAAGAAAAAGCAAGCAAACTGGAAAACGTATTTCAGGATATCACTCATGAACATTTCCTCAACTTTGCAAGAGAGGCCAACATTCAAATTCAGGAAATTCAGTGAACACTTGTGAAATACTACACAAGAAGACCATCCCCAAGATACAATTATCAGATTCTCCAAGGTCAAAATGCAAGAAAAAATGTTGAAGGTGGCTACAGAGAAGGGGCGGGTCACCTACAAAGGGAACCCAATCAGACTAACATCAGATCTTTCTGCAGAAACCTTACAAACTAGAAAATATTGGAGGCCTATATTCAGCATTCTTAAAAAAAGAATTTCCAACCAAGAATTTCATATTTAGCCAAACTAAGCTTCATAAGCTAAGGCGAAATAAGATATTTTTCAGACAAGCAAATGCTAAGGGAATTCTTTGACATCAGACCTGCCTTACAAGTGGTACAGAGGAGGTGCTAAATATGGAAGGGAAAGACCATTACTGGCCATTACAAAAACACACTTAAATAGATAGACCAGTGACACTATAAAGCAAGCACACCAACAAATCTGCCTAATAACCAGCTAACAAAACAATGACAGGATCAAATCTGCACATATCAATACTAACCTTGAATGTCAACAGGCTAAATGCCCCTATTAAGACACAGAGGGACAAGTTGGATAAAGAAGCAAAACCCAACGATATGCTCTCTTCAAGATACCCATCTCACATGCAATCAAATCAATAGACTCAAAGTAAAGGATGGAGAAAAATCTACCAAGCAAATGGAAAACAGTAAAAAGCAGGGGTTACTATTCTAATTGCAGACAAAGCAGACTTTAAACCAACAAAGAACAAAAAAGACAAAAAAAAAAAAAGAAAGGGAATTACATAATGGTAAAGGGCTCAATTCAATAAGAAGACCTATCCTAAATATATACACACCCAACATAGGAGCACTCAGATTTATAGAGCAAGTTCTTAGTGACCTATGAAGAGACTTCGATTAACTACACAATAACAGTGAGGAACTTTAAAACTCCACTGACAGAATCAGACAGATAACAACAAAGATAATTAGGACTTGACTTGACACTTGACCAAATAGAACTAATAGACATCTACAGAATTCCCCACCCCAAAACAACAGAATTCTTCTCATCTGCACATGGCACATACTCTAAAATCAACCACACAATCCGGCATAAAACAATCCTCAGCAAATTTAAAAAAACCCAAATCATATTAACCAGACTCTCAGACCACAGCACAATAAAAACAAATGCTAAATTGCTCAAAACCATACAATTACATGAAAGTTGAACAATGTATTCCTGAATGACTTCTTGGTAAATAATGAAATTAAATAATGAAATTAAAGCAGAAATCAAATTATTTGAAACTAATGAGAACAAAATTACAAGATAACAGAATCTTAGGGACACAGACAAAACAGTGTTAAGAGGGAAGTTTATAGCACACGTTGAAAAGTTAGAAAGATCTCAAATTAACAACCTAATATCACAACTAGAGGAACTAGAGAAATGAGAGGAAGCCAGACCCAAAGCTAGCAGAAGATAAGAAATAACCAAAATCAGAGCTGAATTGAAGGAAATTGAGACACAAAAAAAATACAAAAGATCAATGAATCTAGAAGTTGGCTTTTAAATAATAACTCAGGTAGACCTCTAGCTAGACTAATAAAGAAAAAAAGAGAGAAAAACTAAATGAACATAGTCATAAATGACAAAGGTGATGTTACCACTCACCCCACAGATATATGGAAAACTCTCAGAGACTACTTTGAACACCTCTGTGCACACAAATTAGAAAACCTAGAAGAAATTGATAAATTCCAGGCAACATACAACCTCTCCAGACTGAACCAGAAAGAAATTAAATCCCTGAACAGATTAATAATGAGTTCTGAAATTGAATAAAAAGTGTACTAATGAGAAAATGCCTAGGACCAGATGGATTCACAGCTAAATGCTACCAGATGTGTAAAGAAGAGCTGGTACCATTCCTACTGAAACTATTCCAAAAAATTGTGCAGATAGGAAACCTCCTCAACTCATTCTATGAGGCCAGCATCATCCTGATACCTAAACCTGACAGAGACACAACAATAACAACAAAAATTTCAGGCCAATATCCCTGATGAACATAGATGCAAAAATACTCAACAAAATAATAGTAAACAGAATTCAGCAGAATATCAAAAAGCTATCCCACCACAGTCATGTAGGCTTTATCCCTGGGATGCAAGGTTGGTTCAACATATGCGAATGAATAAATGTGATTCATTACATAAACAGAACTAAAAACAAAATCACATGACCATCTCAATAGATGCAAAAAAGGCTTTTGATAAAATTCAGCATCCCTTCATGTTAAAAACCCTGAACAAACTAGACATTGATGGAACATGCTTGAAAATAATAGGAGCCATCTATGGCAAACCTACAGCCAACATTATACTGAATGGGCAAAAGGTGGGAGCATTCTCCTTGAAAACTGGAATAAGATAAGGATGCCTTCTCTCACTACTACTATTCAACATAGTACTGGAAGTCTTAGCCAGAGCAATCAGGCAAGAGAAAGAAATAAAAGACATCCAAATAGAAGGAGAGGAAGACAAACAATTTCTGTTTGCAAATAATGTGATTCCATACTTGGAAAACCCCAGTCTTTTCCCAAAAGATCTTTCATCTGATAAACAACTTCAGCAAAGTTTCAGTATACAAAATCAATGTACAAAAGTCAGTAGCATTCCTACACCAACAACATCCAAGCTGAGAGCCAAATCAAAAATGCGATCCTATTCACAATAGCCACAAAAAGAATAAAATACATAGGAATACAGCTAAGCAGGGAGGAGAAAGATCTCTACAATGAGAATTATAAAACACAGGTCAAAGAAATCAGAGATGGCACAAACAAACGGAAAAATATTCCATGGATAGGAAGAATCAATATCATCAAAATGGCCATACTGCGCAAGCAATTTACAGATTCAATGCTATTCCTATCAAACTACCAGTGACATTCTTCACAGAATTAGAAAAAAATTAAAAATTCATATTGAACCCAAAAAGAGCCTGAATAGCCAGGGTAATCCTAAGCAAAAAGAAGAAAGCGGGAGGTATCACGTTACCCGACTTCATACTATATTACAAGTCTATAGTAATCAAAACAGCATTGTACTGGTACAAAAACAGACACATAGACCAGTGGAACAGAATAGAGAGCCCAGGAATAATGTCAGACCTACAACCATCTGATCTTCAACAAAATTGAAAACAAAAGCAATGGGGACTCCCGAGTCAATAAATGGTGCTGGGATAACTAGCTAGCCATATGCAGAAGTTTGAAACTGGACCCTTTCTGAAACCTCACCCCGCCACCATATACAAAAAGTAATTCAAATGGATTGAAGACTTAAATGTAAAATGTAAAACTATAAAAATCCTGGAGGGTAACCTAGGAAATACCATTTTGGACACAGGACCTGGCAAAGATTGCATGATGAGGATGCCAAGAGCAATTGCAATAAAAACAAAAATTGACAAAGAGCTTCTGCACAGTGAAAGAAAGCATCAACAGAATATTTCCGTATCAACAGAAACAGAAAACAAGCTATAGAATGGGTGAAAATATTTGCAAACTATGCATCCAACAAAGGTTTAATATCCAGAATCTATAAAGAACTTAAACAAATTTACAAGCAGAAAACAAACAACTCCATTAAAAGTGGGCAAAGGGCATGAACACTTTTCAGAAGAAGACTTATATGTGGCCAACAGCATATGAATAAATGCTCAGCATCACTAATCATTAGAGAAATGCACATCAAAACCACCATAGCATACCATCTCATGCCAGTCAGAATGACTACTATAAAAAGTCAAAAAAGAACATATATTGATGAGGTTGTGGAGAAAAGGGAGTGCATATGCACTGCTGGTGGGAACGTAAATTAGTACAGCTATTGTGGAAAGCACTCAGGTGATTTCTCAAAGCACTAAAAACAGAACTATCATTTGACTCATCAATCCCATTATTGGGTTTATATCCAAAGGAATATAAATTTTCCTGCCATAAAGACATATGCATGTGTATGTTCATTGCAGCACTATTTACAATAGCAAAGACATGGAATCAACTCAAATGCCCATCAGTGGTAAACTGGATAAAGAAAATGTGGTACTTACATGCCATGGAATACTATGCAACTGTGAAAAGAATGAGAGCATGTCTTACACAGCAACATGGATGGAGCTAGAGGCCATCATGCTAAGTAAACTAACATGGGAACAGAAAACCAAATATTGCATGTTCTTTTTTATAAGTGGGAGCTAAACACTGAGTACATATGGACACAAAAAAGGGAACATCAGACATCTGGGCCTACTTGATGGTGGAAGGTGGGAGGAGGGCGAGGATTGGAAAACCCCTCGGGTACTATGCTGAATACATGGGTGATGAAATAGTCTGTACACCAAATCCCTGCAACACACAATTTACCTATACAACAAACCTGCACATGTGCCCCTGCACCTAAAATAAAAGTAAAAAAAAAAAATAGTGACAGTAATTAGAAAAAGAAAAAGAATTATTAGTGTTGGAGTCAGTACTTTGCAATAACAGGCCCAGAGTGGATGAGACCAAGAAGCAGTATTAAAAGTAGATGATTGCATATCAAAAAATGACAACCACACACATGGACTGCAATATATTGTATCTATAATTTTCTGTTGACACTATCTTTGAATCTGGAAACAGCAGACAGATAATCTTATTAGATAATGACCTAAATAAAATATTTCACTCCACTCTCCTCTCATATTCCACACATGTAAATACTTTTTGCCTTGAAACCTCCCTGTCACCATCAGACTGCTTTCAAAATAATAATGTTATTTTGAGGGCATTTAGATTAGAAAATCTTGATGAGTTTCCAATTAGTGTTACTGACAGATTTGTTAGATTTTCACTTAATCATTTTTCAGAACTTGACTATGGCTCAGATCTTTGACCTGCTAGTTAAGTATGTTGGTCAGTTTTTATGTGACATCTGCTGATAAAAGTAGCTGGTTTTATTATCCCACACACGTTAATAGAGGTTCCCACAGCAGGAAGGGAATGAGCAGTCCCCCTGGCATCCTTCTGTCACTGCTATGTGCTGTTTTCAGGGAACAGTCAGTGCCTATGGTCATCATGGAGTCAGTGTTTCTCCCTTGGCTGCAGTCCAAAGGACATTGTGCCTCTCTCCATAGAGAAGCTGGAAGGGGCCCAGAGAAAGGCAAATGCAAGATCATGGGCTAGGGAGACTTGCCCAGAAGATGGGCCAAAAATGAGATCTGGAAAGACCAGAGCTAAAAGGTGACATGAACGAGCTTGGAACAGTTGCTTGAGAGAAGTTTATGTATTAAAGTCCTAAATAGAGAACAGGACGGCTGCTCCCTGATGCCATCAGAAAGTCATTTTAAGAAAGTAATTTTAAGTTAAAGAGATAGAATGAGCCTTCATCTCCACCCTATTTGCTGAAGATTCTCTCCAAGTTATGGTAACATCTGAAAATATGTTATAGCCATGACCTTTAGGAGTTAGTATGCCTTAAATTTGAATTCGAGACTATGAGAATAATTTAGGACTATGTAGCATAAAGTAAGAATTTAGATCCTGGCATTTAAGGCATTTAAGACTCTATACTGGTTCCAGATATGAATATAATTTTCTAGCTGAGAAACATGGCCTTTTGGCAGGCAAAGCCAGTGCTCATGAGCTGATAAAAATTATCCCATTGCTTGCTCAGTTGCCTTTCCAGGTGACACGAACAGCTGTTGCAAAATCACAGACCTCGATTCCTGCCAGACCACAGGCTACTGAGCCCAGAAAACAAAACCATGACTCATGGTGAATGTTCACTGTCCCTGAGGTGGATACAGTGACAACCACACACACAGAGTGCTATGGAAATTTGGGATCCATTTTCCTGCTTGTCTTAGTGAAGAGGCTACGCCCACTTATTCTTGCCAGAATCTAAAGACATTTGGGATCCTCTTTTCCCCTTTCCCAACTGTGGGATGGAGTCTGTGCCCTGTGATAAGAGTGAATGCTCTAAAATAACCTGGTCTAACCTTCTTTTAATCTCTCTTTGCCTGATTTTCCTGGGACTCTGTATTTGGGGAAGATGTATATTTTAATCCTGACTCTTTCCTCAAGTGTCACTCAGGTGAACTTGGGGCTCTTTCTGATCCCTGTGATTATGTGGCAGCCTTCAGAATCCTACACCATGATCAGAAAGGCGGGTCCATTCCAGCTCTGTGGTTCTCTGATTTGTGACTTGGGCAGATAAGGCTCAATTTCTGGATTTGACTGTGAAGACTAGTGTCTTGAAAATTTGAAACATTGAAGTTAGAGAAGACAGTGTTAAGTACTAGAAAAGGACCCAAGTGGTTCAGTGTCAGTCTGGAACAGGGGCACACATTCCAATATTTCCTAGGGCCAGGCAGGTAGCATGGACAAGAGAAGTAGGCCACAGGTCTGGTTGGTGGTGTAGACAGGGCTACTGGGACCAGGTCTTTAATCCGAATGGGGACGCAGAAGCCCAGCACCAGCTGTTGTGGTCACATGAGGATGTGGTCTCAAGGATGATAGCTCTTTCAGTTTTTTTTTGTTTGTTTGTTTCCACAAGAAGCCAGAAAGTCAACATAGCAAATGAAACCCCTGAGTCTTAAATATTGGCCACCAATTCAAGTTGTAATGAAACAAATTACTCTGTGGTTCATATAAGACACATCTGCAGATTAGGCCTTAGGCTACCAATTTTTGACCTATGGTACAGGAAGACATTATAACAAAAGCATTTTTGTTAATATTTTAAATGAAAATTTCTTTTTCTTTATTATACTTTAAGTTCTGGGGCACGTGTGCACAATGTGCAGGTTCGTTACATAGGTATACATGTGCCATGTTGGTTTGCTGCACCCATCAACTCGTCGTTTACATTAGGTATTTCTCCTAATGCTATGCCTCCCAAATGAAGATTTCTTATACTCTGCACCCTTAACCACTGAGGAGAGTGCACGCCTACCTCTGATGTGCCAGGAAATTAGTATGATACCACTGCGAGGATGAATACTTTTTGTCTGTTTCTAAAAAATTCACGGTAATTTTGTCTTCTCCATGATACATTTGTGTTTAATATAAAATTTTATGTTAGATTGCATACCCTTGTGTCTAGAATATGATAGATCTTCAATAAAAATGTGTAAAGTGAACAATTAAAGTGCAATTGATACTCCTAGAAGATATATATATATATGTATGTATGTGTGTGTGTATATATATGTGTGTGTATATATATGTATATATACACACACATATATACATACATATATATATATACGTATACATATATATATAATCCCATAGATTGTTTCCTATATCCCAATGTGAGAAATGTCCCTTGGGATATGAAGTAACATGGCCATTCTATTGGTAAGTGATGGTGTTGGTGGCATTACCACCAGCACCTCCAGGCCACATTGCGCTACTTGGAGCTGTTCATCAAATTCAACTATAAAAGATTTTAGCAGATTACTGGGATTGTTGTTCTCATGATTTGGGGTCAGATCCCAGCCTCTTCCATCTTCCCACTCCCTTTCCCCTGTACATTTATAACATATCTACCATCTTCCAGACAGGGGTTGGAGAAGTAAACAGACACATTGCAATCCAACATGGAACGTGGCATCAGAGGTACTGTGGTAAAATCTGGGCCCCAGACATGTGAAGATTATGTTACCTGAGCTGCATATTGCATCCTTTTCCCTATCCAGGGATTCAGTCCTACAGATATTACCCTTGTTTTGGACATCTATTGCTGCATAAACTTAGTGGTGTAAAACAACAACAATTTATTATTACCTCTCTTGGTTCTGTAAGCTGACTGGACTAAGTTAGGCTGTTCTTGCTCAAGGTCTCTCTGTGGGTGCAATCAGGCAGTGACTGGGTCTGGAGTCATCTCAAAGGCTTTCTCAACAATTACTGCTACTGGAATCCTCTCAAAGGCTTCCTCACTTACATATCTGGCAGTGAATGCTGGCTATTAGCAGAAATCTTAGTGGGGGGCATTAGCTAGAACATTATATGCTACCTCTCCATGTGGCTTGGATTTCCTCACACTATGGCAGCTGGGTACCAAAGGCAAGCATTCCAAGAAGGAGAGAGCCAGGTGGAAGCTGTATTGCCTTTTCTAACTTAGCTTCAGAAGTTCTATAATTTCTTATAAAGACTTGCCCTGTTTTGGTGGAAGGAGACATAGAATCTACTTTTTTCCATTTTGTTTTTTTAATTGGTACATAATAATTATACATATTTGTGGGGTACATAGAGATGTTTTGATACATACAATGTGCAGTGATCATATCAGGGTAATTAGCATTTCCATCACCTCAAACATTTATCATTTCTTTGTGTTGGTAACATTCAATATCCTCCATCTCTCTATTTGAAACTATATAAAATATATGTTAACTATAGTTATCCTCCAGTGCTATAGAACACTAGAACTTAATGGGAGGAGTGTTGAAGAAGCTGCAGGCATATTTTAAAACCACAAAACCTTCAACCCTTCCTTTGTGTTGCTCTGAAGTATCTTCTGATGGAAGCCTGGCAGCAGCTTCTTCATCAACCCAATTAAGCTCTTACTGTTGCTGATAATGCTTCTCCCATCTCATGTGCCAGGTGAGTGACAATGGAGACAGCAGACCTATGATGATTGTCTCAGAATTGGAAGTCTAGCAGGGACCTGATCCTAGTACCATAATTGGGGTATGCATGCCACATAAGTCATAGAAATCAGAATATCTGAAGCTAGAGTAAAGCTGGTAAACCTTTCTGGAGCATCAATTAACTCAAATATTTGAGAACAGAAAAAAGTAATTTAACTTACAGGACTTTAATATATTATTTTTATATTAGAACAAATTGTCTGAATTTTAAATGAAGAAAATTTTCACGGGCATAGGGTTCCTTGTGAAGCTCCCAGATTCTCTGTGTCCATTCATTCACTTCTCTTCTATGACACTAGGGATTCTTTGTGGAAGAGTTTATGAAGAACCAGCCCTTTCACTTTGTTGTCGAAAACCATGATAAAAGTACCAGCTCTTAGCAGTAGATTTGAGTCTAGATATTACTGTTTCTAAGACATGTGCTTATCTTCACAATTCTCTGTCTTTCAGGACATTAGAGCTGGAAAACATTTGCCGTTGCAGCTATGAATTATTGACTATTCAGCCCAGTTGTAAGCTCTAATGTCCTTTCCTTGCTTACTTCTTCTCTTCCACCTGATTCAGCATTTTTACTTTTGAGTAGCATTAGACTACAGTAATTATTGTTTGTGGAGTTGTTTCCTTGTTAATTTTATTTATTAAGACTTCTTTCCTATCTATTTCCTCTTATGACAAAGGAATTTCACTGTGGGGAGATTTTATGTGGCCTGAATTTCTGGGTCTTGGCTATACCATCAATCATGTATTCCCACTTCCACCATCCCCGGCCAACTCTACCCTCTTCCTTGACTAGAGATCAAAGCTTGAAAACTAAACTGAGCCCAAAGCAGGAAACCCCTTGATTACTTTTTATGTTGCGGTAACAAATCACCACAAACTTAGTGGCTTAAGAAAATACAAATGTATTCTTTTATAGTTCTAGAGGCTGGAGTCTAAAATCAGCTTTACTGGGCTAAACTCTAGGTGTCAGCTGGTCTCTTCTGGAGGCTGTAGCAGAGAATCTGTTTCCTTGGCTTTTCCTGCCTCTACAGACCATCTGTATCCTTGGCTTGGGCCTCATTCTTTCATCTTCAAAGTACATCACTACAAAATCTCTGTCTCTATATCCATTATCATGTCACCTACTCTTTTTGATGTCTCCTGCATTTTTCTCATAAGGACCCTTGTGATTATATTGGATCCACCTAGATAATCCAGGATAATCTTCCCATCTCAAGGTCTTTAATTTAATCACATCTGCAAAGTCCCTTTTGCTGTGTAAACTAACAAATTCATAGGTTGTAGAGATTAGAATGTGGACATCTTCAGGGAGTCACTATTCTCTCTACTACACTACCCTCCAAAGGTGAACATGTCACCTAAATAGTAAAATTAAAGACTTCCCTGGGAGTGTTATTAGGGTGGGAAGAGAAGTTATTTTTTCCTGGGAGTGGCTGAGCTTGAAGAAAATGATGTTAGGCTGCTGGCAACTATCTTTCCAGTTACATAGAGGAAGCTCCTGTCATGCAGGAGGGAATGAAGCCAGCTGATTGACAACTATAGCCAAGAGAATGGAAATGAAGGGCTGTGATGGCAATGTTTAAACACCTATATCCAGCCACACTTGAAATCAGACCTAACCCTAATTTCCCAGACTTAGGAACCAAGAAGTTTCCTTTTTGCTTGAGCTATTTTGAGCTAAATTTCTGTACTAATGACTACCCATACATTTTTCTTAAACACTAAGGAGGGGAGGAGTTAAGGGCCAACTCAATTATTTTTACGCTGCTTTTAAAAGGTATGATAGAGTCTGTTTGAATATCAATGAGGTTGAAACTATCAAAATATGACTTTATAAACATCATTAGGTTTTGTTTTCCTGTATCTATACCAAATTACAAAAGAGAATTTGAAGGAGACTATATTTAAAAACGAATATGACCATAACTGGGGAAGTTACTGAAATAATAAATTTCTTGACTTTTTGCTGCTGTTTTTTCATTTCCAAAAGGAAACTTCTCTCTCATAAGAAGCCTCTGTCCAGAATTGCAGACTTCCTTGCTTAGAGGAAGGCAGGTAGATTGTGTTAGCAGGTTTTTGTCTTTCAAGGTCTGGAAATCTTTGTTTTGCAAGTTTAGGTCCATCAAGAAATCATAGTAGGCTTGTCCTGAGAGAATATAGTGTATGGAGGCTGGTGTTTAAAGAAGGGGGGAGTGGCCCAACTTTAAAGGAAGGCCATTAATAAGTTATGATGGCCACAGAGTTTTTGAGAGGTGGAGGTTCTTTCTCCTTCTCTTGAATCTGGGCTGGTCTTATGATTTGTTTTAACTAATAGAATATGGTGGAAGTGACGCCTTGCCAGTTCCAGTCCAAGCTCTTGAGAGGACCATCAGCTTTTCTTTACTCCTTCTTGCAGTACTTGCTCTTGGTATCCAGCCACCGTGGAAGAAGATTGGGCTGGACTGTTGAATGATGAAGCCACATGGAGAGAAGCCAGCTTGGGCTTTCTAATCCCAATAGGAGTTGCATGAATGTTCCCAATCAATACCATGTGGAACAAAAATGAGTCTTTCCCACCAAGGTCTGCCCAAATTGAAGAAATCTGAGCGAATAATTGCTGGTATTTTAAGCTTGTTGGGCTCATGAGTTTGAAATTGAGCTTGTGATGGCATTTGTGGATTACTGAGACTTTTGGATACTAGACATATTTGTATCCTTTAATTAGAATAAAGACAATGGGTTGGGCTGGATCATGTTTTCACATTTCTTCTAGCTCTGTAGTTCTAAACTTGGCTTCTGACCTTTCTTTTTTCAGGCCAGAAGTCAGAGGTTCCTAGATATGTGGGCCCCCTTTATTACGATCATCTGGGAACTTGTCATAAAAATAGATATCCTAGTCCCAGCTCCTAATATTTTGATAAATTAAATTAAAGTTGGGGTCTGGAAATGTCATTGAGCCAGAATTGTATCAAATTACATTTTAGGTTGTTCATTCACTTATAATTAAGTACACTATTTTCCTTTGAGTCCCGTGTATAATCTTTGCTAATCACTTGCCTTAAATCTGTAAAAGGAAAATAATAAAAAGCCACAGCAATATTCCTTTAACATGATCTAACATTTTTCTTGCATAACTTTCTATACCAATTCCAGTCTATTTATTTAAAGACAGGATCTCAAGAGCAAAATTAAATTTTTCATTCTTGTCTTTAAGTGGATTGTGTACAAACCAATAGGTACCTAACCCCTTTCTTTTATGAATTTTAACTTAGAAAATAATGAAACTCTACTACATTTAGCCCAACATTTAAAGTTCAGATTTAAAGACCCTAAAAATATGGACTTCTCAGTAATAGGTATTGATATAATTGTGTAACTAACTGGAAAAAAATAAGTTTAATCTCTCACATTGTCTACTGGTATAAATTTTAAATGGATCAAATATTTAAGTATAAAAAAATGAAACCATATAATTACTGAAAGAACATTAAATAGGTTATAAGACTTGAACAAGAAAGGTCTTCCCATGACTCAAATTTCAGATGCCATGAAAGATAAACTAAGTAAAACCCAAAAATCTCTGTATGATCCCCCCCCCAAAAAAAAACTCACCAGAAATATGTTTAAAAAACAAAGAACAAACTGGGGAAAAATCCTATTTATTTATAAATGAGAATTAATAACCCTAATGTGTATAGAGCTTCTTTAAATTAAAAAGTATATATAATTTTTAAAAATTAACAAAATAAATGAACAGATATAGAAAAAATAAATATAAATGGCCCTTAAAATGTATGAAAAGATGTTTATTCAGGGAGAGGCCAAGATGGCCGAATAGAAACAGCTGTGGTTGGAAGCTCCCTCTGAGAAGAATGAAAACGGCGAGTGAATTCTGCACTGATAACTGAGGTATCAAGGTTCTCTCATTGCGACTGACTAGGCAGTTGGCACAAGCCAAGAAGAGTGAGGAAAAGCAGGGTGGTGCCACGGTCCACCTAGGAATCACATGGGACAAGGGAGCTCCCACCCTCAGCCAAGGGAGGTGGTGAGTGATCATGCTACCCTGCCTGGGAAACCATGCTTTTTCCACAGATCTGTGCAACTTGCAGATCAGGAATCCCCCTCGTGAGCCCAAGCCACCAGGGCCTTGCGTCCCAAGCACAGAGCTGTGCAGATTCTCAGTGGCCACTTGGTTGGAGACTGCCTAAGACTACTGAGGTCCCGGGGGTTGGGGCCGCCATCATCACTGTGGCTGCCTGCTGCCTAAGACAACTGAGCTCCCCAGGGGAGGGGTGGCAGCCATCATTGCAGCTCCAATCTGCCATTTATCCCCTGCCGGTCCCAGGGATACTGGGTGGTTTAGAACCAGGAGGAATTCCTCACAGTGCAGCTCAGTAGCTGTGGCAGATCATGGCCAGACTACCTCTTTAGGCCAGACCCTGACCCATCCCTCCTCACTGGGCAGGGCATCCCTGCAGGAGTTTCAGCAACTCCAGCCCGAGTTTTAGGGACAGAACTCTGATGTCCCTGGGACTGAGCCCCTGGGGAAAGGAGCAGCTGCAGTCTCCATGCATCAGCAAACTTAGCTTTTCCCCCTGCTGGCTCTGAGGAATCCAGGCAGTTTGGACAAGTGGAATTGCCCCCAGTGCAGCGCACACTGTCTGCCAAGGGGCAGCCAGAGTGCTTCATTAAGCAAGTCCTAGATCCTGTGCCTCCTGACTGGGTGAGAGCCCCCCAACAGGGAAGGCCAGACACCTTATACAGGAGCATTCCTGCTATCATCAGGTTGGTGCTGTTCTGGGACAGAGATCCCAGAGGGAAAAGCAGGCAGCCATCTTTGCTGTTCTGCAGTCTCTACTGGTGACACCTCCAGGTGCAGGAGGGACCCAGGTGAATAGGGTCTGGAGTGGACCCCCAGCAAACCGCAGCAGTCCTAGGGAAGAGGGCCCCGACTTAAAAGTAAAAAAAAAACAGAAAGCAACAACAACAGCATCAATAAAATAATCCCCACAAAAACTCCATCCAAAGATCAGCAGCCTCAAAGATCGAAGCTGGGGAAACTTTCGATGAATGTAAAAGAATCAACAAAAAAATGCTGAAAACTCAAAAAGCCAGAGTGCCTCTTTTCCTCCAAACGATCACAACATCTCTCCAGCAGGGGCACAGAACTGGGTGGAGGCTCAAATGGATGAATTGACAGAAGTAGGCTTCAGAAAGTGAGTAATAATGAACTTTGCTAAGCTAAAGGAGCATGTTCTAACCCAATGCAAAGAAGCTAAGAACCACAATAAAACATTACAGGAGCTGTTAACCAGAATAACGAGTTTAGAGAGAAACATAAATTACCTGATGGAGCTGAAAAACACAACACAGGAACTTCACAATGCAACCACAAGTATCAATAACTGCATAGATCAAGCAGAGGAAAGAATTTCAGAGCCCAAAGACTATCTTGCTGAAATAAGAAAGGCAGACAAGATCAGAGAAAAAATAAGAAAAAGGAATGAACAAAACCTCCAAGGACTATGGGATTATGTAAATAAGACTGAATGTATGACTGATTGGGGTACCTGAAAGAGATGAGAAGACAGGAAGAATGGAACCAAGTTGGAAAATTAACTTCAGGATATCATCCAGGAGAACTTCCCAAGCTAACAAGACAGGCCAACATTCAAATTCAGGAAGTCCAGAGAACCCCAGTAAGATACATCATGAGAAGATCAACCCCAAGACAAAAATTCTCAGATTCTCCAAGGTCGAAATGAAGGGAAAAATGTTAGGGGCAGCCAGAGAAAAAGGCCAGGTCACCTACAAAGGGAAGCCCATCAGACTAGCAGCAGACCTCTCAGTGGAAACCCTACAAGCCAGAAGAGTTTGGGGGCCAATATTCAACATTCTTAAAGAAAAGAATGTTCAACCTAGAATTTTATATCTAGCCAAACTAAGCTTTATAAGTGAAGGAGAAATAAAATCCCTTTCAGACAAGCAAATGCTGAGGGAATTCATCACCACCAGGCCTGCCTTGCAAGAGCTCCTGAAGGAAGCACTAAATGTGGAAAGGAAAAACCATTACCAGCCACTGCAAAAACACACTGAGGTACAAATACCAATGACACTATGAAGCAACTACATCAACACGTCTGCAAAATAAACAGCCAGCACATGATGACAGAATGAAATTCATACGTAATATTAATCTTAAATGTAAATGGGCTAAATGCCCCAATTAAAAGACACAGAATGGCAAGCTGGATAGAGTTAAGACTCTATCCATCAGTGTGCTGTATTCAAGAGACCCATCTCACATGCAAAAACACACATAGGCTCAAAATAAAGGGATTGAGGAAAATCCACCAAGCAAATGGAAAGCAGAAAAAAGCAGGGGTTGCAATTGTACTTTCTGATAAAACAGACTTTAAACCAACAAAGATGAAAAAAGACAAAGAAGGGCATTACATAAAGGTAAAGGGATCAATTTAACAAGAAGAGCTAACTTTCCTAAATATATATGTACCCAATACAGGAGCACCTGGATTCATAAAACAAGTTCTTAGAGACTTAGAGGCTTAGACTCCCACACAATAATAGTGGGAGACTGTAAGACCCCACTGTCAATATTAGACAGATCATCAAGACAGAAAATTAACAAGGATATTCAGGACTTGAACTCAGCTCTGGATTAAGTGGACCTCATATATATCTACAGAACTCTCCACCACAAAACAATAGATATACATTCTTCTCAGCAGCACATCGCGCTTACTCTAAAATCAATCACATAATTAGAAGTAAAACACTCTTCAGCAAATGCAAAAGAACTGATATCATAACAAACAGTCTTTCAGACCACAGCACAATCAAACTAGAATTCAAGATTAAGAAACTCACTCAAAACTACACAGCTAGATGGAAGTTGAACAACCTGCTCCTGAATGACTCCTGGGTAAATAATGAAATTAAGACAGAAATCAAGAAGTTCTTTGAAACCAATGAGAACAAAGAGACAACGTATCAGAATCTCTTGGGACACAGCTAAAGCAGAGTTAATTTATAGCACTAAATGTCCACATCAAAAAGCTAGAAAGATAGCAAATTGACACCCTAACATCACAACTGTTAATAAAGGAACTAAAGAACCAAGGGCAAACAAACCCCAAAGCTAGCATATGACAAGAAATAAGCAAGATCAGAGCAGAACTGAAGGATATAGAGACACAAAAAAACCTTAAAAAAAAGTCAATGAATCCGGGAGCTGGTTTTTTTGAAAAAATTAACAAAATAGACCACTAGCTAGACTAACAAAGAAGAAAAGAGAGAAGAGTCAAATAGACACAATAAAAAGTGATAAAGGGGATATCACCAGTGACCCCTCAGAAATACAAACGACCATCAGAGAATACTATAAACACCCCTATGCAATTAAACTAGGAAAGCTAGAAGAAAAGGATAAATTCCTGGACACATATACCCGCCCAAGACTGAACCAGGAAGAAGCTGAATCCCTGAATAGACCAATAACAAGTTCTGAAGTGGAGACAGTAATATATAGCCTACCAACCAAAAAAAAAAAAAGACCAGGACCAGACAGATTTACAGCTGAATTCTTTCAGAGGTACAAAGAGGAGCTGGTACCATTCCTTCTGAAACTATTCCAAACAGTTGAAAAGAATGGACTTCTCTGTAACTCATTTTATGAGGCCAGCATCATCCTGATACCAAAACCTGGCAGAGATACAACAAAAAAGGAAAACTTCAGGTCAATGTCCCTGATGAACATCAATGCAAAAATCCTCAATAAAATAATAAAATACTGGCAAACCAAATTCAGCAGCAGCACACACACACATACGACAAACAAATAAACAAAAAAACTGCTTATCCACCACAATCAAGTCAGCTTCATCGCCAGGATGCAAGGCTGGTTCAATATACACAAATCAATAAATGTAATTCATCACATAAATGGAACTAAAGACAAAAATCACATGTTATCTCAATAGGCACAGAAAAGGCTTTCGATAAAATTCAACACCCCTTCATGTTAAAAACTCTGAATAAACTAGGTATTGAAGGATCATAACTCAAAACAATAAGAGCCATTTATGACAAACCCATACCCAATATCATACTGAATGGGTAAAAACTGGAAGCATTCCCCTTGAAAACCAGCACAAGACAAGGATGCCCTCTCTCACCACTCCTATTCAACATATTATTGGAAATTCTGGCCAGGTCAATCAGGCAAGAGAAAGAAATAAATGTATTCAAATAGGAAGAGAGGAAGTCAAACTGTCTCTCTTTTCAGATGACATAATCCTATATCTAGAAAACCTCATCATCTCAGCCCAAAAGCTTCTTAAGCTGATAAGCAACTTCAGCAAAGTCTCAGGATACAAAATCAATGTACAAAAATCACAAGCATTTCTATACACCAATAATAGGCAAGCAGAGAACGAAATCATGAAGGAACTCCCATTCACAATTCCTATAAAGAGAATAAAATACCTAGGAATACAGCTAACAAGGGAAGTGAAGGAGCTCTTCAAGAAGAAATACAAACCACTGCTCAAGGAAATAGGAGACGACACTAACAAACAGAAAACATTCCATGCTCATGGATAGGAAAAATCAATATGAAAACAGCCATACTGACCAAAGTAATTTATAAGATTCAATGCTATTCCCATTAAACTACCATTAACATTCTTCACAGAATTAGGAAAAACTATTTTGAAATTCATATGGAACCAAAAAAGAGCCAGTATAGCCAAGACAATCCTAAGCAAAAAGACCAAAACTGGAGGCATCATACTACTTGACTTCAAATTATACTACAAGGCTACAGTTACCAAAACAGCATGGTACTGGTACAAAACAGACACAGACCAATGGAACAGAATAGAGATCTCAGAAATAAGACTACACATCTACGTCCATCTGATCTTTGACAAATCTTTCCCCTGCCTATGTCCTGAATGGTATTGCCTAGATATTCTTCTAGGATTTTGGGGGGTTTTACATTTAAGTCTTTAATCGATCTTGAGTTAATTTTTGTATAAGGGATAAGGAAGTGGTGTCTAGTTTCAGTTTTCTGCATATGGCTAGCCTGTTCTCCCAGCACTAGTTATGAAATAGG